>NC_000017.11:80240491-80540901 GCF_000001405.40 Homo sapiens
AGAGGTTTCCAGTTTAAAATGTTTTTCTCGGCCGGGTGCAGTGGCTCACGTCTGTAATCCCAGCACTTTGGGAGGCCAAGGTGGGCGGATCACCTGAGGTCAGGAGTTCGACACAAGCCTGACCAACATGGTGAAACCCCGTCTCTACTAAAAATGCAAAAATTAGCTGTGCGTGGTGGCATGCCCCTGTAGTCCCAGCTACTCAGGAGGCTAAGGCAGGAGAATCTCTTGAACCCGGGAGGCAGAGGTTGCGGTGAGCCAAGATCACTCCACTGCACTCCAGCCTGGGTGACAGAGCAAGACTCCATCTAACAAAATGAAAATAATAAAATAAAATGGTTTTCTTATTATAAAAAGCATTGTAATCCCAACACGTTGGGAGGCCTAGGCAGGAGGATTGCTTGAGCTTAGGAGTTTGAAACCCACTTAGGCAACTTAACAAGACCTCATTTCTATTGAAAATAAAATTAGCCGGGCATGGACCACACCTGTGGTACCAGCTGCTCAGGAGCCTAAGGCAGGAGGATCACTTGAGCCCAGGAGGTCAAGGTGGCATTGAGCTGTGATAGTGCCACTGCACTCCAGCCTGGGTGGCAGAACAAGATCCTGTACTATCTGTTTAATTGAAAGTTTTAATTTAATTGGTAATAATGGCTGTGTTTATTAATATACATTCATTGTAGAAAATGTCAAGAGTGCAGAAACGAGTAAAGAAGAGACAAATCACCCATAATCCCTTTTACTACCACAATTAACTACTGCTTACATGTTTTCTTGTTGTTGTTTGAGACAGGGTCTCACTCTGTCGCCCAGACTGGAGTGCGGTGGCACGATCTCATCTCACTGCAGCCTCAACCTCCTAGGCTCAAACCATCCTCCCGCCTCAGCGTCCTGAATATCTGGGACTATAGGCACACACCACCATGCTTGGCTAATTTTTGTATTTTTTGTAGAGATGAGATTTTGCCATGTTGCCCAGGCTGGTCTCGAACTCCTGGGCTCAAGCGATCCTCCTGCCTTGGCCTCTAAAAGTGCTGCGATTATAGCTGTGAGCCACCATACCTGGCCTGATTACATGGTACTGTACCTCTTTCCACTCTGTGATACATTCAAGCACATGTTTACACGCACATATATGTGAATATTTTAGATGTGTATTCTTAGATTTACAAAACTTATTGCCGTGTGTAGAAATTCATAATCTGTGTTACATTTTGTGAATACTTTTTGAGCGATGTTGAATATTACTGACCAGGTCTTTACCGTTGGTTCCCTTTAGCATCTCAGAATAATTACCGCATCGATGCCAACCAGGAGCTGCTGGCCATCGGTAAGACCCCAGCCGCGGGAAGGAAGACACCAGCTGTGGGCCTCCAGGGTCCCAGGCCTGCCCCTCTGTGTCTCCTGCATTGTAGGAAGACCATGATGGTGGTGATGAACTGGGAGGGCAAAGGTGGCCCCAGATGGGATCTTCTGGAATATTTAGTTTTGTTTTGGGTTTTTGAGATGGAGTCTCACTCTGTTGCCCAGGCAGGAGTGCAGTGGCACGATCTTGGCTCACTACAACCTCTGCCTCCTGGGTTCAAGTGATTCTCCTGCCTCAGCCTCCCAAGTAGCTGGGATTAAAGGCATATGCCACCATGCATGGCTAATTTTTGTGTTTTTAGTAGAGACAGGGTTTCACCATGTTGGCCAGGCTGGTCTCGAACTCCCGACCTCAGGTGATCTGCCTGCCTCGGCCTCCCAAAGTGCTGAGGTTACAGGCATGAGCTACTGCGCCTGGCTCTTCCAGAATATTAACAAGGACTCATTCCCAGACCTCCACACTGCTCAGTTTAACCCCTAAGAACAAGGAGCTGACATCTGTTGTCTGTTCTACCACTTATTGAGCACCTGCTGTGTACCTGACCCTGAGGTCTGTGGCCTTGGTCTAGATCCAGGAACACCTGGAATGTCCCACCTCGGGGAGGGAGCACCTAGTGCCGGGGGTCAAGAGGGGAAGGCTGTGGCCGGGGGAATCGAGAGGAGTCTTCTGATTGTGCCCGCACCCTGCCCTGTGCCTCCCTCCAGGCAGGGGCAGGTGGATTCATGAAGACTCGGGGGCCCCAAGTTGCCTGCCTGTGGATGGGGGTCATGCCCGCTTTCACGGTTTAGTTCCCTTTTGTTACGTCTCTGCGGGCTGACTTCTTAGTGGTATATTTCGAGACCACAGTGTGAATCTTTTTGTGTGTGTGAGAGACTGAATCTTGCTTTGTCACCCAGGCTAGAGTGCAGTGGTACAATCTCGGCTCACTGCAACCTCTGCCTTCTGGGTTCATCCGATTCTCCTGCCTCAGCCTCCCGAGTAGCTGAGACTACAGGCGTGTGCCACCACGCCTGGCTACTTTTTGTATTTTTAGTAGAGACGGGGTTTCACCATATTGATCAGGCTGGTCTCAAACTCCTGACCTCGTGATCCGCCTGCCTTGGCCTCCCAAAGTGCTGGGATTACAGGCGTGAGCCACCGCGCCTGGCCCAGTGTGAATCTTAAATTCAGTTATCATAACTAAATGGTGGGTCCCAGGCCTTCCTGCCTTTCCTTCTCGCCCCTCATGAGACTGGTGCAGGATAACCCAGGAAGCACCATGGGCTTCTTCCCAAGGGGTGTCCACCCTGACAATTTCACGAGAGCCATTTGGCTTCTTGACAGCAAAGTGAGTGACCCAGGTTGGGTCACAAAGGGACGTTGCCCGGGCTTCTCTCTGAGCCATGGAGAGCGGGGCATTGTCCAGTTGAGTGGCGGAGCTTGGGCTTCCTGGGAATCACGCACTTTCAGGCTGAGAAAATCCACGGCCTCCTCAAAGACCCCACCAGTAAATCTTCCAAATGTGATTTCCCAGAGCATCCCATTCCCATTACTTTACTTATTATTATTATTATTATTTGAGACGGAATCTTCCTCTGTCGCCCAGGCTGGAGTGCAGTGGCACGGTCTCGGCTTTCTGCAACCTCCGTCTCCTGGGTTCAAGCGATTCTCCTGCCTCAGCCTCCTGAGTAGCTGGGATTGCAGGCACCTGCCCCTGAGCCTGGCTGATTTTTGTATTTTTAGTAGGACGAGGTTTTGCCATGTTGGCCAGGCGGGTCTCAAGCTGCTGACCTCTGGTGATCCGCCCGCGTTGGCCTCCCAAAGTGCTAGGATTACAGGCCTGAGCCACAGCCCCTGGCCCTATTCCCATTACTTTAAAAATACCACAGATCTATTCTGACAGCACCCTGAGTTCCAGGGATACAACACAGACCGAGCGAAGGTCAAGGTTACTATGGCAGCCATGGGATTCCTTGATCTCAGATAGGCCAGGTAGGCCTCAGCAGCCGCACAGCAAGAAGCTGGCTGACGTGAGCCCATGAAGGCCAGGCTGGGAGGGGTTGCGCTGGTCAGCTTCGGCTCACAGAGTTGGGTCCCCAGCCCAAGCTGCTGTAGAATGAGGATGATCCCCTGCAGCCTGTGGTCACCTTGGGCCTCTACCGAGCCCTCCCACGCCTGTATTTCCTTGCCCTAGCCCATCTCTCTCAGGGCCGTGAGCTGGGCCATGTCACCCGGGATGCCCTGATACTGAGTTGGCCCCAGGCCGAGCCGCCTTGAGAGCAGGCCCTGCACCTGTGAGACCTGAGACCCCACTGTGGGTCTTAGCGAGCAGGAGGGATTCTGGTCTTAGTGATGCCCCAGGTGAGACAGATGCTGGTGGGAGCGTGGGTCAACCTGAGCAGTGATCCCCGTTCTTGGGCCCCAGCAATGCTGTGGGCGTGGGCTTTGTCTGTTGTAGGCAGCCGGCATCACCTGGGGAGGCAGCATACTGGCCATGACCTTGGCCTCACTGTGGCTGTCATCTCGTGAGACGGAAAGGAACTGGGTGGAGAACGGTGGGCAGCCACTGACCTCCCGAGTACCTAGGGTTTGTCTTACGGGCACTTTATCTCAGCTCTCACCCCCTCCTGGGTGGTGAGATGCTCCCCTCTGTTCTGCGTGGGGAAGGCGTGTCCTGGTCACACAGGAGAGGCTGGGTGAGAAGTGTTTGAAAGCTAGGATCTTGCCAGGCATGGTGGCTCACTCCTGTGATCCCAGCACTTTGGGAGGCTGAGGCGGATGGGTCACCTGAGGTCAGGCATTTGAGACCAGCCTGGCCAGCATGGCAAAACCCTGTCTCTACTAAAAATAGAAAAATTAACTGGGTGTGGTGGCACATGCCTGTAGTCCCAGCACTTTGGGAGGTCGAAGCGGGTGGATCACTGAGGTCAGGAGTTTGAGACCAGCCTGGCCAACATGGCAAAACTCTGTCTGTACTAAAAATACAGAAATTAGCCAGGCGTGGTAGTGTGTGCCTGTAATCCCAGCTACTCAGGAGGCTGAGGCAGGAGAATCGCTTGAACTGGGAGGCGGAGGCTGCAGTGAGCTGAGATCGCGCCACTGCATTCCAGCCTGGGCAACAAAGCCAGACTCTGTCTCAAAAAAAAAAAAAAAAAAAAAAAGGCTAGGCTTTACGTCTGCAAGAATGTGGCCTGTTTTCTTCCTTCCCTGAAGGAGTGCGTAGGCCCAGGCCCCCAGGATGATTCTCCCGAGCCCTGCCTTCCTGCCTCCCTTCTGGGTTTTTGTCCCCCTCCCCATCTCCTTTCCCTCCATCCTGTGTGCCTTCCCTCCACGATCAGCCTGTCTTGCCTCCTCCCCAGGTCTCACCAACATGTTGGGCTCCCTCGTCTCCTCCTACCCGGTCACAGGCAGCTTTGGACGGTGAGTGACCTGTCCGCCTCTTCTGTTTGCCCACGTTGGACGCCCTAACGTTGTTACGCTGACAAGGAGTCTGCCTGCCCTGACCCCGGCGCCCCGTCCTCCACTGTGAACGCTCCGTGGAGAGGCAGGGCTGGGGGTCACCCACTGTCCTCCAGGGTGTTCTCTGTTTCTTTATTCTCATAGATCGTCCTGCAGTTTCATACTAGAAAGTTCCACTGGGCATTGTGGTACACCCTTGTTATCCCATTTACTCTGGAGGCGGAAGCAGGAGAATCGCTTGAGCCCAGCAGGATGAGGCTGCAGTGAGTTGTGACCGCACCGCTGCACTCCAGCCTGGGCAACAGAGCGAGACCCTGTCTCTAAAATAAATACTAGAAAGTTCCCAGCACGCCAAAGCCCTCCTAGCTCCTGGTGCCAGAGTCAATTCCTGAAAGGACGTGGAGATAGGAAGGGCCTCGGCTCTGTCCTGAAGCAGCCGGGCATGAAGCTTAGCCCAGATGCCCTACGGCCCCTCCTCAGTCAGGACAACAGGATGGAGGTGACCTGTGGCTTAAAGGAGAGAAGGAGGCGTCACCTGGCACTGCCCAGTCCCCCAGCTGGTGACCCTTGCCCTGCTGGGTATGGGGGCCCCACCTGGATGGGGGCAGGAGACAGAGTCGGCAGGAACCTGAAAGGACACGTGCTTCCTGAGCTTCTTCCTATAGTCAGGGTGGCCCAAGCGCGGCTGTCTGTGACTGCACCCTAAGTCTCTTTGCCTCGGTCCCCTTGCAGTCCCCGCCTGCTTCCCAAGCCGTGCTGGGAGCTGACGTCCCCTCGGAAGATCAGCCACAGGAGTGTGGACTGAGGTCTCCCTTTTCCCGGCCCCTGGTGACTGACGGTCTCTGTGTTGCCTTCCAGGACAGCCGTGAACGCTCAGTCGGGGGTGTGCACCCCGGCGGGGGGCCTGGTGACGGGTAAGGCCCCCCATCTTCCCCTTGTGCCCGCAGCCCTGAGAGTGGGAGAAAGGGAGGAGGGGGCCCACAGAGACGTCCCTTTGGCTCATGGGCCGTGCGCCCCGGGACTGCACAGGGACTTGGGGGGCCACACAGGAGTAGGGGGACCACAGGAGACTGAGCAGGGGCTGGGGGCCTTGGCAGTCGTCGCCCTACCCCCACCCCTGTCCCCAGTGGGCTCTGCTGAACAAGAGGCTGCTACGCTGCGTGCTGGGGGGACCCTGCACTCCCGAGGTCACCTGTGTTCCCGTGCCCCGCAGGAGTGCTGGTGCTGCTGTCTCTGGACTACCTGACCTCACTGTTCTACTACATCCCCAAGTCTGCCCTGGCTGCCGTCATCATCATGGCCGTGGCCCCGCTGTTCGACACCAAGATCTTCAGGACGCTCTGGCGTGTTAAGAGTACGTCCTTGTCCTACAGGGGAGAGCGCTGTGATGCGGTGTCTGAACGCGGAGGGTGTCATTTATGCTACCCCATTTTCCTGCAGCCCCCTCTGTGGGGCTGGGACTGGGAAGTTAGGGCAGTCCCGGAACAGAGAAGTGGATGGCCAGGAGATGGCCCCAGAGATGGTCCCGAGGCTCAGTGGGAAGAGCTGGAGCTCCTTGTCCTGACACCTGGGGTCTTGAGGCGAGCACTGACCCGGGGGAGGGTCCCCTCCTGATCCCCCTGCCCCCATCCCTACCCTCCTTGCCACCCGCCTCCAGCCACCACTCTGCCCGGCCCAGCTGGGGGAGGGACAGGAGACGTCCCTGGTGACCAGCAGGGCCAGCGGAACAGCCTTGCACCCTGGCTCAGAATGGCAGTTCCTTTTTTTTTTTTTATTATTATTTTTATTTTTTTTTATTGATCATTCTTGGGTGTTTCTTGCAGAGGGGGATTTGGCAGGGTCATAGGACAATATGGGGTTGGGGGTAAGGTCACAGATAACAGGATCCCAAGGCAGAGGAATTTTTCTTAGTGCAGAACAAAATGAAAAGTCTCCCATGTCTACTTCTTTCTACACAGACACGGCAACCATCCGATTTCTCAATCTTTTCCCCACCTTTCCCCCCTTTCTATTCCACAAAACCGCCATTGTCATCATGGCGCGTTCTCAATGAGCTGTTGGGTACACCTCCCAGACGGGGTGGTGGCCGGGCAGAGGGGCTCCTCACTTCCCAGTAGGGGCGGCCGGGCAGAGGCGCCCCTCACCTCCCGGACGGGAGCAGTTCCTTTAACTTAACACATTTTGTTTTGTTTGTGGAAGAAGCATGGAGTGGGTTCACCTAGCTTACTTGGCATTTTCTGGTTAGCCCCAGCAAGTTGCCAGGTGAAAGGATGGATAATTTTCTTGCATGCCCGTCGCATGCCAGGGCCTTTCGCGTGCCAGTGCGCTGGGGCTTTAGAACAGCCCTGAAACGTGTTCATGTGCCGGCGTGGAATGGGATGGCCGCTGCTGCTAGAAACCAAGGCTCAGCCAGGGTGGGGCAGGCCTGACCTATGCGTGCGGTGGAATCCCCCACAGGGCTAAGCCCGTGCACTTTGTCCCCAGGGCACCTTCTCCTTGGCCAGGTCTCAAGGGCTCACGTGGTCCCTGCCCCACTCCTCAGGCCAGCTCTGTGCCCTGACAAGCCCCTGCTGCTGCCCTCCCTGAGGTTGGAGGCCAGGGACCGGCCGGCAGGTCTCACCTGCGCTCAGCTCAGATGGGGAGGGCATTTCTTTCTTTCGACTTGAAGCATGGCCTGGTCAGCAGCTGCTGTCCCCAAGTCCTCAGGGGCTGCTTGGGGTCCATGAGCACCTTTACTCATATGTGGGGGGCAGAAAGCTGTCCCGCTGGTCAGCAGGGCCATGTTGGGGCCTCGGGCAGCTGCCGGGCATTCCTCAGCTGTGCCCTTCTCCTAGGGCTGGACCTGCTGCCCCTGTGCGTGACCTTCCTGCTGTGCTTCTGGGAGGTGCAGTACGGCATCCTGGCCGGGGCCCTGGTGTCTCTGCTCATGCTCCTGCACTCTGCAGCCAGGCCTGAGACCAAGGTACCCCTCCGTGGCCTCTGAGTGGGGAGTGTGCTGGGGGCAGGATTCCTGGGCATGGTCTTATGTTTTGAGGGTCCGGGGTGATTGTGGTCGTGGGTGCTGCTGAAGGGGACCGCTCGCTGGCAGGTGGGCAGTCACCTTGCTATAAACCATGGTGTTCTCCCACTGTGTGGGGGCCATGGGGGTCTCCCCTTAGCACCCCTCTCCCGGTCCCCTGCAGCACACTAGGTTGGGTGGGGGCTTCCCGCTTGGGACAGGCCAAGCCTGGTGGAGGCCACCCGGTCAGACCCGCCTCCAGGACTCACTCCTCCCCACAGGTGTCAGAGGGGCCGGTTCTGGTCCTGCAGCCGGCCAGCGGCCTGTCCTTCCCTGCCATGGAGGCTCTGCGGGAGGAGATCCTAAGCCGGGCCCTGGAAGGTGCATGGGCGGGGGTCAAGGTGGTCTGAGGTCACTCCCCTGTCCTCTGCCCCCCACTCCCTGCTGTTCAGGACCCCAAGACCCTGTCCCCAACGCTCTCCAGTCCACAAGGATGCAGGCATCTCTGAGTGGGCTGGACCGTCCTCTGTGGGCCTCAGCCAGTGGCTGCTGCAGCAAGGGTGGTGGCCCCCCACATATCACTCCTTCCCTGCCCCTAAAGTCCGGTTCCTGTTTCTGGGGGGTTGATTTTAGGGGAGCTAAGGGCCTGTGAGTCCTAGGAGGGAAACAGCTGCTGCTGTCACCAAACAATTGTCTCTGGTCCTGCCACCCGAATCCCCCAACTGGGCGACTCAGCCGCCACGAGATGGAGCACTCTGGCCTCTCTGTCCCCTGCCCCTGGCCAGAGCCTCCTTTGGCCTCTGCAGAGCAGCTTTGGGCTGCTCTGGGTGGCGTGACCTGGCTCGGGCCTGTCTCCCCAGTGTCCCCGCCACGCTGCCTGGTCCTGGAGTGCACCCATGTCTGCAGCATCGACTACACTGTGGTGCTGGGACTCGGCGAGCTCCTCCAGGACTTCCAGAAGCAGGGCGTCGCCCTGGCCTTTGTGGGCCTGCAGGTGGGTGTGCACTGGGCTGCCTTAGGGGTTAGCAGCTGCCGGAAGGCCTTCCTGTGCCTGCCTCCCATGGCGAATGTGACATCTCTGGGCTGTGATGCTGGACGGCCCTTCGGCCGGTGCTGGCTCTGCTTCTGATTTAAACAGTTCTTGTTCCCATCTGGCCTTCCTCGTCCCTCCCTGTGGAAGGGGGAGCGGTGGCCCCCAGCCCTCCGAGGGGTCACGTTATGGCTTCTGGTCACTGCCACACTGTCCTTTGTGCTGGGGACACACAGTGAACGAGGGTCAGTCCCTGCTCTCAGGGGAATTGTATTTTAGGAAACAAAAAGAGACAGGTGAGGCTAGGCGTGGTGGCACACTCCTGGAATCCCAGCACTTTGGGAGGCCAAGGCGGGCAGATCACCTGAGGTCAGGAGTTCAAGACCAGCCTGGCCAACATGGTGAAACCCCGTCTCTACTAAAAATACAAAAAAAAACTAGTCAGGTGTGGTGGCGAGCGCCTGTAATTCCAGCTACATGGGAGGCTGGGAGAATCGCTTGAACCTGGGAGGTGGAGGTTGCAGTAAGCCGAGATCCCACTACTGTACTCCAGCCTGGGCGACAGAGTGGGACTCCATCTCAAAAACAAACAAACGAAAAAAAACAGGTGCTCATAGAATTTCATGAAAAACGTATTGTCAGGGCTTCCAGAGGCTGAAGACGGGTTTCTATGGAGGCCGTCCTGTTCAGAGCCACAGGTAAAGTGTAAGGGCTGGGTCCCAGGCCCTGCGTCTTAGGCCTCACCTAGGAGCCTTCTGAGCACTGCAGGGTCAACATCCCAGGGGTGTGGCCAGTGTTTGCAGAGAGGCAGGGGTCTCTGTTGCTGTGGTTAAATGTGCGCTCTCTGCCAAGTCCTAGATGGCAGAACGTGGGGGACTAGGGCGTGTCCCCAGGCGCCCAGAGGAGACATTCATGAACTAGCCATGGAACAGGAGGCCAAGTGACCCGTATACCCCAGGTGTGGACCACAGCCGACCCTTGTCAGAGTTTCCTTCATTCCCAACCTGGCCCACGAGGCTAGTGTTATCTTCATCCCCATGTCCAGAAGAGGTCACTGAGGCCCAGAGAAGCCAGGTAATCTGCCCACGGTCACACAGGATGGTGGGCCCGGCTTCAGATTTGGGCATGTGCCTTCAGAACTTCGCTCATAAGTGTTACGTCCTGTGTCATATTTGCAGAGCACATGTCTTCATGGTCTTTGGAGATGATTCACTTAAAAAAATACTCCTCTGACCCAGACATGGTGGCTCACACCTGTAATCCCAGCACTTTGAGAGGCCGAGGCGGGAGGTCAAGGGTTTGAGACCAGCCTGGCCAACATAGTGAAACTCCGTCTCTACTAAAAATACAAAAATTAGACGGGCATGGTGGCGCACGCCTGTAATCCCAGCTGCTCAGGGGGCTGAGGCAGGAGAATCGCTTGAACCCGGGAGGCAGAGGTTGCAGTGAGCCGAGATCGCGCCATTGCACTCCAGCCTGGGTAACAAGAGTGAAACTCCATCTCAAAAACAAACAAACAAACAAAAAGTCCTCTGGGCCAGGCGCTGTGGCTCACACCTGTAATCCCAGCACTTTGGGAGGCCGAGGTAGGAGGATCATTTGAGGCCAGGAGTTTGAGACCAGCCTGGGCAACATGACGAAACCCCATCAAAAAAATAGGAAAAAATAGCTGGACGTGGTGGCGTGCACCTGTAGCTACTCAGGAGGCTGAGGTGGGAGGATCACTTGAGTCTGGGAGGTTGAGGCTGCAGTGAGCCATGATCGTGCCACTGCACTCCAGCCTGAGCAATGAGCAAGACCCTGTCTCAAAAAACAAAAAATTAAAAAAAAAAAAATCTTCCTCTGACAGCATTCCCCTGGGGCTGCGTTTCTTCTCACCATTCACTGGTATGGAGGTGAAGCCATACCTCTCCGGGAGACTCTGAGATGGCAGGTCTACCAGGCTGCCGACCCGTGTGCTACAGAGGAACATCCCTGCCCTGGCTAAAGTCTGTCTGTCTCTCAGGTCCCCGTTCTCCGTGTCCTGCTGTCCGCTGACCTGAAGGGGTTCCAGTACTTCTCTACCCTGGAAGAAGCAGGTGGGCACAGTCAGACATCCTGTGGCTTTGGTGATTTTGTAAAAATCATAAATGCTTATTGTAAAAAATATGGGAAACCAGCTGGGCACAGTGGCTCATGCCTGTAATCCCAGCACTTTGGGAGGCCGAGGCAGGTGGATCACCTGAGGTCAGGAGTTCGAGACCAGCCTGGCCAACATGGTAAAACCTCATCAGTACTAAAAATACAAAAATTAGCTGGGTGTGGTGGCATGCACCTCTAGTCCCAGCTATTCGGGAGGCTGAAGCAGGAGAATCGCTTGAACCCAGGAGGCAGAGGTTGTACTGAGCCGAGATTGTGCCACTGCACTCCAGCCTGGGTGAGAGAGCGAGACTCTGTCTCAAAAAAAAAAAAAACAAAAAAAACAGGAAACCACCTCCACCCCAGTCCACTTTGGTGATCACTCCATACCCCTCCCCTAAACACGCATATGTACCTGCCTGTCAGGATGTGGATATATGTTTGCGGTTTTACGTAAATGGGACCATTTCATACCTGGTGCTCTGGAACCCACATTTTTCATGCAGAAGGTTGGAAGGATGTCCTTCCAGCCGAAAGTCCACATCCCGGGGGATCAGGACAGAGCAGGGCCGGGTCAGGAGATCCAGAAGCCCCGGGACAGAAGGTACGGGAGGGACAGGAGCAGGGTGGGCGCTGACCCTTGAGACAGCAATCGCAGGAGGTCTGAGCCGCAGCAGGTGTCAACAAGAGGATGGGCCAGAGATGCAGAGCATCCACCCCAGGCCACACAGCAGTGGCCAGAGGGTCCCAGGCCCCAGTGCTAGGCCTCTTCCTCTTCCACTGAGGTCACAGCTGAAGCTGGGTCAGCTCCGTGAGAGTGAGGGGTGGCGGATGTTGTACTGACTTCCTTGGCTCAATGTGACGTCAGGGAGATTCACCCATGTTGTTGTAGAATCAGCTCAGATGCAGTGCACTGGAGGTGGATAAGCAGAATGTGGCCTGGCCGTGGGATGGGAGGGTACCCTGGAGCAGTAAGAAAGGGCCGTTAGTCACCTGAAAAATACGCTTACAGAGACTCAGGTGAGACCCTCATGGAGTTAGTGACACTGGCCTGGGTGGCCCACAGCTCCTTCCTGCACACCTTCCAGGACTCTGGAAGGCCCTCCTTAATCCCTTCCTGTGAACTGACCCATCCTCACTTCTGAGCTTTTAGTGCTTGAAACATTTATTGTATTTTCTGCAGAGAAGCACCTGAGGCAGGAGCCAGGGACCCAGCCCTACAACATCAGAGAAGACTCCATTCTGGACCAAAAGGTTGCCCTGCTCAAGGCATAATGGGGCCACCCGTGGGCATCCACAGTTTGCAGGGTGTTCCGGAAGGTTCTTGTCACTGTGATTGGATGCTGGATGCCGCCTGATAGACATGCTGGCCTGGCTGAGAAACCCCTGAGCAGGTAACCCAGGGAAGAGAAGGAAGCCAGGCCTGGAGGTCCACGGCAGTGGGAGTGGGGCTCACTGGCTTCCTGTGGGATGACTGGAAAATGACCTCGCTGCTGTTCCCTGGCATGACCCTCTTTGGAAGAGTGGTTTGGAGAGAGCCTTCTAGAATGACAGACTGTGCGAGGAAGCAGGGGCAGGGGTTTCCAGCCCGGGCTGTGCGAGGCATCCTGGGGCTGGCAGCACCTTCCCGGCTCACCAGTGCCACCTGCGGGGGAGGGACGGGGCAGGCAGGAGTCTGGGAGGCGGGTCCGCTCCTCTTGTCTGCGGCATCTGTGCTCTCCGAGAGAAAACCAAGGTGTGTCAAATGACGTCAAGTCTCTATTTAAAAATAATTTTGTGTTTTCTAAATGGAAAAAGTGATAGCTTTGGTGATTTTGTAAAAGTCATAAATGCTTATTGTAAAAAATACAGGAAACCACCCCTCACCCTGTCCACTTGGGTGATCATTCCAGACCCCTCCCCAAACATGCATATGTACCTGTCCGTCAGTGTGTGGATGTATGTTTACAGTTCTACATAAATGGGATCATTTTATACATGGTGCTCTGGAACCCACATTTTTCATGCAGTCATTTGCAGTGAATTATTTATTGTGATAATAAATAGCATTAGAATACAAGATTTTTAATGTCTGCGTGGTATTTTGGTCTATATATGCATCATAATTGACTTACCGAGCCCTCTGTTCAACGTGTGCGTGGGTTAGAGACGGGATCGTGCCTCCTTTAGATGTGTCAGTTGAAGCCCTTGCCCTCTATGTGACTGCGTTTGGAAACAGGGCTTTTAGGGGGTAACTAGGTTTAATGAAGGTCATAAAGGTGGGCCCTGAACCGATAGCTTTAGTGTCCTCGTGAGAAGAGACGCCAGAGAGCTCGTTCTCTGCACCCTCACACCCCAGGGAACTCCATGAGAGGACACGGCAAAACCAGGCCATGCGCCCACCAGGAAGAAAGGCCTCATGAGGACCCCAGCCTCCAAAACTGGGAGAAGATGAATCTCTGTGCTAGGCCCCGCAGCCTGGGGTGATCTGTGACGGCGGCCTGAGCAGGTGAGGACTGCCTGCATGTTTGTATTTTTATGAATGCTTTGATTGAGTCTGGGGGTAAATCCCTGGAGGCCTGTGGCAGCCTCAGAGGTGTGTTCTCCCTGCACTTTCTTCAAGAAGAATGTGGCCTGCCCTACTGAGCCTCGTTCTGCCCGTTCTGCCCGGGCAGTCCCGGCCAATGTCAGCGCAGCAAGGGGAGGGCCTCTGTAACCAGGGCTGCTGGCTGCGGGGCTCCCCACTGGACACGGGAGTGGACATTGGAGTGTCCTTCATCCGCGTCACTCTTCCAGGTCCCTTGCCTCCTCCCATTTTCCTTCCTTCCTTTCCTTCCTTCCTTCCCTTCCTTTCCTTCCTTCCTTCCTTTCTTTCCTTCCTTCCTTCCTTTCCTCCCTTGCTCCCTTCCTTTTCTTTCTTCCTTCCGTTTTTCTTTCCTTTCTTCCTTCCTTTCATTTTTTTCTTCCCGTTCTCCCTTTCTTCCTCCCTCCACCCCTTTCTTCTCACTGTGTTCCCCAGGCTGGTCTTCAACTCCTGGGCTCAAGCAATCCTCTTGCCTCAGCCTCTGGTGTGGCTGGGACCACAGACACATGCCACCGCGCCAGGCTAATTTGTTAATTGTTTTTATAGAGACAGGGTCTCACTTTGTTTCCCAGGCTCGTCTCAAACTCCTGGGCTCAAGTGATACTCCAGCTTCAGCCTGAAGTGCTGGAATTAAGGTGTGAGCCACCATGCCTGGCCCTCTCTCATTCACAAGTGAACCATTCACCCCTGCCCTCCAATCCATGTCGTTTCTGACCTCAGGCAGCTTCTCTTTCTACATAAAGTGAACCTGTCCCAAAGCTGTGCTCACTGGGCCCCCCTGCCAGGGCTGGAAGAGGCAGCAGTTCACATTTGGCTTGCACTCACATACCAAGGGCATCCATGCTTGAACCTAGACATGGTTCATTCACAGGGATGGGTGAAGGTAAACAGACTGTGGCGGGCACTAGGCACTATCAGTTTCATAAATCTGCATACCACCTGTGACTCAGCAGTTATGCTTCTCGGAATCTACTCAAACATGCTTGAGTCAGCCTTCCAGGAAGCAGGCACAAGGACGTTTGTGACAACTTGGTCAGTAATTTTAAGAAGTAGGAAGAAACCTGAGTTTCTCTGAATTCGGTAACATCTTGACTGTAGGACACACGAATAATGCCGTGGAATATTGTGCAGCAGTTAAAAGAAATGAGGTGAAGGCCGGGTGTGGCAGCTCACGCCTGTTATCTCAGCACTTTGGGAGGCCGAGGCTGGTGGATCACTTAAGGTCAGGAGTTTGAGACCAGTCTGGCCAACATGGCGAAACCCTGTCTCTACTAAAAATACAAAAATTAGCTGACCTCTGTGACAGAGTGAGACTCTGCCTCAAAAAAAAAAAAAAAAAAAAAAAAGAGAAATGAGGTGAAGCTTTAAGTTGTAACACTGATTTTGGGGTGCAATAAAGCAAGTTGCAGAATGATACCCATGTTAAGATGCTATTTGAGTGAACACACGGACCAAACAATTCTATGTTGGGTACAAATTTAAGAAAGAGTTCTGGGCTGGGCACGGTGGCTCACAACTGTAATCCCAGCACTCTGGGAGGGTGAGTCGGATGGATCAGGAGGTCAGGACTTCTAGACTAGCCTGGCCAATATGGTGAAACCCCATCTCTACTAAAAATACAAAAATTAGCCAGGCGTGTTGGCGCGTGTCTGGAGTCCCAGCTACTCAGGAGACTAAGGTAGGAGAATCACTTGAACCCGGGAGGCAGAGGTTGCAGTGAGCTGAGATCATGCCACTGCACTCTGGCCTGGGCAACAGAGCGAGACTCAAAAAATAAATAAATAAATAAATAAAATAAATAAGAGTTTTCTGCACTTTGGGAGGCCTGTAGTCCCAGCTACTCTGGAGGCTGAGGCAAGAGGATCACTTGAGCCTGGGGGGGTCGAGGCTGCAGTGAGTCCTGATTGTGTCACTGAAATCCAGCCTGGGCAACAGAGTGAGACCCCATCTCAAAAAAAAAGAGAAAAAAGAAAATAGAGTTGTTGCAAATGTAGTTAGTTCAAGTTAAAATGAGGCCATGCTGGAGTAGGGTGGGCCTAATCCTATATAAGCGGTGACTTCTTGTTTTTTGTTTTGAGACAGGCTCTCACTCTTGCCCAGGCTGGATTGCGGTGGCTTGACCAGTCGGCTCTCTGGCTCCAGTGATCCTCCTGCCTCAGCCTCCCAAGTAGCTGGGACCACAGGCATGAGCCACCATGCAGGGCAAATTTTTATTATTTATTATTCATCTATTTATTTATTTTTGAGATAGAGTCTCACTCTGTGGCCCAGGCTGGAGTGCAATAGTGCGATCTTGGCTCACTGCAACCTCCACCTCCCGGACTCAAGCAGTTCTCCTGCCTCAGCCTCCAGAGTAGCTGGGATTGCAGGCATGCACCATCATGCCCGGCTAATTTTTGTATTTTTAGTAGACATGGGGTTTCACCATGTTGGCCAGGCTGTTCTCAGACTCCTGACTGCAAGTGATCTGCCCGCCTCGGCCTCCCAAAGTGTTGAGATTACAGGGGTGAGCCACTGCGCCCAGCCACATTTTTAAATTTTGTGTAGAGACAGGGTTTTGCCATGTTGCCCAGGCTGGAAGTGGTGTGTTGTTGTTGTTGTTGTTGTTGTTGTTGTTGTTTTGTTTTGTTTTGTTTGTTTTGAGACTGAGGCTTGCTCTGTCGCCCAGGCTGGAGTTCAGTGGCGTGATCTCGGCTCACTGCAAGCTCCGCCTCCCGGGTTCAGGCCATTCTCCTGCCTCAGCCTCCTGAGTAGCTGGGACTACAGGCGCCCGCCACCTCTCCCAGCTAATTTGGAAGTGGTGTTTTTATAAAGGGAAATTTGGTCATCGATACACATGGAGCATGTGCTGTGAACATGAAGGCAGGGACAAGCCAAGGAACTCTAGCGACTGTCAGCTGAAGAACGTCGAGGTTCAAACGTTAATAAAGGCGAACTTGTTTCTCATAAAGGTTTGCAGCCTGCAAGGAGGTTTTTTTAAATTTTGTTTTGTTTTTGAGACGGAGTCTCATCCTGTAGCCCAGGCTGGAGTGCAGTGGTATGATCTCGGCTCACTGCAAGCTCCACTTCCCGGGTCCCGGTTCAAGCAGTTCTCCTGCCTCAGCCTCTCGAGTAGCTGGGATTACAGGCACATGCCACCATGCCCAGCTAATTTTTTTTGTGTTTTTAGTAGAGATGGGATTTCACCATATTGGCCAGGCTGGTCTTGAACTCCTGACCTTGTGATCCGCCCGCTTTGGCCTCCCAAAGTGCTGGGATTACAGGCGTGAGCCACTGAGCCCGGCCGGAGGCTCTTCTTGTAGCCTGGGAAGCATGGCCGGCACTTGGAGGGAGGGAGGGAGGGAGGGAGGGAGGGAGGAGTAAGACAGGAATTTACTCTGAAAGGGTTGGCCAAGTATACATGCTCAATAGGTTACAGGAGGGGCTAGGAATATTCATGAAGGAATCGCATATGCATGAGTATTAGGCTTACATGTATGAAAAATACAGCAACATATGACCCATGTTCACTTTGGGGAGAAAACTTAACAGTTAAATGCATTATAATCAGGCCCTATACATGAAAAGGTGACATGTAGGGTACAAGTCCACGAAGTGCACATCCCCAGGAGGCCCGTCAGAACCACAGAAACAAGACCAGGTGCCGGGTGGGCACAGTTAGTGGAGGCATCCTCAGCAGAAGGCCCGTCAGAACCACAGAAACAAGACCAGGTGCCGGGTGGGCACAGTTAGTGGAGGCATCCTCAGCCTTTGATAGGACGGAGTGGTGATTAGTAAGAGGGCTGGGGCGGGGAAGCAGGTGGGACACGGCCAGCCTCTGTCCTGCTGTGGCTGGGACTTGAATATTTTGTTGTTGTTGTTGTGTTTTAGCCAAAAGAGGGTCTGTTAGTCTCTGTCAAAGAGTTTCAGGACTTTTAATTCAGTCCACACCAGTGATCACCAGGAGCCAGGAGCGAGGCCTGGGACGGATACTCTTTATAGCCTCGGCAGGATCTAATGCTGCCAACGCCCTGATCTTGGGCTTCCGGCCTCCAGAGCTGTGAGACGGTACATTTCTGCAGTTTGAAGACTAAACTCTGATTTTTTTTATCTTGCCCAAATTCCTACCTAAGGCGTCTGGGGAGTCATACTTTACAAACCATACGTTCTCAGTGTCAAGCGTGTCCGTGTGAAGAGACCACCAAACAGGCTTTGTGTGAGCAATAAAGCTTTTTAATCACCTGGGTGCAGGCGGGCTGAGTCTGAAAAGAGAGTCAGTGAAGGGAGATAGGGGTGGGGCCATTTTATAGGATTTGGGTAGGTAGTGGAAAATTACAGTCAAAGGGGGTTGTTCTCTGGCTGGCAGGGGTGGGGGATACAAGGTGCTCAGTGGGCCAGGATGAGCCAGGAGAAGGAATTTCACAAGGTAATGTCATCAGTTAAGGCAGAAACAGGCCATTTTCACTTCTTTTATGATTCTTCAGTTACTTCAGGCCATCTGGATGTATACGTGCAGGTCACAGGGGATATGATGGCTTAGCTTGGGCTCAGAGGCCTGACACATGGCCTGTGACAGAGCCCTCAGGAGGCCCTGAGAACATGTGCCAAGGAGGTTGGGTGCAGCTTGGTTTATACATTTTAAGGAAGCGTCAGACATCAATCAAATGCATTTGAGAAATACATTGATTTGGTCCAGAAAGGCAGGAAAATTTGAAGCGGTGGGGGCAGGGGGCTTCCAGGCTGTAGGTAAATTTAAACATTTTCTGGTTTACAATTGGTTGAGTTTATCTAAAGACCTGGGATTAATAGTAAGGAAATGTTCAGGTTAAGATAGAACACCGTGCTGAGCAGCACTCCGGCCCAGCACTATTACGTGGGCAAGAGGCAAAGCTCCAAGGGCTTAGTGTACCTGCTGCAGCAGCTGGTAGGGGCAGACTGTGATCACAGAGACAGCACTGTCCCGCAGAAAAATCATGCAAGCCACCAACGTGAGCCATGCAAGTCATTTAAACATTTCGACTAGTCATACTGAAAAAGTCAAAAGAAACAGTTGAAATTAACTGTTTAGAGACAAAGTCTCACTCTGTCGCCAGGGCTGGAGTGCAGTGGTGCAGTCAAGATTGGTGGGAGGAAAAAGCAGGTTTTAATTGGAGACCCAGCAAAGCGAGAAGATGCCCAACTAGCGTTCTAAAGTGTCACCTTGGCTGGGCGCAGTGGCTCATGCCTGTAATTCCAGCACTTTGGGAGGCCAAGGCAGGTGGATCACCTGAGGTCAGGAGTTTGAGACCACCCTGGCCAACATGGAGAAACCCCGTCTCTACTAAAAATACAAAAATTAGCCAGGCTTGGTGGCGGGCGCTTGTAATCCCAGCTACTCGGGAGGCTGAGGCATGAGAATCACTTGAACTGGGAGGTGGAGTTTGCAGTGAGCCAAGATCACGCCACTGCACTCCAGCCTGGGGTATAGAGTGAGACTGTCTCCAAAAAACAAACAAACAATAAATAAAGTGCCACCCTAAAATTAAAAATTTATCCTCAGGTTTTGTGTGTTTGTTAGTTTTTGAGGCAAGATCTCACTTTGTCATCCAGGCTGGAGTGCAGTGGTATGATCACGACTCACTGCAGCCTGGAGCTCCCTGGGCTCAAACGATCCTCTTGCCTCAGCCTCTTCAGGTGCACCACCACGCCCAGCTAATTTTTTTAAATGATTTTTTTTGTAGAGATGGGGTCTCTCTATGTTGCCCAGGCTGCCATCGAGTTCTTCTAGGGAAACTTGCCGTGGGCACCGTGGGGAGTGGGGTAAGGGCAGGGTCTGTGTCTTGTTCCCATGGCTGTCGTGGGCAGTTGTCGGTTAGGAGGGGTGGCTGTCGAGGATGTTGGACTAATTGTTGGCGACCCCCCGCCCCAAGCAGGAGCATTCAGCTGGGGTTCCGCGCCGGGAATTGTTTCAGGATGAGGGTCCCCTCTGGAATGCGCAGAGGGGCGCAGTGTCCAGAGAGGGACGGGATGAAGGGGTGAGAGGAGAAGGAAGAAAAAGAAAGTGGGTGATTTTAAAACGGAGGTCCCTGGTCACACCATGAGCCTCACAGATGGGAAAACTGAGGCACGGGGGATGGTGCGGACCGCCGTGGCCCCTCCATCATCAGTGACAGAGCGCTCCGCGCGGGGCCGCGGAGGTCCCTTAATCTGCAAAGGCCCCCACGCGGCGCGCTGACGACGTCCACTGCACCCGCCGGGCGCCCTCTGGGCCGCTCCCAGGCTGGCCGCCGGCTCTGCGCGGCCGCAGACACTGTCCGAGGTGCTGGGCGCCGGGGCGGGGGGCGCGCCTGTCCCGCCCCACTCGGCTGCTCGGGCCTGCCCGGGGTCTGGGCTTCCGGGAGACCCGCATGCGCCCCACGCCTGGCGGGAACCGAGGCCCCTCCCGCGTCTGTACCCGGCGCGCAGCGGCCCGAGGCGCCTCCCGGGGGCTGGGGGCCCGGAGTCACTGGGAGGCGCCACCGGCGGGGAATTCCGCACACGCCTGCGCGGGGCCGGCGGCGGCGGCGGGCAGGGCGGGGCCGGCGGCGGCGGCGGCGGGCAGGGCGGGGCCGGCGGCGGCGGCGGCGGGCAGGGCGGGGCCGGCGGCGGCGGCGGCGGGCAGGGCGGGGCCGGCGGCGGCGGCGGCGGGCAGGGCGGGGCCGGCGGCGGCGGCGGCGGGCAGGGCGGGGCCGGCGGCGGCGGCGGCGGGCAGGGCGGGGCCGGCGGCGGCGGCGGCGGGCAGGGCGGGGCCGGCGGCGGCGGCGGCGGGCAGGGCGGGGCCGGCGGCGGCGGCGGCGGGCAGGGCGGGGCCGGCGGCGGCGGCGGCGGGCAGGGCGGGGCCCAGGGCCCCGTGACCCGAGGGGCGACAGCGCGCGGCAGGCGGCGAGCTCGGGGGCCGCAGGTGCGAGCGGGCCTGGAGAGT
Source organism: Homo sapiens (assembly GCF_000001405.40). Taxonomy (NCBI): domain Eukaryota; kingdom Metazoa; phylum Chordata; class Mammalia; order Primates; family Hominidae; genus Homo; species Homo sapiens. Next base: position 80,260,924 of record NC_000017.11, read on the forward strand.
CTCCCGGGGCGGGGAGCGGGCTAGGATACAGTGGGCCCCGCGGGCCGGCGGGCCGGGTCCCGGGGAGCGGCGCCTGCGTCCGGATGCCCCTCCCGGCCGCCTCTTCCTGCCGGCTCCAAGTTTCGGTTTCGCCGCCGGGGTGCCCGGTCCAGCCCCGCCCGCGGCGCCCACTGACCCTGTTCCCCGGCTGCGGGAGGGGTCGGGGTGGGGGCAGCGGGCACGCCTGGGACCCCGGCGACATCCCCGGAGCGCAGAGCGCGGAGGAGGCTTTGCGCCCCGGCAGTGCTGCCCCCGGGAAGTGGCCGGGGCACGGGGGGTGTAGTGGAAGGGGACAGCCGGACCCGGGCCTGCAGGTCCGCCCGGGAATCCTGCGCCTGTACGAATGGCAACAACGGAAAAGTGAAGTTGCAAAAACAGACTCCTAACTTTTACGAGGGAGGCATCGCCCCGTCTGAACCGCACCGCGCAGCGTCCTTCCGACTTGGCGAAGTCGCCCGAGCGCGGGGCTCAAGGCCAGGGTGGGCACCCCTCCCGGATGGCTGCCTGCAAGCCGGCGGGCCGGGCCCTGGGGGAGTCCAGGGCGGGAGGGGAAGGAGCTGTGCAAACATGGTGGTGGCCCTTCCCTGCCCCCACCTTGTTGACTTTGGTTGTGGTTGGGGGATGGGCTTTGATTTGGGTGGCAGTGTCTGTGCTTGGGAAAAAATGTCAGAGAAAAGACAGGAAGCGGATTGAATGCAACAGTGTTGGGTGCCTGGGGCTCTCTCTTGTGTCTTCCGGCCCCTAGAGCAGATGGAACAATAAGATGCTTTAGGGGGCCGGGCGCAGTGGCTAATGCCTGTAATCCCAAAACTTTGGGAGGCCAAGGCGGGTGGGTCACCTGAGGTCGGGAGTTCGAGACCAGCCTGGCCAACATGAAACCCCGTTTCTACTAAAAACACAAAAAATTAGCCGGGTGTGGTGGCGCATGCCTGTAACTCCACCTACTTGGGAGACTGAGGCGGGAGAATCGCTAGAGCCCGGGAGGCGGAGGTTGCAGTGAGCTGAGATTGCCCACTGTACTCCAGCCTGGGTGAAACTGTCAAACAAACAAAAAATGCTTTTTGGAGGATTTTTCGAGTTTTCTGGTCTGTGGTTCCCCAGTGTAGCATTGGAGAAGGAAACACTTCGGGTGGAAAGAAAGAGGCCTGGGCGGTGGGGAGTCATTGAAGGTGTTTGAGGGAGGGAGTGTCCACTGGTGGTTGTTTCAGGTAGAGTGTGGAGGGGAGGAGGTACGGTGGGAGCCAGGGCTTGGCTGTGGCAGGGGTAGGGGAGTTTTAAACTCTCCTTCTACTCTGAAGGAGAGATAATTTTAGTCTCTGGAATAAAAGGGCAGCAGACCTGGAGAAAAGGGATGCAAATTGTCCCATACACCTATTGGGAACCTCATCAAAGAGAAGACTGCAGAAGACAGATGATTGATGTTTTTATGGCATTGGGACAGGGGCTTGGGGCTGGAGAGGGGAGGTGTGCAGGGTTGTCTTGTTGTGCAGATAATCACTCAGGTGATCTCAGAGCTGCTCTCAGAGGAACTGGCGAGGCCGCAGGCACTCCTCTTGTGTGTCCCTGGGACCGTTCCTAGATCCCTCTAGGCAGATAATGGGGCCTCAGAGAGAGCTTCTGCTCCATTCTGCTGTTTCATGGTGTGGATTTCCTTTATAGCCTTTTACAAAAGGATAGCTTCCCAGAACTCCTGAGTATGTGGTTGCTCTGAATAGCCATCTCAAAATTGACCACAGAATCTGTTTTGGGGTGGCATAGATTAGTCTCCCACACAGGTCAAGCCAGGGAACCCCACCCAGTGCCTCCGTCCCTCGTTCAGGCCCAGCCTGAGTGAGCCCACCCCAGTGGGAGGAGAGGGCAGGGCCAGGGCAGGGAGGGGGCCTGAGTGTCCTCCTGGCTGCTGAAGGCACCAGTCAGCTGCCGCTCCAGCCACTGCCCCAGTGGAGTTCTTTGGTTCCAAGCCAGCAGAAGAAGGTGGTGGGTGGGCCAGTGTGCCCTGAGGCTTCTTACTGGGGAGGGAGAGAGTCAGGTCCTCCACTGTTAGGTGGCCAAGCGCCCAAACGCCATCTCCACTCTCACCCTGGATGCAAGAAGTGACCCCGGAGGCCTGAGTCCTGGCCTTGGTCTGGTTTGATGCCATCCACCGCAGAGGCTGTTCTGAGGGCAGGTGGTCAGTGCAGAGTGGCGCGCTTTGTGGATGGCAGCCTCCCCCCATTACTAGGAATCTGACTGCCAGCCCAGTAGCCCTGGGCTGCCTGCTCAGGCCCCATCACCTGTGGGGCAGGTGCTTTAGTCCCCTTAAGAGGATGAGGAGGGTGAGGCATCAGCAGGCTGAGCGCCTTGCTCAGGGCAGGCCGTGGGACCCTGCCGAACAGCACGTGGCTGCCCCACGCCTGCCTGGAGCATCCCCTATCCCCACCCAGCCCAACCCATGTTCTCAGCAGCAGGGATGGTTCTAGGCTGGCTGAATGAGGGACCAGGGCAGAGACTGCAAAAGCTTGAGAGCCAAGGGGGCAGCACAGAGCGGGGAGGGGCTGGGCTTGGGCTGTGCTCCTGTTGGGTTTCCATTAACCAGGGGACCAGCTGGGCTGCTGTGATTTCACTTTCGCAGAAAATGAAACTGAAGCCGTGGTCACGTGACAGGACATGTAGTATATAGCAGGCTGCCAGCGACTCCTGCTCTTGCTTCTGGATCTGCAGGGCAGTCCCAGCAGGACCCATGGAGTGTCCTTCGTGCCAGCATGTCTCCAAGGAGGAAACCCCCAAGTTCTGCAGCCAGTGCGGAGAGAGGCTGCCTCCTGCAGCCCCCATAGCAGGTGAGGCCCAGGGGTGCTGGTGGAGGCTGGGGCAGTGGGGACCCCTGGAGATGTCTCACCTCCCTTCCAGGAAATGGAAACCCTGGGCAGCAGGCAGCTCAGGTGGGGCCGAGGTCCTCTGTGGCTACTGAGGCTCTGTGGCTCTGAATAGCCATCTCAAAAGTGACCACAGAGTCTGTTTTGGGGTGGCATAGATTAGTCTCCCACACAGGTCAAGCCAGGGGACCACCACCCAGTGCTTCCGTCCCTCGTTCAGGCCCGGCCTGAGTGAGCCCACCCGAGTGGGAGGAGAGGGCAGGGCCAGGGCAGGGAGAGGACAAAACAAGAAGTTTTGTCGGGGTCTTTGCTGGAGGTTCCTGCTTTTGAAAATTTTCAGTTTCATTTCCTAGAGAGAGCTCACGGTTTTTCTTCCCCTTGGGAATGAGAAGTGTCGGGCTGAGCTGAGGGCTTCATAGAGAGTTTCAGAGAATGCTGCAGGGAAGCAGAGTTTGAGGCTCTGCAGGGGTTGAGAGCTCTGCCTGGGTTAGTTTTTGAGGGGCCGTGAGGGGGCCCCAGGACCTGTCCAGGCACCTCCCTGGCTCGGGAGGCCAGTGGAGAGACAGGAGCGGGGCAGTGTCAGGCGGGCCTTGCCTGCTGAGCATCTTGAGTCCATTCTCAATTTTGTTGGCTTCTGGGGCCTCAGACTGGTTCCCCTCCTCCCGGGTTTTAAACACCAACCCTAAAACTAGCAGCCCCCAGACCTTCAGCCTTTCTGTGTCCAAAGCCCAGCCCCACCTCCACTGGTGAGGGCACCTCATTCTTCCAGCTGCTTCTATCGGACCCATCACCCCGGGGCCCTCTCCTTCCTCCATGACCCACATGCAGAGGGCCCTGCTGGTCTCCCCGCCTCCACGCTGCATGCTGCCTTCCTGCTTCCTGCTCAGCACAGCAGACAGTCAAACCACAGACCCCCTTACAAGATCCGCCCCTGCCCCCGCTGTAACTCAGGACAAGCAGGAGCCCTTACGGTGGCCACGAGGTCCTACATAGACGGCTGCCCACCCCATTCCTCTTGGCTCCCTCTCCTGTCCCCAGAGCCCACCACCTTCTGGCCCTTCCTGGATACACCAGGTGTGCTTCCACCGCAGGGCCTTTGCACCACCCTTCCCCAGAGGGCGGCCTGGCTCCCTCCTTCCCCTCTTTCAGTCTTTGCCCAGCTGCTCGCCATGGGGTCTCTCCGATGTTGTCCTTCAAGGGTGTGAGCCCCAGTCCTTCCATGTTTGTTTGTTTTTTTTTTTTTTTTTAGAGGGAGTTTTTTTGTTCTTGTTGCTCTGGCTAGAGAGCAGTGGCGAAATCTCAGCTCACTGCAACCTCTGCCTCCCGGGTTCAAGTGATTCTTCTGCCTCAGCCTCCCAAGTAGCTGGGACTACTGGTACCCACCACCACTCCCGGCTAATTTCTGTATTTTTAGTAGAGATGGGGTTTCACCATGTTGGCCAGGCTGGTTTTGAACTCCTGACCTCAGGTGATCCACCCGCCTCGGCCTCACAAAGTGCTGGGATTATAGGCGTGAGCCACCGCGCCCAGCCTAAGGGCTCCACTTCTATTAATAATAGTGCGGAGAGCACTGGTAGTGCGCAGCATGAACTGTTTCTAGAGGCATGCAAAGCAAATGCACTTGAGACTCCTAATTCACCACTTGTAAGAGGCCAGGAATTTGGTGACTCTGTACATGATGCTTTTGAACATTTATCGAAAACCAAGAAATACAGTGATGCTGGCTGGTTGCCCCCAGCGTCACTGAGAAAGTGGTGAAAAGGATGAACTCAGGGATTCGATGTCTGGGCTGCAGCTCTGCATAAATGATCTGAGAGTTTCTTAGTGTGCCCTGGATCAGAATCTTCTCTCCTGTAGCCACAGGGTTGAAATTGTAGAAAATCGAGCACCAGCTCTCACGCGATTAGCTGAGTTAAAATGAAAGCTGAGCTTCCAGGCATGCAGGGCGTCTGCTGTTAAAGTGGGGGCACTTAAGCCGGATGCCGTGGTTCACACCTACAACCCCAGCATGTTTGCAGGCCAAGGTGGGAGGATCACTTGAGCCTAGGAGTTTGAGACCAGCCTGGGCAATGTAGAAAGACTCCATCTCTGTATTACAAGAAAAAAAAAGTGAGGACATTGGGTGGCAAAGGAAGGGATCCTTCAAGTTGGGATGGGGACATGGGAAGCCCATGGCCAGGCTGGAGACATTGAGTTCCAAATGATATAAAGTTGAGTCAGGTTGAGTTTAGTAGTGTGGGCCCACTAGCAGAGATTATGCATTTCATGTTGCAGCTGGTAGAGTTAGGAAGGCCTCTGAGTCTTTGTTTGGTTGGCTGAAACATGGATCAAAAGGTGGCCCACCTTACTAGGCGTGGTGGTTCACGCCTGTAATCCCAGCACTTTGGGAGGCCGAGGTGAGTAGATCGCTTGAGCCCAGGAGTTCGAGAGCAGCCTAAGCAACATGGTGGAGCCCCATCTCTACAAAAAAAAAAAAGAAAAAAAAATACAAGAATTAGCTGGAGCAGGAGGATCACTTGAGCCTGGGAAGTCGAGGCTGCAGTAAGCCATGATTGTCCCACTGCACTCCAGCCTGGGTGACAGAGTGAGACCCTGTCTTAGAAGAAAAGAAAAGGAAAAAAAAAGCCTTACAGTGGTCTCTCAGTGCTCAAATGAAAAGTCTCTTGCCTCTCACTTTATTTTTTAAAATTTTATTTCATTGTTTTGAGACAGAGTCTTGCTCTGTCACCCAGGCTGGAGTGCAGTGGTGCCATTTCAGCTCACTGCAACCTTTACCTCCCAGGTTCAAGTGATGTTCCTGCCTCAGCCTCCCAAGTAGCGGGGATTACAGGCGTGAGGCACCACCCTCAGCTATTTTTTATATTTTTAGTAGAGACGGCGTTTCACCATGTTGGCCAGGTTGGTATCAAACTCCTGACCTCAAGTGATGCGCCCACCTTGGCCTCTCAAAGTGCTGGGATTACAGGTGTGAGCCACCCACCGCACCTGGCCTCATGTCTCTCACTTTAAATCAAGAGTTAGACATGATTAAGCTTCTTGAGGAAGGCATGTTGAAAGCTGAGATAGGCTGATAGCTAGGCCTCTTGCACCAAATGGTTAGCCAAGTTGTAAATGCAAAGGAAAAGTTTTTGAAAGAAATTAAAAGTGCCCCCAGCACTTTGGGAGGCTGAGGTAGGTGGATCACCTGAGGTCAGGAGTTTGAGACCAGCCTGGCCAACGTGGTGAAACCCCGTCTCTACTAAAAATGCAAAAATTAGCTGGGTGTGGTGGCTCATGCCTGTAATCCCAGCTTCTTGGGAGGCTGAGGCACAAGAATTGCTTGAACCCAGGAGACGGAGGTTGCAGTGAGCTGAGATTGTGCCACTGCACTCCAGCCTGGGTGACAACAGCGAGACTCTGTCTCAAAAAAAAAAAAGAAAAAAAAGAGACCATCCTGGCCAATATGGTGAAAACCCATGTCTACTAAAAATACAAAAATTAGCTAGGCATGGTGGCGTGTACCTGTAGTCCCAGCTACTCGGGAGGCTGAGGCAGGAGAGAATCACTTGAACCCAGGAGGTGGAGGTTGCAGTGAGCCGAGATCACGCCACTGCACTCCAGCCTGGCGACAGAGCGAGACTCCATCCCAAAAAAGAAAAAAAGTGCTACTCCAATGAACACACAAATGATTAGAGAGTGAAACAGCCTTATTGTGATATGGAGAGAGTTTGCAATGTCTGGAGAGGTCAAACCAGTCACAACATTCCCTTAAACCACAGCCGAATCCACAGTAAAGCCCTAACTCTCCTGTAGCCACAATTCCACACAGGCTGACAGAGTTGAGGAGGCTGCAGAGAAGATCTTGAAGCTAGCAGAGACTGGTTTATGAGGTTTTAGGAAAGCAGTCATCTCCATAACATAAAAGTGCAAGGTGAAGCAGCGAGTGCTGCTGGAGAAGCTGCAGTAAGTTCTCCAGATCTGGCTAAGGTTATTGATGGAGGTGGCTCTACTCAACAGCAGATTTTCTTTTCTTTTTTTTTTTTTGAGACAGGGTCTTGGTCTGTCTCCCAGGCTGGAGTGCAGTGGCTGGTCCTCAGCTCACTGCAACCTCCGCCTCCCAGGTTCAAGCAATTCTCCTGCCTCAGCCTCCCAAGTAGCTGGGATTACAGGTGTGTGCCACCACTTCCGGCTAATATTGTATTTTTTATTAGAGATAGGGTTTCTCCATATTAGCATTGCTGGTCTCCAACTCCTTGACCTCAAGTGATCCCCCTGCCTCTGCCTCCCAAAGTACCGGGGCTATAGGCATGAACCATTGCACCTGGCCAATTTTATTCTTTTTTAAGGCCGAGTAGTGTTCCATTATGTATATGTACCACATTTTCTTCAACGTCCATTGTTGGATAGTTGGTGGATTCCATATCTTGGCTATTGTGAATCGTGCTACAGTGAGCATGGGTGTGCATGGCAGGATTGCTGGAGCCCAGGAGGTCAACGCTGCAGTGAGCCGTGATCATACCACTGCACTCCAGCCTGGGTCGACAGTGAGACCCTGTCTCAGAAAAAAAAAAAAAAAAAAAAAAAAAGGCAGTACTGCATCCCCGGAGGGACTGCAGGGATTAGTGCCACCACCAAGCACTCCAAAGATGCAGGGGTGGGGATTCCCATTCACCTCCCCTATTTGGCCTTTGTGGAAGACGGGTGGATCTTGGGAATGAAAATGAATGATCGTAAGCTTAATCAAATGGTGATTTCTCAGCCTCCATAGTCGTGTGAGCCAATTCTCCTAATACATCCTCTCTCATCCATCTGTTTGTCCATCCATCCATCCATCCATCCATCCGTTTATCTGTCTATCTATCTGTCATCTGTCTTCTATCAATTATCCATCCATCCATTCATCCATGTACCTATCCATCCATCTTATCTATCTATCCTATCTATCCATCTATCTATAAGTCTGTATTAGGGTTCTCTAAAGGGACAGAACTAATAGGATCTATGTCTGTAAGAAAGGGAGTGTATTATGGAGAATTGGCTCACACAATCACAAGGTGAAGTCCCATGGTAGGCCGTCTGCAAGCTGGGAAAGAAAGAAGCCAGTAGTTGCTCAGTCTGAGTCCAAAAGCCTCAAAAGCAGGGAAGCCGACAGTGTAGCCTTCAGTCTGTGGCTGAAGACCCGAGATCCCCCTGGCAAACCACTGGCGTAAGTCCAAGTTTCCAAAGGCCAAAGAACCTGAAGTGTGATGTCCAAGGGCAAGAGGAACGTGAGGAAGCATCCAGCATAGGAGGAAGATGAAAGCCAGAAGACTCAGCGAGCCAGCTTACCCCACCTTCTGCCTGCTTTGTTCTAGCCACGCTGGCAGCTGACTGGATGCTGCCCACCCACATAGAGGGTGGGTCTTCCTCTCCCAGGCCATTGACTCAAATGTCAGTCTCCTCTGACAACACCCTCACAGACACAACCAGAACAATACTTTACCAACTACCTAGGCATCCTTCAACCCAATCAAATTGACACCTGATATTAACCATCACACCGTCTATCCATCCCTCTACCCTATCTGTCCACCTACCCTATCTATCTATCCACCTATCCATCTGTCCTATCATCTATCCATCCATCCATCCATTCATCTATTCTATCTATCCATCCATCTATTCATCCATCCATTCATCTATTCTATCTATCCATCCATCCATTCATCTATTCTATCTATCCATCCATCCTCTTTCTATTCATCCATTCATCTATCCATCTATTCTATCTGTCCATCCATCTATACTATCTATCCGTCCATCCTATCTGTTTATCTATCATCTGTCTATCCATTCATCTAGCTTATCTATCTATTCATCCATCAATCTATCCATCCATCCATTCATCTGTTCTATCTATGTATCTATCTTATGTATCTATCCATTCATCTATCCCATCTTATCTATCCATCCCATCTTATCTATCCATCCGTCCATCCATCCATGTATCTACCTATCTACCTGTCTACCTACCTACCTACATATTCTATAGTTCTGCTCTCTGGATAACCCTGTTCTATACTGTGAGTATTTAATGAGTTAACATGTACATTGTTTAGGAAGTGCTAGTTAAGTATGTCTCTTATTTCTGAATCCAGCTACTTACTTTTATGACAATAAAAATGTAAATGCTGGTTGGCAAATGACCCACATGTTACAGGAGGACATAAAATAGCACGAAGTTTCCTCACCCTGGGCCAGGACTGTCACATTCCCCAGAGCAACACTGTAAACTGGTGTGTCCTCTTCTAGACATCTCCTCTGCGTGAATGTGTGCGCACACACACACACGTTAATGTGAGTGGCAGCTCGTGCCCTGCGCATGCCTTGCTACTTTCATGTACAGTGGCTGAGGCCTCTAGTGGAGGACGGACCTCAGCAGCCTCCCTGGCTCTGCCACCCAGCAGGGCCTGACTCAGCAACAGGCCTATCCTGGGCACTTCCCTTGTCCTGCTGTTTTGCCGTGACATAGGCTGCTAGGCTGCATGCTTGCACGGAGACCTTGCCCTCTGAGCCAGGCTGGCCGTCTGGAGGACAGATTCCCAGCCACTAGCCTGCTGGCTTCAGGCTGGCACATTTACAATGCAAATCTCTTCAAATCCCCTGCACAAAGCTTCTCTGGCCACTCACTGGCCGCGTCTCTGTGCTCCCTGCCTTCTAGATTTCTATTCAGATTCTCTCCAGCGTTCAGAATGATGGATCTTGTCAATCTGTGCCGGTCGTTGGGTGGAAATGGCACTGCAGGGCCTCCGTTCTGATTTCCTTCATCAGTAGGCATGGCAGGCATCTCTTTGGAAGTTAAGAGACCACATGTATGTGTATTTCCTTGAGCGGCCTGTCTGTCTTTAGGGAAGCTCGTTTTGCTTTGGTTGGTCCTTATGATTGTTGGGACTGTTTATACTGGGAACAGCCTGAAACCCAGCTCTCCTAGGCTTGCTCAGCAAGAGAAACGTGCTGGGTCACCGTTGCCCAAGTCCAGGCTTGAGGGGTTCAAGTGTACTAGGGCTTTGCTCCATTTCTCTGATCCTGACAGCTCTGCCCTTCTCCACTGCCAGCTTTGTCTGCAGGTGGAGGAGAACAGACAGTGGTTTCCCAGCACCACCTCATGGTCTTTCCAGGATGCACTGAGTGGCAGAAACCCCAGTAAGGGTCCAGAAGTATGGATGCTTCCATACTTCTTGCTGGTTGGCCCTTCCCTTAGTCAATCACTAGTGCCAGGGTAAATATCGGCCCTGATTGGATTAGGCTAGTCAGGGCCCGCCCCTGGTGGGAGGGTAGGTTGGTGGGAGGGTAGGTTGGTGGGAGGGGCAGGCTCAGAATCCCTGGTTGTAGGTGAAACAGCAGCTCTCGAAGGATGGGGCCTTGGGTCGCCTGTTGCAGATCTTTCTCCAGCTCTTACTTTCTGGCTGTGATGTTTCATGTGTGTCTTATGTATGTAGACGTTTAGAGGATTTGTTATCAATTTTGAGTCCTGCTAAGGAACTTCACGAATTCTTGAGCTCTTGGCTACGCCAACACTGAGTACTCAAAGGGAAAAAGGTCTGCGTGGTCCCTGCCCTCCAGATCTCAGAGGAGGAGAGGGCAGTGACGAAACCAGGTGCTGGAAACGGGCGTGGGGATGAAGTGTCCAGACAGGGGCGCAGCTGGGACTGGCTTGGGGCCTTGGAGAAGGGTCTGTGGGGATCAGGCAGAGGGAAGGTTCTGTACAGAAAAGCAGGCTTGGCCTGGCACCATCTGGAGTGTGTGTCAGGGAGAGGTGGGGTCGTCCAGACCCAGGATTGAAAACAGGGACTCCTTGAAGGGTGTTTTCGTCCATTTTCTGTTGCCATAAGAGTACCCGAGCCTGGGTAATTGAAAAAGAAAAGGCCGGGTGTGGTGGCTCAAGCCTGTAATCCCAGCACTTTGGGAGGCCGAGGTGGGCGGATCACGAGGTCAGGAGTTCAAGACCAGCCTGACCAACATGGTGAAACCCCGTCTCTACTAAAAATACAAAAAAAATTAGCTGGGTGTGGTGGCGCATGCCTGTAATCCCAGCTACTCCAGAGGCTGAGGCAGGAGAATCACTTGAACCCAGGAGGTGGAGGTTGCAGTGAGCCGAGATTGCACCACTGCACTCCAGCCTGGGTGACAGAGCGAGACTCCGTCTCAAAAAAGAAGAAAAAAGAAAAGAGGCCGGGTGGGGTGGCTCACACCTGTAATCCCAGCACTTTGAGAGGGCAAGACGGGTGGATCATGAGGTCAGGAGTTCAAGACCATCCTGGCCAAGATGCTGAAACCCCTGTCTCTACTAAAAACACAAAAATTAGCCGGGTGTGGTGGCATGCACCTGTAATCCCAGCTACTTGGGAGGCCGAGGCAGGAGAATTGCTTGAACCTGGGAGGCAGAGGTTGCAGTGAGCCAAGATTGTGCCTCTGCACTCCAGCCTGGGCGACAGAGCAAGACTCTGTCTCAAAAAAAATAATAAAATAAAATAAAAAAAGAAAAAGAAAAAAGAGGTTTATTTAGCTCACAGTTCTGCAGACTGAGAAGTTCAGGGCCTGGCCCTGATGTCTGGTGAGGGCTTTTGTGCCACATGGCAGAGTAGGCCGACGGGGATGCTGACAGCTGTGAAAGACTAAGCCTGATGGGACATCTTGACTTCATAACAACCCACCTGGCGGGTGCTAATCCATTCCCGAGGGGAGTAAACAAGCCTCTCAAGAGTAAACCCATGACCGCAAACGGCACCAAGCCATTCGTGAGGGATTTGCCCTCACGACCCACAGACCTCCCCGCAGCCCTGCCTCCCAGCACTGGCATACTGGGGATCAACATGAGTTTTGGTGGGGATGGACAAAGTGCGTCCACACCACAATGAAGGCTAGAGTGAGTGTGGGGCTGGCAGAGTGGGTGCTCCATGCTGTCTGCATGGCAGCTCTGCATGGGTGAGAATCTGGAGGCAGAGCAGCTGGGCGGGCAGATGCCTTAGTGCCAGGACAAGGGAAGCAGTTTGAGACCCCTGGGCCGCCACTGGGAGAATGCCCACCCTGGGGAAGACAGGAGGAATGTCTACAGTAGGGGAGGAAAGCGTAACAGGCTCTGTTTTAGAGGTGCCCGAGGTGCGCTGACATCCTAGTACAGAGTCAGGTGAATCCACTCGTGGACATTGGGAGGAAGAGGCTGGATGCTAGGACGGCACAGTCTTTCTGTCTGATTCACCCCTTGTTGTGCTGAAACTGGGGTCCCTGGTTCCCTCCTACCCACCTGGAGCAGAACCCCTACCCTGCTCATGTTAGCAGGCCCAATGCAGGACCTCGGAGGGAGAACAGGGTGAATCTCTCCATGCACTCGTGGGGAGGATTTCTGTTTTTCCTTCCTAACACTCGCTTCTCTCTGAGATCTGACCCTTCCTTCATCTGCCGTTACAGATTCTGAGAACAATAACTCCACAATGGCGTCGGCCTCGGAGGGTGAAATGGAGTGTGGGCAGGAGCTGAAGGAGGAAGGGGGCCCGTGCTTGTTCCCGGGCTCAGACAGTTGGCAAGAAAACCCCGAGGAGCCCTGTTCCAAAGCCTCCTGGACCGTCCAAGAAGTGAGTGCACTGCCTCGGCTCCCCTCCGCCCCCGCTCACTCTGCCCAGGAAAATCTCACTGCACAGCTGCCCAGCTAGCCCCCGAAAATGCCACCATGGCCCAGCCCATTGAACCTGCCCACAGGGCAGCAGCAGAGCTGCCCCTTCTGCACCTGATTCATCTCTGGCTGGAGTCTGTGGGTTCCAGACCCCCTGGGGCCTCCACCGTCTTTTTTTTTTTTTTTTTTTTTTTGAGACAGAGTTTCGCTCTTGTTGCCCAGGCTGGAGTGCAGTGGTGCGATCTCGGCTCGCTGCAGCCTCCACCTCCTGGTTTCAAGCAATTCTCCTGCCTCAGCCTCCCAAGTAGCTGGGACTACAGGCATGCACCACCACGACCAGCTAATTTTTTTGTATTTAGTAGAGACGGGGTTTCACCATGTTGGTCAGGTTGGTCTCAAACTCCTGACCTCAGGAGATCCACCCACCTCGGCCTCCCAAAGTGCTGGGATTACAGGTGTGAGCCACCGCGCCCGGCCTCCACCTTCCTTTTCTTTCTACCAGACCCAATACTCGTGTGTCTCCCAGAAGCTGTGGCTGGGGTGGGGCCTGAGCTTCTGCCGTGTGTATCTGTGTCCCAAGCTTCTGTGGGTCTCTTTGCATTGAGGGTGCAAGCTCAGAGGTGCCTTGCTGCTTCGGGGCAGGGACCTGAGCGTCCGCTGGGTGCGTGTCTTGCGCTTCTGTAGGCCTCTGCATTGAGGGTGCGTGCCCAGAGGGGCTTTGAAGCTTTGGGTGTGGGGTGGGTGCTCTGGAAATGTGCTGGCTGGCAGGTTACCCTTCTTGGAAGGGTATGGCTGAGCCACCTTTTGGCTCCCTCTGGCCTTGAACAGCCTCTTAGGCGTTAGACACCAAGAGAATGCGTCCTTGTTAAGATTCCCAGTTGGAGCACTAGGCGAGGCTTTCGAGGGGAGCGTCCTGGACATGTTCAAGGAGAATGGTTGGAAGAGAAGGGCTCCTGGGCTCTAGCGCGGCCTGGGAAGACCCAGAGGGCAGTGTCAGCTCCCGGGTTTCTTGCTGGGCACGGAGAAGGGGAAGCTGTCTTTCTGTGTCTGCACTGGGGCTGGCTTTCTGTCTGTCGTTCCTTGTAGGTGGCACTCCATGGTTGGGCTATGGTGGGAAGTGATGCAGCCGCAGTGCTGTGGTCTGTGGGGGGTGAGTGGGGTGAGTGTGGGGGGTGAGTGGGGTGTCTGTGGGGGGTGTGGGGTGAGTGTGTGGGGTGAGTGGGGTGAGTGTGGGGGGTGAGTGGGGTGTCTGGGGGGGGTGAGTGGGGTGAGTGTGGGGGGTGAGTGGGGTGTCTGTGGGGGGTGAGTGGGGTGAGTGTGGGGTGTGAGTGGGGTGTCTGTGGGGGATGAGTGGGGTGAGTGGGGGGTGAGGGGGGTGTCTGTGGGGGGTGAGTGGGGGGTGAGTGGGGTGTGTGTTGGGGGGTGTGTGAGTGGTGTGAATGGGATGTGTGTGTGTTGGGGGTGTGTGAGTGGGGTGTGAGTGGGGTGTGTGTGTTGGGTGTGTGAGTGGGGGGTGTGTGTGTTGGGGTGTGTGTGTTGGATGTGTGTGTATGTGTTGGGGTATGTGAGTTGGTGTGTGAGTGGGGTGTGTGTGTGTTGGGGGTGTGTGTTGGTGTGTGAGTTGGGGGTGTGTGAGTGGGGTGTGTTGGGTGTGTGTGTGTTGGGTGTGTGCGTGTTGGGTGTGTGTGAGTGGTGTGTGTGTGTTGGGAGTGTGTGTGGGGTGAGTGGGATGTGTGTGTATGTTGGGGTGTGTGGGAGTGGGGTGTGTGTGTGCTTGTGTCATTCCCTTGGAGAATAATCCCTTCCAGAGCAGCCAAGGCCACCCCCAAGCCTGGAGCACATGGGATGCGGAAGGTTTGGGTAACTCCCTTTTTATGCCTAATTTGGAACTCTGTCAGAGTGGGAAAGTGGCAGTACGGATGGTGTTCCTTGAAAACATTGAAGGCAAATGAATAAACCCTTTGCCATCTGGGGCAAACAATAAACCCGCCCAAAGACAGAGGAAAAGCTAAGAATTGAGTTACTTGGGGGAATAAAATTTTGAAAAGTTTCCATGAATAATGAGGAATCTAGAAAGCCACACAAATGCTCGAGCAGGACGCACTCGAAAAAGACCTGAGAAGACCTCAGTGCAGGCTGGAAGGAAGGCTGAGTGTGGGAGGAGTGTCCCAACTCAGGGCCAGTCTACAGAGACTGAGAGAGTATTATTTTTTCTTTATTTTATTTTATTTTTTTTTGAGATGGAGTCTCACTCCTTTGCCCAGGCTGGAGTGCAGTGGCGCCATCTCAGCTCAACTGCAACCTTTGCCTCCCAGGTTCAAGTGATTGTCCTACTTCAGCCTCCGGAGTAGCTGGGACTACAGGCACCCGCCACCACGCCTGGCTAATTTTTTGTATTTTTGGTAGAGACGGGGTTTCACCATGTTGGCCAGGATGGTCTCGATCTCCTGACCTTGTGATCCACCCGCCTCGGCCTCCCAGAATGTTGGGATTACAGGCGTGAGCCACCATGCCTGGCCAGTTTTTTTTTTTCTTTTTTCTTTTCCATGTTTTGGCTGTAGGTGTTTAAGGAAATCTCTATCAAACTACTAATTGGCAACAAGCCAAAGGAACATAGACTTTATTTATTTATTTATTTATTTATTTTTTGTTTTATTTATTTATTTATTTATTTTTGAGATGGAGTTTCGCTCCTGTTGCCAAGCTAGGGTGCAATGGCGTGACCTTGGCTCACAGCAACCTCCACCTCCCGGGTTCAAGCGATTCTCCTGCCTCAGCCTCCCAGCTAGCTGGGATTACAGGCATGCACCACCATGTCTGGCTAATTTTGTATTTTTAGTAGAGACGGGGTTTCTCCATGTTGGTCAGGCTGGTCTTGAACTCCTGACTTCAGGTGCTCTGCCCACCTCAGCCTCCCAAAGTGCTGGGATTACGGGCGTGAGCCACCACGCCTGCCCTATTTTTTATTTATTTTTTAATGTTTTAAATTTTTTTACTA
This sequence comes from Homo sapiens, assembly GCF_000001405.40. Taxonomy (NCBI): domain Eukaryota; kingdom Metazoa; phylum Chordata; class Mammalia; order Primates; family Hominidae; genus Homo; species Homo sapiens. The sequence continues at coordinate 80,276,441 of NC_000017.11, forward strand.
GTGGAAATCTGCTTGAATTTGTAAAATGTAGAGTTGACACAGAAGATGTGAAAAGAATGAAGACATTTTCTAGGGAATCTTGAACAAGAGAAAACCGACATGAACAAGAGAACAATAAAAGAGGCCAGGCGCGGTGGCTCACTGGGTGACTGTGAGATCCTTCCTCAAAGAGAGAGAGAGAGAAGGAAGGAAGGAAAGACAATAGGAAATGTTGATGAGGATGTGGAGAAATTGGAAGTGTTGTACAGTGTTGGTGGAAATGTTAAACGCTGCAGCCGTTAAGGAAGCAGCAAGGCAGTTGATCCAAAAGTTACGCATAAAATTATCCTAGGCCGGGCGCGGTGGCTCACACCTGTCATCCCAGCACTTTGGGAGGCTGAGGTGGGTGGATCACGAGGTCAGGAGATTGTGAACATCCTGGCCAACATGGTGAAACCCCGTCTCTACTAAAAATACAAAAAAAAAAATTAGCTGGGCGTGGTGGCGTATGCCTGTAATCCCAGCTACTTGGGCGGCTGAGGCAGGAGAATCACTTGAACCCGGGAGGGGGAGGTTTCAGTGAGCCGAGATCGCACCACTGCACTCCAGCCTGGCAACAGAGCGAGACTCACTCTCAAAACAAAGCAAACAAACCAAAAAAAAAACAAAAAAAGAATACGATATGGATCTGTGCTGTAGCCTGGATGGACCCCAAAAACATGCTAAATGAAAGAAGCCAGATACAAGAGGCCATGTATGATTCCTTTGATATGAAATATCCACGATAGACTCACCCATGGAGACAGAACACAGATTAGTGGTTGGCTGGGAGGAGTGGGGAGGAGGGAGTCATTGCTGTGGGATTTCTTTCTGGGATGAAGAAAATGGGAACTAGGGCCAGGCCCGGTGGCTTCTCACCTGTAATCCCAGCACATTGGGAGGCTGAGGCGGGTGGATCACTTGAGGTCAGGAGTTCAAGACCAACCTGACCAACATGGGGAAACCCCGTCTCTACTAAAAATACAAAAAGTAGCCGGGTGTGGTGGTGCTTGCCTGTAATCCCAGCTACTCAGGAGGTTGAGGCAGGAGAATTGCTTGAACCTAGGAGGCAGAGGTTGCAGTGAGCCGAGATTGAGACACCGCACTCCAGCCTGGGCGACAGTGAGACTCTGTCTCAAAAAAAAAAAAAAAAAAAAAAGCCTAAATATCCACATATCCACACATGAGAGAAGTTCAGAGTGAATACACAGGTGAATGCCGATGGGTTGTCTCTGGTGATGAGTTTACAGGGGCTTTTGCGCATTTTCCCAATCCCACAGGGAGCCTATTGAATTCTGAAGCTGAGAGCAGTGTATGCGTGAACGGTGCTCTAAGCGCAGACGCCGCATTCTAACCATGGTGAGGAGGGTGCTAGGAGCCAAGGGAGGCGGCCCCAGAAGCTGAGACAGCGAGCTGCGTGGCCAGCCTCACCCTGCAGCAGAGTCAGGTGGTCAGTCCTCACCTGCAGTCATGGGGTGGGTGGAGAGGGAAAGGGCGCACAGAGAGGGGCCCGCGCCTGTCCCTTGGCACAGCCATCCTCCACTTGGCCTCTCCTTTGGTGGCCGCTGGTTGCTGACTAACAGGGTGTCCTTTGTGCATTCTTCCTCTGGAGAGGCTACTGGGCTTGGCTGCTGGGTTGTACTTCCTGTGGTGAGGGAAGAGGAGACTGCCGGAGCCAGGGGTCATTTGGGTTGGAGGCATCGGCAGGCCAGGAGGCTGCTGGTGGAGCTTCCTTTCCTCAGCTTCCTGCTGGGCGTCTTGCTGTGAGGTCTCCCGGCGATGCCCGGTGTGGTGTGGAAGGGAGGTGTCGGATGAGCATGCCCGCTACAGGGCCAGACTGCCCGCCTCCGCCTCTAGGGGCTTGGGAGGCCTGGCCTGGCTGGCCCTGGGGTGCCCGGGCCTGCCTATACCTTCTGGGTCGGTCTCTGCAGTGCATCTGTGCTCTGAGCACAAGCCAAGGCATTCGTGTGGAGGCCCGGGGCGCCGGGAGCCTGGTAGGGTGCTGGGAGCTTGGCAGGGTGCCGTGAGCCTGGCAGGGTGCCGCCTCTGGTGTGGGCAGTTCTCCTCTTACGTGGACTTGTCCTGCACGTCTGCAGGAGCTGCTTCTTCGTCTTCCCACACCCTCCTGCCCATGGGCCCTGGAGGCAGACGGTGCTGGGAAGCTGGTCAGTGCCCACATGTGGGTGTCCCTGCCTGGGCCTTCCCAAGAGGAGGTGGCCCCTGAGGTGGGGTCTTTGCGAGTCTACTGGAGCTGTGCGTGGGGTGCACAGCCCTGCCCTGTCTGAAGGGGGTCGTGTTTCAACAGGGAGCTACATCAGAGGTTTTGGTAGATGCTGCTGTAGACCTCATATCCGATGAATGGGAAGCTGCTAATGCCATACCCAGCAAGAGAAGGAAGCAGGATGCAGCCCCGCTTGAGGCCGCCAGCGTGCCTTCTGCAGACTGTGAGCAGGTAGTCCGAGTCAATAGTTTGGGCAGAATGCTCCCTGCCCTGGTGCATGCTGGCACAGCCTGGCACGGCCACCTCGCACTTCCGGCCCTTGAGTCCCTGCCAGTCGAGGAAGGCTGCCCAGGATGGGCGTTTTCGGGTCACCCTTGGGCTGTGAAAGAGCAACGCTGATTCAGGCTTGGCTCTTGTGACTCTGAGGATGTTTTGCTAGTGGTGAATTTCAGCTTTATTGTGCTTGCCCTTCTGGCCCACATCCTTCCACTTGCCTTTTTACTCCGTGCAGCTGTCCCCTTGGACACCTGGAGAAACTTAACCTGGCTGCACTCACCTGGCTAAAGCTCCACCAGCAACACAGGCTTCACCACAGAGAGCAGCAGGGGAGCCCAAGGGGGCTTAGAGGGCCAGGCCCAGGCAGGTGGGGGCCCGACCCAGCCTCTGCCTGAACACAAGGTCTTGGATGGCGCTCGCCACGTGGGGGTGTAGTGGAAGCCCTGCTCAGTTTAGTCTCTGGTTTTTGGAAGTTGAAATCCTGACTTTTTCTCTTTTTCTTTTCTTTCTTTCTTTCTTTTTTTTTTGAGACAGAGTCTCGCTCTGTCGCCCAAGCTGGAGTGCAGTGGCACGATCTCAGTTCACTGCAACCTCCGCGTGCAGGGTTCAAGCGATTCTCCTGCCTCACCCTCCTGAGTAGCTGGGATTACAGGCACCTGCCACCACGCCCGGCTACTTTTTTTGTGTATTTTTAGTAGAGACGGGGTTTCACCATGTTGGCCAGGCTGGTCTCGAACTCCTGGCCTCAAATGATCCACCCATCTTGGCCTTCCAAAATGCTGGGATTACAGACGTGAGCCACTGTGCCTGCCCCAAATCCTGACTTTTTCTATAGCATTTAGGAGTATTACAGGACTCACTAATAATATCAAAAATGAAATTAGGTAACACATGTAATGAAAGGACTTTTGCTTTTGGGGAAAAGCAAGGGAGCTTCATACCTTGAAGAGTGATGCTTGTGAAGTTTATTACTTTTTTGCAGAGGGCGACGGCCTCCCTGCCTTCCCCGCACCGCGCTCCCCCCAGCCCCTGCCCATCGAGATGGTCATGTGTTCATTGAACGGAGACTTACCGAGCATCCACCACGCCTAGGTCTTAAGTGTAGGCAGAAGCCTTCAAGGCAGGCATGCTCTTTCCTCTGTGGGCTGGGGCTTGGCCGTGAGCCCACTCCTGCAGCTCCTGGGAAATGCAGGCAGCGTCCACACGGGGCTGGACTTAGCCAGACCTAAGGCACAGTGTGGGTGGAGAGCTCATTCACAATAGCAACAAAAATGTGAGAAGGAACTTGTAAAATAAAGGATGGATTCATAGGCCATGCGAGGAGAAGAAGGCTCGGGCTCAGCAGACAGTGAAGTCCGTGGAGAGGTGGGCCCTTCCCCAGAGAGAACATGGAAGGTTTAGCACTGCAGAGATGTCTGCTGTCACCCAGAATGACACGGGAACTTAACCAACTAATTAATGTATAACAGTAGTATAGCTCTGAATGGGTTTGGTGGGTTTTGTTTTTGTTTGTTTTGAGGCAGGGTCTCGCCCTGGGTCCCAGGCTGGAGCGCAGTGGCAAAATCATAGCTCACTGCAGCCTTGACTTCCTGGGCTCAAGCAATCCTCGTGCCTCAGCCTCCCGAGTAGCTGGGACTACAGGCGTGCACCACCACACCCAATTAATTTTTAAAATTTTTGGTAGAGATGGGGTCTTGCTGTGTTACCCACGCTGGTCTCAAACTCCTGGGCTCAAGCAATTCTCCCGCCCCAGCCTCCCAAAGTGCAGGGATTACAGGCATAAACCACCACCCTAGCCTCGTTTTGTATTTTTGGAAGTTGACAGATTTTAAACTATAAATTGGTGAGGATACTTAACAGATGTGAGGAGGAGAAATGGATGGGAGATTTATAGTAAAGCTGTCAACGTACACGGGTGGAAACATTCCCACGGAGTAACAGAGGCGCGACCTGGGGATGCGCACGGAGCATGAGATGTGAGCTGGAGTTAGGGCACTGCATATGCGGACCGGAGCGTGTTGGTCAGGGTGTATACACGGGTGTGGAAAGTGGGGTGTCTAGACCATGGGCTCAGCATTTGGGTAAAACACACACACTCCACTCACCCCAGTCACACACACCCCCCGCCACACATACCCCACTCACACATACCCCACTCACACCACTCACACACACCCCCACACCCCACTCACACCACTCACACACACCCCCACACATACCCTCCACACACACATACCCCACTCACACCACTCACACACACCCCCACACACACCCCACTCACACACACCTCAACACACATACCCCACTCACACCACTCACACTCCCCCCCACACACATACCCTCCACACACACATACCCCACTCACACCACTCACACACGCCCCCACACACACACCCCACTCACACACACCTCAACACACACACACACCCCACTCACACCACTTACACACCCCCAAGACAAACACCCCATTCACACCACTCACACACCCTGCAACATACACCCCACTCACAACACTCACACACCCCCCAACATACATACACCCCACTCACACACACACCCCAACACACACATGCCCCACTCATACCACTCACACACCCCCCAAGACAAACGCCCCACTCACACCACTCACACACTGCCAACACACACAGCCAACTCACACCACTCACACACACCCCCAACACACACTCCCCACTCACCCCACTCACACACACCCCAACATACGCAAGTCCCACTCACACCCATCTCATACTCACACTGAAACACACAGTGGTCCCTTGTTGCCCACAGGGGGTCGGTTCCAGGACCGCGGAGGACGCCAAAATCCAAGGATGCCCAGTCCCAGATATGAAACGGCGTGGCATTGGTACATAACCCACAGCATCCGCCTGTACACTTAATTTTTTATTTTTTTTATTTTTTGAGACGGATTCTCTCTCTTTTGCCCAGGCTGGAGTGCAATGGCGTGATCTCGGCTCCCTGCAACCTCCGCCTCCTGGGTTCAAGCGAGTCCCCTGCCTCAGCCTCCCGAGCAGCTGGGACTATAGGCGCCTGCCACCACACCTGGCTAATTTTTGTATTTTTAGTAGAGATGGGGTTTTGCCATGTTGGCTAGGCTGGTTTCAAGCTCCTGACCTCAAGGAATCCGCCTGCCTTGACCTCCCAAAGTATTGGGATAACAGGCCTGAGCCACTGAGGCCGGCCCCCGACACCATGCACTTTAATTCATCTCTAGATTCCTTACCACAGGCATCTGTATGACATAGATGCTGTATGAACAGTTGCTACACGGTGCGGTGTTGCTCTTTGTGTTCTTTGTTATTGTTGTCTCGTTATTTTCTGTTTTCTTCCCCAGTATTTTCTGTCTGTGGTTGGCTGAATCTGTGGCTGCAGAGGGCCGACTGTATACCAGCTTGATTCAATATTTTATTTTTATTTTTTATTTATTATTGTTATTATTTTTTGAGATGGAGTCTCACTCTGTCGCCCAGGCCGGAGTGCAGTGGCACAATCTCGGCTCACTGCAAGCTCCGCCTCCCAGGTTCACGCCATTCTCCTGCCTCAGCCTCCCGAGTAGCTGGGACTACAGGCGCCCACCACCACGCCCAGCCAATTTTTTTGTATTTTTGTAGAGATGGGGTTTCACCGTGTTAGCCAGGATGGTCTGGATCTCCTGACCTTGTGATCCACCCGCCTCGGTCTCCCAAAGTGCTGGGATTACAGGCGTGAGCCACTGCACCCGGCCTATTATTACTATTTTTCAAGGCAGAGTGTTGCTCTGTCTCCCAGGCTGGAGTGCAGTGGTGCAATCTTGGCTCACTGCAACCTCTGCCTCCTAGGTTCAAGTGATTTCTCCTGCCTCAGCCTCTAGAGTAGCTGGGATTACAGGTGTGTGCCACCACGCCTGGCTAATTTTTGTATTTTTAGTAGAGATGGGGTTTCCCCATGTTGGCCAGGCTGGTCTCGAACTCCTGACCTCAGGTGATCCGCCCGCCTCGTTCTCTCAAAGTGCTGGGATTACAGGTGTGAGCCACCACGCCTGGCCTGATTCAATATTTTAATGTAAAACAGCATCCTAAAAGCTCTAGAAAATGTAGGGGGATATTTATAAAATTATGTAAATACTTCTAAGCCTCACCCCCCGTAAAATTATAAATACCGCTATGGTTATGTAGTTCGAGATTCTGGGTCAAAGAAGACTATGAAACTGTTCAATGGAAAAGCAGACAGCAGGAGGCACTGGCAGCACAGGGCGCCTACCAGGGCACTCGGCCAGTCCTCACCGAGAAGTAAGTGGTCCCTAACTCAGGGCCAGGTGGCAGTTCACACGGGAAGAGCTGAGGGGGTGAGCCTGGGGCTGCTGCTCCGAGGTGTCAGCCCTGCAGGTGTGATGATGTCAGATGGTTGGTTTTGTTTCTATTGAAAAGAGGTTCTGGGATGGCGGCTTGAGGGCAGTGGTCTTCCAGGAACTGGATCACGGTCCCTCCAAGGGTCTCTCCTGCAGTTGCGTCTGCGCTTACTGCAGTCTTTCCACAGCCCCGTGTTGTGGGCAGAGGGAGTGAGGCCAGGCCTGGCTCCTGCCTCCAGCCTCCCCGGGCTCTGCCCAACCTCCGTGTGCTGCTGCTGCTGTTTCTTCCTGGCTGGCCACTCCCCTCCTGCAAGGCAGGCCCTGGGGAGGGGTGCTGGCAGCTGTTCCTAAGGTCTGAGCCCTTTGCTACATCAAGGAAAGAAGCGGTAGGGGGCCTGCATCTTCCATGCTGGTGGGAGGTGGGGGGTGGTCAGGGGCCTGCCTCAGTGGGCTCCTCCTGTTCCGGGCTGTGACTCGGCGGTCCAGAGCCTCAGGATTCTCCGTCTATTTCTGCCAGAGCCTGATTATGTCATCGAAGCTGCTAGAGCATCCATGACCTTGGCTTATTTTCAACTTTCATAATTAGGGAAAAACTTAATTTGAGGTTTGATTATTTTAACCATTAGAAATCTTTGGGTAATGGCCAGGCACAGTGGCTCACACCTGTAATCACAGCACTTTGGGAGGCCGAGGTGGGTGGATCACCTGAGGTCAGGAGTTCAAGACTAGCTGGCCAACATGGTGAAACCCCATCTGTACTAAAAATATGAAAATTACGGCCGGGCACAGTAGCTCACGCCTGGAATCCCAGCACTTTGGGAGGCCGAGGCGGGTGGATCACCTGAGGTCAGTTCAAGACCAGCCTGGCCAACATGGTGAAACCCCATCTGTACAAAAATACAAAAAAAAAAAAATTAGCCGGGCATGATGGCAGGTGCCTGTAATCCCAGCTACTTGGGAGGCTGAGGCAGGATAATCACCTGAGCTGGGGAGGCGGAGGTTGCAATGGGCTCAGATCATGCCATTGCACTCCAGCCTGGGCAACAAGAGTGAAACTTCGTCTCAAAAAAAACAAAAACAAAAACAAAACAAAAATAGCTGGGCGTGGTGGCATGTGCCTGTAATCCCAGCTACTCAGGAGGCTGAGGCAGGAGAATGGCATGAACCCGGGAAACAGAGGTTGCAGTGAGCTGAGATTGTGCCACTGCACTCCAGCCTGGGTGACAGAGTGAGACTCCATCTCAAAAAAAGAAAAAAAAAAAAGCCTTTGAATTGCAAATAATGGAAAGCCCAGCTCCACCTTTCTAATCCCATTGAGGAAGTTTATTATGGACACACCTGATGAGCCCCGAGCCTGTAGGTGAGGCTTGGTGCAGGCGTCTCCGGCCCTGTCTACTCTGCCTTCCGGACGGCTCCCCCACTGAGCCTCTCATCAGCTGTTTCCCGTTACTCCCTCGTGCCACACAGTGGCTTCCCCTGTGATCCACCTGCTACTCTGTCCTTCAGGGGACAAGACAGCGCCTCCTCTGGTGATTGATTCCTCTGGAGAGAGGAAGCGCTTCCTCAAATCTCATTGGCTCTGATTGGCTCACAGGCCAATCCCCCAGTGGGTCCCTATGGCCAGGATGATAGACATCAGTGGTTGACACCAGCCCACGCACAAGAGCTGCCCTTGGGGCTAGAGTAAGGCTGATGTTACTCAAACCATGCAGCCGATAACAGGGAGAGCCAAGGGACCATTCCCCAGGATGGGCCATCCAGCGCTGTCACCAGGTGGCCACAAACACCTGCTGTGTGTGGACAGTGACCATGACCACAGCATCACTGATGGGGGCCTTGCGTGTACCAGGCAGTGTCCTACAACTCTCCGTGTGCTTTGTCCCATTTGGTCACCCTCAGTGATGCTCTGATGTGGACACATCTGCTGTCTCCACTTTAAAGATGGGGAAACTGAGGCCCACGGTGGCTCAGTGACCCACCTGGGGTTGCCCAGCCATTGTAGCATGGGGTGAGCTGGATGGGAACTCAGGCAGGCCCTCTAAACCCAGCCCAGACGCCACTGCATGGCAGCCCCGGAGGTACCAGGCAGCTGGCCGGGCAGGGACGGCGTCATCGCCTCTCCGAGGGGAGGCTGTCTTCAGGGCTGGGACCCCACCTGCCAGGTCTCCTCAGCACACTGAGGACGATGGGTGCCTGCAGTGAAGGGTTGTGCAGCACCTGCCTGTTTCTTGACGGCCTCTTGCTTCCCCCTCTCAGCAGGTCCCCCGGCAGCTGACCAGCCTGTCATTCAGAGGCTGATACCTGCTGATGACGCCACTCTACAGTGCTGGGCCCCAGCCCCAGACTCTTCTTCTGCAGCTGCTTCTGCAGTTGCTTTTTTTTTTTTGTGAGATGGAGTCTTGCTCTATTGCTCAGGCTGGAGTGCAGTTGCGTAATATCGGCTGACCGCAGCCTCTGCCTCCCGGGTTCAAGCAATTCTCCTGCTTCAGCCTCCCAAGTAGCTGGGATTGCAGGTGCCTGCCACCACGCCCAGCTAATTTTTTGTGTTTTTAGTAGAGATGGGGAGGATCTCACCATGTTGGCCAGGCTGGTGGCGAACTCCTGACCTCCAGTGATCCGCCTGCCTCGGCCTCCCAAAGTGCTAGGATTACAGGCCTGAGCCACCGCACCTGACCTATTGTTTTATTTTTGAGATGGAGTCTCACTCTGTCGCCCAGGCTGGAGTGCAGTGGCCAGATCTCAGTGAGGCCCTGTTTTAGAGTCAGCCTGCGCTGGGAGTGAGTCTCCTCTGTCCACACCCAAACGCACCAAGTGTGCCATTTCAGCAGTGGTGCTTGCTCCCTGGAATGGGACCAGGTGCTCTCAGCGGTGTGGTGGGTTGGTGGCCTGGGGTTGGTGTCGGACGCAGGCCGGTGTTGGACGCAGGCCGAGCGGGAGGCTGGAGCCAAGCTGTGGCCTGGGGAGATGTTATGGGTCGGAGGGTCGGGGGGTGGGGGCGCCTCCTGTGCTTTGTGTACACTGAGCATGGGTTTCCTCTGAATTTAAAAAGGAGGAGAAAATCGGAATTTCTGGCCCTGGTTCTGGCAGGAAGTGTGGCCATGTGTGATAGAGAAGGGGTTGCAGTGTCGGCCTGGCCTCCTGGAAGCCCTGGGATGCAGCCCTGTCCAGCTGCGGCCTCGTCATGCCCTGGGTGGGTGGGAACGCAGCCTCCTCCTTGGGCCACACAGGGGCCGACCGTCAGCCGAGGGGCTCCTGAAGTGGCAGTGATGGGATCCTGTGGCGCTTCCTCATCCCCTTGTTACCAGTTGCTGAGGAGAGGGTGGATTAGCCCCTGGGCTGCACCTCAGTGTGTGCAGGTCTTCCCAGGTATGTGGGTGCAGGAGGTGGGGGGCGTGGAGTGGGCACAGGTTCACACCTGCTGCCTGGCAGTTTGGGGCCCTCATCACACACCACCAGGTTTCAGGGGATCTACAAGTCACTTTCCTGTACTGACCTGATCCACACGCACCCCTGAGTACTGCCCCCTGGGAGATGCCTGTGGGGTCCCAGGGTCCTGGCAGCCTCCTCCCACCAGCCGCAGTCCTGGTTCCAAAATGGGGACCGTACACCTGAACCTGGATGTGCCTTTGAGCCTGGCTGTGCCTGCTGAGGGTGCGGTGGGAGCTGCTACTCATTTTTTAGTCTCATCCTTCTCATTTCAAATTTTATGTACGAAATATTTTTATAGAGGTGCATAAAACGTGGAAAGCCTGTGTGTGCTTTCTAATGTTCAAAACCAGGCCAGGCACGGTGGCTCACGCGTGTAATCCCACACTTTGGGAGGCCAAGATGGGAGGATTGCCTGAGCCTAGGTGTTGGAGACCAGCCTGAGCAACATGGGAGACTCTGCCTCTACAGAGCATTTTTTAAAACCAGCTGGGAATGGTGGTTCGCGCCTGTAATCCCAGGACCTTGGGAGGCCGAGATGGGCAGATTGCCTGAGCCTGAGATTTCAAAACCAGCTTGGGCAACATGGTGAAACCCCGTTTCTACAAAAAACAAACCAACAAAAAATTAGCTGGGCGTAGTGATGCTCACCTATAGTCTCAGCTACTCAAGAGGTTGATGGGGGAGGATCACTTGAGCCCAGGAGGTCAAGGCTACAGTGAGCTGGGTTTGCACCCTGCACTCCATCCTGGGCGACAGAGGGAGACCTTGTCTCAAATAAATAAATAAATACAAATCCATCTCAGTGGATGTCCAATAAGCAGTGAGCCCGTGTGAGGGTCTCAGCCCGGCCGTGACCGTGCCGAGTGTGGCGAGCGCTTCAAGGCCACTTGCCCCGACCCTGCCCACCCCCCACTTTTGTTTCTTAATTTCATTCTTTCCAGGAAATTGCAGATTTAACAGATGTTAGGTACTTTGGTCGAGCCAAGCTTGATGTAGTTGAGGAACGGAAGAGAAAGTTGGAGGGAAACACGGGCTAGAGTAGAGTAAATCTAAGAAATAAAGTGAGTGTCTCTCTTTCTGTTTAGAGCAAAAAGAAGAAAAGGAAGAAGAAAAAGAAGGGGAACAAGTCCGCTTCCTCAGAGCTGGCTTCCTTGCCCCTTTCTCCTGCCAGCCCCTGTCACCTGACTTTGCTTTCAAACCCGTGGCCTCAGGACACAGCCCTGCCCCACAGCCAAGCCCAGCAGAGTGGCCCCACTGGCCAGCCGAGCCAGCCCCCAGGCACAGCCACCACGCCACTGGAGGGTGACGGCCTCTCCGCGCCCACCGAGGTTGGCGACAGCCCCCTGCAGGCCCAGGCTTTGGGAGAGGCAGGAGTGGCCACAGGAAGTGAGGCTCAGAGCAGCCCGCAATTCCAGGACCACACGGAAGGGGAGGACCAGGACGCTTCCATCCCCTCTGGGGGCAGAGGCCTGTCCCAGGAGGGGACCGGTCCCCCCACCTCTGCTGGTGAAGGCCATTCTAGGACTGAAGATGCTGCCCAGGAGCTCCTGTTGCCTGAGTCAAAAGGAGGCAGCTCTGAGCCCGGGACAGAACTGCAGACCACCGAGCAACAGGCAGGGGCCTCAGCCTCTATGGTGAGTCATCCGGGAGAGATGGCCTGGGAGTGGCACTGAGCCCTCGGCACCTGGGCTCTGCTGCAAGGTGCTGGCGTTGCTTCCCTGCCGGGGGGAGGGGCGTCCTCTGGGCCCTGCTCCCTGGGTGGGAGTCGGAGGGCTGCCCCTCCACTGGGGATGCCAGCCCACCCTGTCCCTCGGCTTGTGGCAGATGCTGCCCCTTAAACCATTGAGTCGGAGTCACCCTGGCCCATTTTGTCACCTTGGCTCTGGTGTTTGGGGTCTTTCAGGCAGTTGATGCTGTAGCTGAGCCAGCCAATGCAGTTAAAGGGGCCGGGAAGGAAATGAAAGAGAAGACCCAGAGAATGAAACAGCCACCAGCAACCACTCCTCCTTTCAAAACACACTGCCAGGTGCGTCTCCTTCCTGCCTGCCGGCTCCAGGAGGCCCTCTCCTGCCCACGGCTGCGCCTCTTTCATTTAATTATTCAGCAAATATTTAAGTGCTGGGGATATAGCCATGATTCAGACAAAGCTCTGGCCTTCGGGGTGCTCACATTCCAGCGGAGAGAGAGTCAGGAAACCGACTTCAGCGGTGAGAAGAGCGTGGAGGGAGGGAGAGAGGGCACCCAGGTGGGCCCCGAGGTACCATGGCACCCACAGCCCGAGTGGCCGGGCGAGGCCTCTCTTAGGAGGTGGTGAGGGATGGTCCCCGGAGGTGTCTGGGAAGGTCATGTGCAGAGGCCCTGGGGCAGTGTGGGGTGGGCCTGTTCCCAGAGCGGCAGGGACGCCAGTGCCCCCAGGAGGAGTTGGGGGAGGAGAGGCCACCAATGAGGCTGGAGAGAGGCGCCTCTGGAGGCTGTGATTAGTGGCCCCAGCGGCACTGGAAGGTCCCGAGCGGGGAAGGGTCGTGAACATTCTGGCCGCTGTAAGAAGCATCCCCTGTAGGGGTCAATGTGGAGGCTGGGCCAGGCGCGGTAGCTCACACCTATAATCCCAGCACTTTGGGAAGCCCAGGCGGGTGCATCACCTGAGTTCAGGAGTTCAAGACCAGCCTGGCCAACATGGTGAAACCCCGTCTCTACTAAAAATACAAAAATTAGCCAGCCGTGGTGGCATGTGCCTGTAATCCCAGCTACTCGGGAGGCTGTCGCAGGAGAATTGCTTGAGCCTGGGAGGCGGAGGTTGCAGTGAGCTGAGATCGCAGTACTGCACTCCAGCCTTGGTAATAAGAGCGAGACTCTGTCTCAGAAAAAAAAAAAAAAAAGAAAATGTGGAGGCCGGCCTTCAAGGTCAGGGTTTGGTTCCTTGTTCCAGGAAGCTGAGACCAAGACCAAGGACGAGATGGCTGCTGCTGAAGAAAAAGTCGGTAAGAATGAACAAGGGGAGCCTGAAGACCTCAAGAAGCCAGAGGGGAAGAACAGAAGTGCAGCTGCTGTGAAAAACGAGAAGGAGCAAAAAAACCAGGAAGCAGATGTCCAGGAAGTGAAGGCAAGGTAGGGATGCCCCCGCAGGGGAGCAAAGGAGACCCTGCCTGAGAGCCCGGCACACCCTCTCCCTGCACAACTCTCAGGGGATATCCAGGCTGCCCTTCTAGTCAGCTGTTTTGGCAAGTTTAACTTTGGGGGAAAAGGGGACCACTTAGGAGGTGGAGGGGGGTGGGCACCTGTGCCAGTTTCTTGTTTCCTAATAGCCCCTGGGGTCCTGGAGCCAGCGTGGGCCTTTGGGAACTCAGGAGAGGGGCTGTTCTGGCCCAGACACCTGCTGGTGCCTCCCGCCACTGTCCCCAGCACTTCAGAGGTGGGCAGGGAGTGGCCACCTCTTCTTCCTCCATTTTGGAGGCAGTGAAGAGAGACCTCCATGGGGGGTGGTGTGTCACACGTGGACGTGCTTGCATGTTTGCTAGGGTGTGATAATGTGCATTACGAACACAAGGACCATGTGCCTGTGTGTGTGCATGTGGGTGTGTGCGTGTGCGTTCACGTGTGTGTGCGCACGTGTGTGCGTGTGCATGTATGTGTGCGTGTGTGAGTGCGTGCACGTGTGTGCGTGTACGTGTGCTTGTGTGTGTGCGTGTGTGCGAGTGTGCGCGTGTGTGCATGTGTGTGTGCGAGTGCATGTGTGTGTGCACGTGTGTGTGCGCACGTGTGTGTGTGCGCGTGTGTGCATGCACATGGCAGGTGGACAGATCTCACGGGAATCAGATTTCTGTTTTGGTTTTCCACCAGCACGCTGAGCCCGGGTGGAGGAGTCACCGTGTTCTTCCACGCCATCATCTCTCTTCATTTCCCATTCAATCCTGACCTCCATAAAGTCTTCATCAGAGGAGGAGAAGAATTTGGGGAGTCAAAATGGGACAGCAATATCTGTGAGCTGCACTACACCAGGTGAGCGTGTCTGTAGGCTTGGGAGGAATCCCTCAGGGAAGGCATAGGATGCCCAGCCTGTGACACGTAGTTTAAAAAAATTTTGTTTTTTTTTTTTCTGAGACGGAGTCTTGCTGTGTCACCCAGGCTGGAGTGTGGTGGCACCATCTCAGCTCACTGCAGCCTCCGCCTCCTGGGTTCAAGCGATTCTCATGCCTCAGCTCCCAAGTAGCTGGGACTACAGGTGTGTACCACCACGCCTGGCTAATTTTTGTATTTTTAGTAGAGACGGAGTTTCTACTAAATGCTGGCTAGGCTAGTCTCAAACTCCTGACCTCAGGTGATCCGCCCGCCTAGGCCTCCCAAAGTGCTGGGATTACAGGCATGAGCCACTGCGCCCAGCCTTTAAATAATTTTTATCCAGTGAGTTGATGACATTCTTCGGGTTCTGGAAGATGAATATTTCAGACAGCTCTTCCTGGCCATGCATTTTGGTGTCATATTCCATCATGGACCTTTTTCTTTTTAAAAGTATTCTTTCTTTCTTTCTTATAATTTTTTTTTTTTTTTTTAGAGAGGGGATCTTGCTCTGTTGCCTAGGCTGGAGTGCAATCATGACTCACTGCAGCCTCAATCTCCTGGGCCATCATGCCCAGCTTTGTTTATCTGAGACAGAGTCTTGCTCTGTCACCCAGGCTGGAGTGCAGTGGTGGGATCACAGGTCAATGCAGCCTTGACCTCCTGGACTCAAGAAGTCCTCCCGCCTCAGCCTCCCATGGTGTTGGGATTTCAGGCATGGGCCACTGAACCCAGCCTTGCCACATCAACTTATAGCTTTGCACTCCATGCTACGTTTGAGAATAACTAAAATTTCCGGGGTAGGAATTTTGGATAGCCAACCGTATCCTGTTCATTCACAGAGACTTGGGTCATGACCGCGTTCTTGTTGAAGGCATTGTCTGCATTTCCAAGAAGCACCTAGATAAATACATTCCTTACAAGTACGTCATTTATAATGGGGAATCTTTTGAGTATGAGTTCATTTACAAGCACCAGCAGAAGAAGGGCGAGTACGTCAACCGCTGTCTGTTCATAAAATCTTCACTTCTGGGCTCAGGAGGTAAGTCGTGGCAGCAGGCTGTCTGCTCACCCCTCCGGAGTGCAGGTGCCAATCCCGCGGTACTGGACGCGTCTCTCTGGAGAGCACAGACTTTGCCTGGGCAGTGAGGTCCTCTTTGCTCTGCATTGACCCCGCCCCAGCCTCCAGGTTCAGTGACACTGACTCTGGGTTGTGTCTCTGGTTGGTTAAAGATGTGTTGGCTTCTCCTTTGAGCTCAGTGTGACTTACCTACTCACTTGCAGGAGGAAACATGCAAAGGACTTTTTGTTTGTTTGTTTTCTGAGACAGAGTCTGTCGCTCAGGCTGGAGTACAGTGGTGCGATCTCGGCTCACTGCAACCTCCGCCTCCCAGGGTCAAGCAGTTCTCCTGTCTCAGCCTCCCGAGTAGCTGGGATTACAGGAGCCTGTCACCACCCCCAGCTAACTTTTGTATTTTTAGAGAGACAGGGTTTCACCATGTTGGACCTTGACCTCAGGTGATCTGCCCTCCTCGACCTCCCGAAGTGTTGGGATTACAGGTGTAAGCCACTATGCCCAGCCAGAAAGGATTTTTAATTAAGGGAAAGGAGAGAAAACGAAGCCAGAAGAAGGGCTGCGGCTGGGAACAGAGGGGCAGCAAAGGCCTGGGAGCTGGGTCAGGGACAAGTGCAGTGACCAGGAGGCCACTGGGACTTGTCCCTTCTCTAGAGATTTTCAGATGGTTGACTGGAGATGACATCCAGAGCCCCGTCTGCAGGCTCCTGCTGGCTGTCATCCTCAGCACATCAGCCCCTCTGCCCATCTGTCAATAGACGCGGGCGCTTCCCTTCTCGCAGAGCCCTCTGCGCCCCTTCATGCCTCTCTCGGGGGTCCCCCACCTGGGTTCTCTGTCTGCAAACTTGACAGACAGAGATCAAGACTTGACTGTGTTGATCACCTGGACTCCCAGTGCCGCCTCCTCACCTGGGGGGTCCTGGGCTTCCCCTCGCTCCCCCTCCCTGCACAGTGACCCTGAAACTCAAGGAAGTGAGCTGGGGTCAACTGGTTGTTGCTTTCCCTTGGCAACCAGGGCCTCCCTGCCCCCTGGTGTCCGGTGTCTTGGAAACAGTTGTTTTACTGTTTATGTTGTTCATGTGTTGTTTTAGGCAGATACAGAAGAATGTAAATTTAGTCCCTGTCACTCCACCTTGGACAAAGACAGAAGTCCTAAGAACTTTATAGAGTATATATTTTTTCGTTTTTGTAAACATATATATATATTTTTTTTCTGAGACAGGATCTCGCTCTGTCACCCAAGCTGGAGTGCAGTGGCACGATCTCGGCTCACTACAGCCTCAACCACCAGGGCTCAGCTGATCCTCCCCCTCAGCCCCCCCAAGTAGCTGGGCCTACAGGCGTGTGTCACCATGTCTGGCAAATTTTTCATATATTTTTTTTGGAGAGACTGGTCTTGCTGTGTTGCCCAGTCTGGTCTCGAACTCCTGGGCTCAAGCAATCCGCCCATCTTGGCCTCCCAAAGTGCTGGGATTAAGACGTGAGCCACTGTGCCCAGCCAAACATGATTTTTACTAGCTAGAGAGTGTACTCTGAGAACATAAGCTTTGAAAGAATAGGCATTAGTCCGGTAATTCCATATATAAATACATTTAAATATGGAATTCTATATATATAAATATGGAATTCCTGCTCTGATAAATGCCATGGCATTGATGGCTCGGTTAAAAGGGCACGTGGTGGCTGGGCGTGGTGGCTCACGCCTGTAATCCCAGCATTTTGGGAGGCCGAGGCGGGCGGATCACGAGGTCAGGAGATCAAGACCATCCTGGCTAACACGGTGAAACCCCGTCTCTACTAAAAATACAAAAAAATTGGCCGGGCGTCTTGGCAGCGGGCGCCTGTAGTCCCAGCTACTCGGGAGGCTGAGGCAGGAGAATGGCGTGAACCCGGGAGGCGGAGCTTGCAGTGAGCCAAGATCGTGCCACTGCACTCCAGCCTGGGCGACAGAGGGAGACTCAGTCTAAAAAAAAAAAAACATGTGATAGGGGATTTGACCTGGAGGTCGGCAGAAGCTTCCACAAGGAGGTGATGACCGAGTTGAGAACTAAACAGTTGCAGGCCCTGCTGGGCCCAGGGTGCAGAGCTGGGGTGGGCGGGCCTGCCAGTCTAGACAACTGTGGGTCGAAAGCATGGCAGGGGGCTGAGGAGGCCTGTCCGGGCGCTTCCCATTTCTGCCTGATTTTTACTTCTGTTTGTAGGTCTTCACGTGGCCTCTGACCCTGTCATTGACATCTTGGGTTTTCTAATTATTTTACAGTCAACCTCACTGGGTTTTCTGCAATGAGGTCTGCACTCATATCGTTTGCAATGGAGCCTAAGAACAGTCACGAATTCAGCCCTTGCCCTGTGTCAGCCACCATGCCAAGGGCCATCTGTGCCAGCTGGGCAGCCTGCACCTTCCTCCAGGGGCTGTGTCCCGTTCCTAGTACAGAGGAAACCAACTCAGTGATTGACCAGGACAGTGCTCACTTGCTAGTGGGGGGATGCGGTTTCTGTAT
Source organism: Homo sapiens (assembly GCF_000001405.40). Lineage (NCBI taxonomy): Eukaryota > Metazoa > Chordata > Mammalia > Primates > Hominidae > Homo > Homo sapiens. Next base: position 80,294,362 of record NC_000017.11, read on the forward strand.
GACACATTCCACCTCCTTGTGATGATGTTTAAGGAAGTTGTTGATCAAGTTTGCTGAGCTACATAGTTAGAGATCCGTTGCAAGTCTCAGGCCCGCTGCATCCCATGACCCTGGGCTTTCCACTCATTACTGTGGGACGTCTAGGATGTCTGTTTGCACGGGGCTGGCCTCAGATGAGAAGTCAGTTGGAGGAGTCTGGCTGTCGTCAGTGTGTGGGTTTTTGCTTTTCCCTTCCTCCCTTCCTCTGCCCCATTTACTCCATATCTGTACCAGTCGTGATCAGCCTTCTAGGCTAGTGTCTAGGTCTCCAGGGTTTTGATGGTCTTAGGTAGGCTCTTGTTCCTTCTGTCCCTCTTAGACTGGCATCAGTACTATGACATAGTTTATATGAAGCCTCATGGGAGACTCCAGAAAGTCATGAACCACATCACAGACGGGCCGAGGAAGGACCTGGTGAAGGGGAAGCAGATTGCCGCTGCGCTCATGCTGGACAGCACCTTCAGCATCCTGCAGACCTGGGACACCATCAACCTGAACAGCTTCTTCACCCAGTTCGAGCAGTTTTGCTTTGTCCTGCAACAGCCTATGATTTATGAAGGACAGGCACAGCTGTGGACCGATTTGCAGTACAGGGAGAAAGAGGTATCAGGCTTGCCACCAGCTGCTCTACCTGCTGGGCAGGAGCCACACCTGACCTGCTAGTGGCCGGATGACCCCTTGACTCTGTGGGCCAGGTTGCAAATGGGAATGTGTAGAACTTTCCAGCCTTTTCTCCTACCACTGTCTCTTGGGATTTCTCTGCCCTCCCCCATTTTCCTCCTTTTACTGGTTGTAATCTCAGCCCCACCCCAGCACCAGTCCTGAGTCCTCCCCTGGCCTTGGAGGGAGAGTGGAAGGAACGGGGCACCCTCTGTCACTGCACCTTTACCCACACTGCGGTGCAGCCTGGGTGGGTTTCAGGCCGGCCTGGAGCTGTTTCTGAGCTGAAGCTGAGCCCTGATGAGCCTCAGGGGCCCTGCCTGAGCCCTCATGCCAGGGTCTTGGCTGCACTGCAGCTCCTCCTGTGGCTCTCACAGGTGTGGTGGTGGGGCACGGATGGGGTCTGCTGCCCTAGCTGTGGTGCTGGGGCAGCTCTGGACACTGCCGGTGAATTCAAGTCCATGGTTCATGCATCTTCCTCTTCTCCCACCATCAGGTGAAGAGATACCTGTGGCAACATCTGAAAAAACACGTGGTACCATTGCCGGACGGAAAAAGCACGGACTTTTTGCCTGTGGACTGCCCAGTGAGGAGTAAACTGAAAACAGGCCTGATTGTCCTTTTTGTAGTGGAAAAAATTGAGCTTTTATTAGAAGGCAGCCTGGACTGGTTGTGTCACCTCCTAACCTCAGATGCCAGCTCACCAGATGAGTTTCACCGTGACCTAAGCCACATCCTTGGGATACCTCAGAGGTATTATTATTTTTTGTCAAAATGTTTTTTATAGCTATTATAATGATTTTCTCTGATTGCAAAAATAAGTGCTTGACTAGAGTGACTGAAAGCACACAGGCAAGAAATAAAACCACCCGTGATTTTACCACTCACTGTGGTCATGTCAGTAGTTTTTCCTAGCATCTGTCTTATTTTTATTATATTCTGTCCTCTGTTGAATTCCCTGCCTTTTGTTTTCCCCCCAGACGGCGTCTCACTCTGTGGCCCAGGCTGGAGTACAGTGGCGCAATCTTGGCTCACTGCAGCCTCCACCTCCCAGGTTTAGGCAATTCTCCTGCTTCAGCCTCCTTAGTAGCAGGGACTACAGGTGCACACTACCACACATGGCTAATTTTTGTATTTTTAGTAGAGAAGGGTTTTCACCATTTTGGCCAGGCTGGTTTCGAACTCCTGACCTCAAGTGATCCACCCACCTCGGCCTCCCAAAGTGCTAGGATTGTAGGCGTGAGCCACCGTGCTGGGTCTGAATACCCTGCTTTTTGAAGCTTCGTGTGGTATCATGAGCAGCCTCTGTGTGCGCGTGTTTAGGAGGTTGTGGCGTGACGCCAGCCTGAACTCATCCCCTCAAGGACATCTGCAGAAGCAGCGTGAATGTTCTCCCCATGCCCCTGCCTGTGCCGTGTCTAGTTCAGGAAACACAGTGTGACTGTCCTGGGCCTGAAATGTTCAGTGGTGAGAAGGCGATGGCCTTTGACTTGGTACCTGCTCAGACCCCACTGAGCTCTGCACTCTCTCTGCGTGTGTTGATTTGAACGTGAGAATGACATTAGGTAGCCTTTCCTGACCAGCATGTCTTATCACGACATCTGCCTCTCAGTTTTACACATTTATTTATTTGTTGTTTTGAGACAGTGTCTTACTCTGTTCCCCCAGTCTGGAGTGCAGTGGAGCAATCAGCTCACTGCAGCTTCAGCCTCACAGACTCAGGTGGTTCTCCCACCTCAGCCTCCTGAGTAGCTGGGACTGCAGATACACACCACCACTTCCAGCTAATTTTTGTATTTATTGTAGAGACGGGGTTTCACCATGTTGCCACGGTGGTCTTGAGCTCCTGACCTTGTGATCCGCCTGCCTCGACCTCCCAAAGTGCTGGGATTATAGACATGAGCCACTGTGCCTGGCCTGGTTTTACAAATAAAAAACAACCAAATAAACGCCGCACATTTTGACAAAGAGGAGGAGTGGAGGCAAAGGCAATGTACAGAGTTAGTGCCGGGGCTTAAAGTATGAGGAATCATTAATATCTTTTGACTGTAGGAGATTCACCATGTATTGTTTATAGGCTCAACCCTTACGTTTAAAAAGTTGTTTTGGGGCCGGGCACGGTGGCTCACGCCTGTAATCCCAGCACTTTGGGAGGTCGAGGCAGGCGGATCACAAGGTCAGGAGTTCGAGACCAGCCTGACCAACATGGTGAAACACTGTCTCTACTAAAAATACAAAATTTAGCCGGGCGTGGTGGTGCATGCCTGTAATCCCAGCTACTCAGGAGGCTGAGGCAGGAGAATCACGTGAACCCAGGAGGCGGAGGTTGCAGTGAGCCGAGATTGTGCCACTGCACTCCAGCCTGGGCGACACAGTGAGACTTCATCTCAAAAAAAAAAAAAAGTTGTTTTGGCCGGGCATTATGGCTCACACCTGTAATCCCAGTGCTTTGGGAGGCTGAGGCAGGAGGGATTGCTTGAGCCAGGAGTTCAGGATCAGTCTGGGAAACAAAAATTAAAATAAAAAATAGAGCCGGCCAACACAGTGAAACCCTGTCTCTACAAAAAATACAAAAAACTAGCCAGGCATGGTGGCGGGCACCTGTAGTCCCAGCTACTCGGGAGGCTGAGGCAGGAGAATGGCGTGAACCCGAGAGGCAGAGCTTGCAGTGAGCCAAGATCGTGCCACTGCGCTCCAGCCTGGGCAACAGAGTGAGACTCCGTCTCAAAAAAAAAAAAAAAAAAATGTAGCTAGCTGGGTGTGGTGGTGCACCTGTAATTCCAGCACTGGAGAGGCTGAGGCAGGAGGATCCCTTGAGCCCAAGAGTTCGAGGTTATAATGATCGCACCACCGCGCTGCCTTGATGACAGAGTGAGACTCTGTCTCTAAACAATGAAAATAAATTTTACAAGTTGCTTTATATTTAGATTTACTGTTGCCAGATGGCCTGGGTTCAAACCCCAGCTCTGTCAGTCAGGACCCTGCGTTGACTACTTAGCCAGGACCCCTGCTTCTGAGATCCCTCCCCTGTCCTGGGAGTTTGTTGTGGGGATTCGGTGAGGGCCTGCAAAGGAGCTGACGCCCTAGGCTGGGGGCTGAGGGAAGCCCTGTCTCCTGCGTGAGTTAAACTCTGCTCAGCCACGCGCGGTGCTCCTCTTGCTCTGTGTGCACGGTGCTTGCTTCCTGTTGGGACTCCAGACTCCCAGGGAGATGACTCCCTGGCCAGCTCAGCTCACTGCGGGATCTTTATTCCCTTCCAGCTGGCGGCTGTACCTGGTGAACCTGTGCCAAAGATGCATGGACACAAGGACGTACACCTGGCTGGGCGCCCTGCCTGTCCTGCACTGCTGTATGGAGCTGGCCCCGCGGCACAAGGATGCCTGGAGACAGCCTGAGGACACCTGGGCCGCTCTGGAGGGACTCTCCTTCTCACCGTTCCGGGAACAAATGCTAGATACGTAAGTCGTAGAGTTGTGCTTATCTACATGAATCTGGGAAGACTGACTCCTACATTGTGCACCCGGAGTCCCGGTGGGCTCTGCAGTGACTCCATTCCTGATTCTAATGACAGAACTAACACACGCTCTTTTAACATTTTAAGACATCAAAACTGTCAAGAATAGGCTGTGCACAGTGGCTCACGCCTGTAATCCCAGCACTTTGGGAGGCTGAGACGGGTGGATCACCTGAGGTCAGGAGTTCGAGACCAGCCTGGCCAACATGGTGAAAACCCGTCTGTACGAAAAATACCAAAAAAAAAAAAAAAAAATTAGCCAGGTGTGGTGGCATGTGCTTGTAATCCCAGCTACTCTGGAGGCTGAGGTAGGAGAATCACTAGAACCCGGGAGGTGGAGGTTGCAGTGAGCTGGGATCATGCTACTGCACTGTAGCTTGGGCGACAGAGCGAGACTCTGTCTAAAACAAACAAACAAAAAACTATCAAGAATACAGAAACAACTTGTAACCTCAGAGGCAGCCGTTGTTAGCACGGTGGCATACCTATTTGTGGTTTTGTCCAAATATGGATTCGTGGGTGTTTTATGTACTTAAAAGAACAACAACAAATGATGTGTTATTTATTCTGGTTTACAACCTGATTTTTCCTCTTAACAGTATTTTGTGAACCATTTTTTCCATCAGCAAATTCTTGTCTATGTCTTAGCGTTCCAGCCAGAGAGAGTGCCAGCCTTGTATTGAGCCAGTTCTCTGTTACAGGACATTTGGTTGGTTGTGCAGTTTCGTTTTTTCAGCGTGCTTTCATAAGCATCCTTAGCTTTCTCTGTCCCATAACTTCATTGAGATAGATTCCTACAAGTGGAACTGCTAGGTCAAAGGCATTGTGAACTCTAAACCATTTATACCTTTGCATAATGCTGGCTTAAAGGAGAGGAATATTGGCAATATATATAATCCTGATCTCTGATTCAAATATAATGACCTCTCCTTTATCACAAGAAAATATTACCAGAGAAAGTTTATTTATTTATTTATTTATTTATTTATTTATTTTTAACTTCTAAGTTCAGGAGTACATGTGCAGGTTTGTTATATAGATAAACTTGTGTTATGGAGTTTTTTTGTACAGATTATTTCATCATCCAAATATTAAGCCTAGTACCCATTAGCTATTTTTCCTGATCCTCTCCCTCTTCCCATCCTCCACCCTCTGATAAGCCCCAGTGTGTGTTGTTCCCCTCTATGTGTCCCTGTGTTCTCATCATTTAGCTCCCACTTACAAGTGAGAACCTGCGGTATTTGGTTCTCGTTCCTGAGTTAATTTGCTAAGGATAATGGCCTCCAGCTCCATCTATGTTCCTGCAAAGGACATGATTTCATTCTTTTTTATGGCTGCATAGTATTCCATGGTGTGTATGTACCACATTTTCTTTATCCAGTCTACTGTTGATGGGCATTGAGTTTGATTCCATGTCTTTGCTATTGTGAATTGTGCTTCAATGAACATACATGGGCATGTTTCTTTATAATAGAACGATTTATATTGTTTTTGGTATATACCCAGTAATGGGATTGCTGCGGTGAATGGTATTTGTGGAATTGCCACACTGTCTTCCGTAATGGTTGAACTAATTTACACTCCCACCAACAGTGCATAAGCATTCCTTTTTCTCCGCAACCTCACCAGCATCTGTTATTTTTTTACCTTTTAATAGCAGCCATTCTGACTGGTGTTAAGATGGTATCTCACTGTTTTTTTTTTTTAAGAGACAGAGTCTGGCTCTGTCACCCAGGCTGGAGTGCAGTGGTGTGATCTCAGCTCACTGCAGCCTCTGCCTCCTCGGCACAAGCGATTCTGCTGGGATTGGTAGTGTGCGCCACCACATGTGGCTAATTTTTGTCTTTTTAGTAGAGACAGGGTTGCACCATGTTGGCCAGGCTGTTCTTCAACTCCTGACCTCAAGTGATCCACCTGCCTCGGCCTCCCAAAGTTCTAGGATTGCAGGCATGAGCCACCACGCCTGGCCTCATTGTGGTTTTTGTTTTGTTTTGTTTGAGATGGAGTTTCGCTTTATCACCCAGGCTGGATTGCAGTGGCACAATCTCAGCTCACTGTAACCTCTGCCTCCCAGGTTCAAGTGATTGTCCTGCCTCAGTCTTCTGGGTAGCTGGGACCACAGGCACCCCACCATGCCTGGCTAATTTTTGTATTTTTAGTAGAGATGGGGTTTCACCATGTTGGCCAGGCTGGTCTCAAACCCCAGACCTCAAGTGATCCGCCCACCTTGGCCTCCCAAAGTGCTGGGATTGCATGTGTGAGCCACCATGCCCGGCCTCATTGTGATTTTGATTTGCATTTCTCTAATGATGAGTGATGTTGAGCTTTTTTTCATATGCCTGTTAGCCACATGTATGTCTTCTTGTGAAAAGTGTCTGTTCATGTCCTTTGCCCACTTTTTAATGAGGTTGCTTGTTTTTTTTTCTTGTAAATTTGTGTATGTTCCTTATAGATGCTGGATATTACACCTTTGTCAGATGCATATTTTGCAAAAATTTTCTCCCATTCTGTGGGTCATCTGTTTACTCTGTTGATAGTTTCTTTTGCTGTGCAAAAGCTCCTCAGTTTAATTAGTTCTTATTTGTCAATTTTTGCTTTTCTTGTGATTGCTTTTGGTATTTTTGTCGTGAAATCTTTGCCCATTCCTATGTCTAGAATGGTATTGCCTAGGTCTGGGCAAAGATTGGAGAAAAATTATGGAGAAGTCCTTAAAAGCACAGGCGACAAAAGTAAAGTGAGATAAATGGGATTACATCAAATCAAAAAGCTTCTGTGCAGCAAAGGAAACTATCAACAGAGTGAAGAGACAGTCCACGGAATGGGAGAAAATATTTGTCATCTACACGTTGGATAGGGGGATTTAAGGAACTCAAACAAGTGAACAGAAAAACTCAGATCTAAAAATGGACAAATGAGTTGAGTAGTCATCTAAAAAGAAGACACACAAATAACCAACAGGCATATGAAAAAATGATCAGCATCATTAATTAGGGAAATGCAAATCAAAACCACAATGAGATATGGTCTTACCCAAGTTAGAATAGCTGTGATCAAAAAGACAAAAAATAAATGCCAGTGAGGATGTGGGAAAGAGAAACTCTCATACAGTGTAGGAATGTAAATTAGTACTGCCACTATGGAGGACAGTATAAAGGTTCCTGAAGAAACTAAAAATAGAACTACTGTATGATCCAGCAATCGTACTGCTGGGGATATATCCAAAGTAAAGGAAATCAGTATGTTGAAGAGATAGCTGCACTCCTATATTTATCGTAACACTCAATAGCCATAATATGGAATCATCCTGAGTGTCCACCCGCAGATGAGTGGATGAAGAAAGTGTTGTCTATATACACAGTAGAATACTATTTGGCCACCAAAAAGAATGAAATTCTGTCTTTCGCAGCAACATGGACAAGCTTGGAGGAGATTACGTTAAGTGAAATAAGCCAGGCGCAGAAAGAGAAATACTGCATATTCCCACTCATACGTGGATGTGAAAAGAGTTGATCTTCTAGAAGGAGAGAGTAGAATAGTAGTTACGAGAGGCGAGGAAGGATGGGGAGAGGGCTAGCCAAAGGTTGGCTAGTGGATACAAAAGTATGGCTAGATAGGACGAGTAAGTTCTAGGGTCCTAGAGCAGTATGGAACGACTGTAATTTACAATTTATTACGTTTTTCAAATAGCTGGAAGAGTGGAGTTTGAATGTTTCCAACACAAAGAAATAAATGTTTGAGATAGATATGCTAATTACCCTGATTTGTACACATTATACACTGTATGCATATATATTGTATCCATATATTTGTACAGATTACAGACTGTATACTTTGTACATAGTATACATTGTAGACATATTTATATGTATATACAGTGCATAAAATGTATTCTCTGTATGCATTTGTATACATTATGTATTGTATACATATATAGAAATATAACACTGTTCCCCATAAATATGTACAATTATTATGTGTCAGTTTAAAAATAATAAAAGCAGCTGGGCTTGGTGGCTCATGCCTATAATCCCAGTACTTTGGGAGGCCCAGGCAGGAGGATTGTTTGAGGCCAGGAGTTCAAGACCAGTCTGGGCACATAGTAAAACCCAGTTTCTACAAAAAAACAAACAAAAAAAATAGTTAGGCATGGTGGGGTGTACCTGCAGTCCCAGCTACTTGGGAGGCTTACATGAGAGGATCGCTTGAGCCAGGGAGGTCAAGGCTGCAGTGGTAGAAGTCCAGATTCCCTAGAAGTTGAAATAAAAGCATCTTTATTTTCAGATTCTTGACAGGTAACCACAAACTTTCTCTTTAAGTATAATCTCTCTGAAATACTGAATACTGGGTTATTTAATAGAACAGTCATAATGACCACAGATTAACCCTTCTAAGCAAAATAGATTAATTTATTTTGGCCTTGAAATGGTCTTTCTCTTATTAATGTGCTAGAATGTATTCATTCATTCACTGGATGAATACTTGAAGAGCACCTTCCTTGTGCCAGGAAGTACTACTCAAGGCACAGCGTGTACAGCACTGCTCAAAACAGACAGCTGCTCCTGGCCTTGTGGAGCTTGCATTCTAGCTGGAGAGGCAGGCAGTTAATACATCAGTAAGTCCTATTGATGAGAGAGCTCTGGAAATTCCTCCTTCCCCTAGCCTGGAGGCTCAGGCCACAGAATCTGCTAAGGTCTGAAGGTAGGGTAGGAGAACAGAGGTAATGACTGCAGCACTCTGGGCCTTGCAGTGAGAACAAGACAGTGACCATCCAATTGGGAAAGGGGCTGGAGAACTGAAAGAGACGCCCCCTCATAAAGCATGATGCTCAGAGCCTGCCAAATGCCAAAGACTGGGGACAGCAGAAAAAATGAGGCAGTTGCTCTGTGCCCCTGGATCCCAACTTCTGCTAAAGGCAGTGTTACGGTCTTGCCTTTAGAAGGCGTAAAAGCCTTTGGAAACCAATTCTATTCCTTTTCTTTTTTCTTTTCTTTTCTTTTTTTTTTTTTTTTGAGACAGTCCTGCTCTGTCGCCCAGGCTGGAGTACAGTGGCGCGATCTCTGGTCACTGCAACCTTCGCCTCCCAGGTTCAAGTGATTCTTGTGCCTCAGCCTCCCAAGTAGCTGGGACTACAGGTGCATGTCATCACACATCACATGTGGCTAATTTTTGTATTTTTAGTGGAGATGGGTTTTGCCATGTTGGCCAGGCTGGTCTTGAACTCCTGGCCTCAAGTGATCTGCCCGCCTCAGCCTTCCAAAGTGCTGGGATTACAGGCGTGAGCCACCCACTGTGCCTGGCCAGCCGTTGGGAACCAATTCTAATTAAAGCTACAACAAAGCTGTAGTTCATCTAAACTATTAACTCAGCCCCTGATAACAGAAGAGGCCACTAGATGATCAAGAGAGAAAACAGTCAATATAGTCAGACCCATGGATGGTCCATATTTACCTAGAAAGGCTAGATATAGTAGAAATATAGAGTACCTTTTATTATTATTGCTATTTTTATGTACTTATCTTTAAATATCTTGAAAAGTCTGCAGTAGCATTGTTCCTAAAGATCCAATCGTTCAGGTAAAAGTGGCCTTTAGTATGCAGTGAACCTTTATTGATATGTTTTTCATAACTTCTGTTACTTCTAGGGAGCCTTGCTTTATTTCTTTTCCATTGTCAACATTTTGGGTCTCCAGTACTGTGTTCCAGAATCAGCATTATTTAAGGGCCTTCGCTGAGCCCACTTGGGCTGTTTGATCCTGGACACTCGTTAATAATAATTAAGAGGCTTGGCTGGGTGCAGTGGCTCACACCTGTAATCCCAGCACTTTGGGAGGCCAAGGCAGGTGGATCACAAGGTCAGGAGATCGAGACAAGCCTGGCTAACACAGTGAAACCCCATCTCTACTAAAAATACAAAAAATGAGCCGGGCGTGGTGGCAGGCGCCTGTAGTCACAGCTACTGGGGAGGCTGAGGCAGGAGAATGGCGTGAGCCTGGTAGGCAGAGCTTGCAGTGAGCCGAGATCACACCACTGCACTCCAGCCAAGGCAACAGAGTGAGACTCCAACACAAATAAATAAATAAATAAATAATAATAATAATAATTAAGAGGCTTAATTATTGGGGTATATCCCTTTTATTGTAAAATATACATAATCTCCAGTTTACCATGTTAACTCCTTTTCAAGGCACAGTTCCCTGGCACCAAGCACATTCACACTGCTGTGTAGCCGTCAGCACCATCCACCTCCCGAACTCAGCTTCCCCAGCTGAAACTCCATCCCCATGAAACACGACCTCCACACTCCCCCTCCTCCTGGTAACCACTGTTCTCCTCTCTGTCTCTAGGATTTTGACTTCTCTGGGGACCTCACGTGAGTGGAATCACACAGGATTTGTCCTTTTGTGTCTGATTTATTTCACTGAGCATAATGTCAAGATTCATCCATCTCAATGAATTCTTTTTGTGTATTTATTTATTTATTTGTAGAGATGGAATCTTGCTATGTTGCCCAGGTTGGTCTCAAACTGCTGGCCTCAAGCTATCCATCCTCCTGCTTTGGCCTCCCAAGTTGTGGGGATTACAGACATGAGCCACTGCACCCAGCAGTGAACTTTTTTTTTTTTTGAGACAGTTTTGGTCTCATTGCCTATGCTGGAGTACAATGGCACGATCTTGGCTCACCGCAACCTCTGCCTCCTGGGTTCAAGTGATTCTCCTGCCTCAGCCTCCCAAGTAGCTGGGATTACAGGTGTGCGCCACCACGCCTGGCTAATTTAGGATTTTTAGTAGAGACGGGATTTCTCCATGTTGGTCAGGCTGGTCTTGAACTCCCAACCTCAGGTGATCTGCCTGCCTCGGCCTCCCAAAGTGCTGGGATTACAGACGTGAGCCACTGCGCCCGGCCTGATTTTATTACTATTTTTTAATATTACTGCTCCTTGTAGAACAGGGCTACCCCATAGGAGCATGCCCAGAATGGCCAGCAGTGAATTCTTATTCCGTATTCTGAATTCTATATTAAGTTAATTCTCCTTTTTTCTTTCCTTTTTTTTTTTTGAGACAGAGTCTCACTCTGTTGCCCAGGCTGGAGTGCAGTGGCGTGATCTCGGCTCACTGCAATCTCTGCCGCCGGGGCTCAAGTGATTCTTCTGCCTCAGCCTCCTGAGTAGCTGGGATTACAGGATTACAGGCATGTGCCACCATGCCTGGCTGATTTTTGTATTTTTAGTAGAGACGCAGTTTCACCGTGTTGGCCAGGCTGGTTGCAAACTTCTAACCTCAACTGATCCACCTGCCTCAGCCTCCCAAAGTGCTGGGATTCAGGCGTGAGCCACCACGCCCGGCCATTAAGTTAATTCTCAGTAGGTTGTTCTGTACTTTTCATTTGATTCACTGCATATTTTTGTTTTCCACATAGCCTTTATTTTATTTTTTAAAGTAGAGACAGGGCCTCACTAGGTTCCCCAGGCTGGTTTCAAGCTCCTGGGCTCAAGTGATCCTCCCGAGTCAGCCTCCCAAGTATTGGGATTCAGGTGTGAGCCACCACGCCTGCCCTCAAGTAGTATTTAAATCATTTTTGAATTCGGGACTGTTTCTGTCCCTCCAGCATTGGTTTCCTCCATTTTCCCTCACTGATCTCACTGCGTCTCTTTTCTCCGTCCCTATTTCTCTTATGCAGGAGTTCCCTACTTCAGTTTATGAGAGAGAAGCAGCATTTGCTGAGCATAGACGAGCCTCTCTTCCGGTCCTGGTTTAGTCTGCTACCTCTGAGTCACCTGGTTATGTATATGGAAAACTTCATTGAGCACCTGGGTCGTTTTCCTGCTCATATCCTGGACTGTCTTTCAGGGATTTACTACCGGCTTCCGGGACTTGAGCAAGTCTTGAATACGCAGGTTTGTGTCTGAAGTCGGCTCTGGAGTCCTGGCTTAGCAAAAGCAGACTAGATAACTAAACATGGAAAGCTCAGGATTCTTATTCCTAAAAAACAGACAGTGGGCTGGGTGCGGTGGCTCACGCCTGAATCCCAGCACTTTGGGAGGCCGAGGCGGGCAGATCACGAGGTCAGGAGATCGAGACCATCCTGGCTAACACAGTGAAACCCCGTCTCTACTAAAAATACAAAAAAATTAGCTGGGCGTGGTGGTGGGTACCTGTAGTCCCAGCTACTCAGGAGGCTGAGGCAGGAGAATGGTGTGAACCCGGGAGGCGGAGCTTGCAGTGAGCCGAGATCACGCCGCTGCACTCCAGCCTGGGTGACAGAGCGAGACTCCATCTCAAAAAAAAAAAAAAAAAGAAGGCGTCTCATGTGATGCACTTCGTAGCTGCCATTCTTCCTTTCACATTTTTTGGTGGAGAAAATGGTATAAGTTTAAATCCTGAGTTTTATCTGTAAAAGAGGTAAGATTAGTATGTGAGCACCTTAAAATTTGTTTGTAGGAAGAAAACAATGTATACCATATTGATGTTGGATTTTTTTCAGCTCTGTTTTAGCAATGACAGTGGCATTGTGATTCAATCTTTTGTCCTGTTTTTCTTTTTTTCTCTGCCTTAGGATGTTCAGGATGTTCAGAACGTTCAGAACATTTTAGAAATGCTGTTGCGACTCCTGGACACTTACCGGGACAAGTAAGTGGAAAGCACGATGCAGTCTCTCCCTCACATGCGGCCCCCGGGGGCTTCCTCTGACCCCTATAATTGGCCGTGACCCACATGTGCTGTTGTAACAGCAAGGTCATAAATTAATATGTGGCCCACTTCTCTTCTCAGGTTATTAATATTGTCGTCTGTTTTTTTTTTTTTTTTTTTGAGTCAGAGTCTTACTCTGTTGCCCAGGCTGGAGTGCAGTGACGCAATCTTAGCTCACTACAACTTCTATCTCCTGGTTCAAGTGATTCTCCTGTCTCAGCCTCCCGAGTAGCTGGGATTACAGGCGCACCCCACCACGCCCAGCTAATTTTTGTGTGTTGGTTTGTTTGTTTGTTTGTTTTTTTGAGATGGAGTCTCACTCTTGTTGCCCAAGCTGGAGTGCAATGGCACCATCTTGGCTCACTGCAACCTCTGCTTCCCAGGTTCAAGTGATTCTCCTTCCTCAGCCTCCTGAGTAGCTGGGATTACAGGCGCATGCCACCACGCCTGGCTAATTTTTGTATTTTTAGTAGAGATGGGGTTTCACCATGTTGGCCAGGCTGGTCTTGAACTTCTGACCTCAGGTGATCCGCCTGTCTGGGCCTCCCAAAGTGCTGGGATTACAGGCGTGAGCCACCATGCCTGGCCGTCTGTTTTTTTTTTTTTTTTTTTTTTAAAGGGAAATAATAGATATCAGCTGCTAAGATTTGGGTTTATCTCCCCCTGATCTTTTTTCCTATACATTTTTCCCTTACTTGTAAATAGTCATGATACTGCATATGCCTGGTGGGCGTTCTGCATTTTTTTAATACTTAGTCAGTTTAAGATAAAAATCAAAGGTAGCTTTATATAATTATCCAAAATCATTTGCTCCTGCAAATTTGTGACCTCTGATACCCTGAGGGGTCAGCAGACAGAATGCAGAACCACTGAAATGTGCCAGTGAGCGATGGGATGGGTGTTGTCTGAGCTGTTCTCTGAGCGGCTCGGGCACTTCCAGTCTTCGTTCACCTCCTTTGTTCACGTCTCTGCCGATGTTGATCCAGCACCTGTGACTTGAGGATCCCCCCCACAAGCTCCCTATCTCCCCACCACTGTGTGTCACATTCTCAGCCCAGGGAGTCCTTTCTTACACCGCCTTCCCAGTCCCCTCCATCAACTCTCCTCTTAAGCTCCTCCTAAGTGTCCTCTTAAGTCTCTCCTGAGTCCCCTCCTGAGTCCCTCCCAAGGCTCCTCCTGAGTCCCTCCTAAGCCTCCTTCTGAGTCCCTCCTAAGCCTCCTCCTAAGTCCCCTCCTGAGTCCCTCCTAAGGCTCCTCCCGAGTCCCTACCGAGTCCCTCCTAAGGCTCCTCCTAAGTCCCTGCTCTGTCCATGTGTCCCTCAGAAAACACAAAACCCAGGCCCGGCAGAGCTGGAGCCAATTCCACACGGGCTGCACGCTCTTCTACTATTTCTTTCTCTTCCTCCCTCCTTTCTGTTTCTTTCTGAATATTTTTTCAAATTTATGTCATATTTTAATGTCTAGTAATAAACATCCCTTGCCTTTTTTCACATCTTGGAACGCACTGAGGAGTGTTTGGACTTGCTTTGGTTAGAACAGTTGAGACTACAGAGACAAAACAAGAGGACTTTGCTTCCTTTTTATCTTAGTCACAAGTTCAGGACTGACTGAGATTTTCCAGACGTTAACCTAGATAAGGTCAAACAAATGCCCTGTTGGTAGTTATTTTGAAGGAAGGAGCTAGTCATCAATGGTAACCATTTTCTGGCTTCTCCTAAATCCTTGCCGGGATTTCTCTTAACTCTTTGCGGGGCAGGATTCCCGAGGAGGCCTTGTCACCATCCTACCTGACTGTGTGTCTGAAACTGCATGAAGCCATCTGCAGCAGCACAAAGCTACTTAAGTTTTACGAGCTGCCAGCCTTATCTGCCGAGATTGTCTGCAGAATGATTAGACTTCTATCTCTGGTGGTAAGTGGAGTCAACACACAAGGTATCACACCCGGGATAGGTGCGGAATTTCAAGCAGCCTCAATTTGGAAAGGAAACAGACTGATTCCCGGGTGCTGGGATGAGATGGAGCGGTGGTTTCAGCAGTGGACATTTCTTGTGCACCTGCTTGATGCTGGGTTCTGTTCTGGGTGTGGGGGGTGTCAGTGGGCCAGGGTCTGCCCTTCTGCCACCTTGGGCTTTCCTGGGAGGGAGGCAGGGAGTTAATGTGTGGCCATCAGCTGGTCATGGGGAAACCAGAGAGCTGGCGCAGGGGCTGGGGGTCAGGCAACGCCACGCGGAGAAGACGACTTTTCTTTTTTCTTGATTCTGTTGTTTGCAGAGAACTACGGGGACCATTTTCCTCCCAAAAAATACATGTCCAAACATGGTCTTTCCCACCTTCTTGACATTGTAGCTTGAATACAGTAACAAAGGCCATAGCGCCACACATCTGCCCCCCGCTGCATGTCGTGTCCCAGGTCTGATGGCAGGATGACCCGGCTCCTCCGTCCCAAAGAAAGCCACTGTTGTGACTTCTCCCATGGATCAGTTTTTTTTTTGTTTTTTGTTTTTTGTTTTTTAAGACGGGGTCTCACTCTGTCACCCAGGCTGGAGTGCAGTGGCGTGATCTCGGCTTACTGCAAGCTCCGCCTCCTGGGTTCACGCCATTCTCCTGTCTCAACCTCCCAAGTAGCTGGGACTACAGACGCCTGCCACCACGCCTGGCTAATTTTTGTATTTTTAGTAGAGATGGGGTTTCACCGTGTTAGCCAGGATGGTCTCGATCTCATGACCTCATGATCCGCCTGCCTTGGCCTCCAAAGTGCTGGGATTACAGGCTTAAACCACCACGCCCAGCCTCCCATGGATCAGTTTTACCTGTCTTCCAGCTTTGACCTTTCTGCCTCCGACTTTCCCCACTCACCCCCATGTCTCTGAGCTCTGTCTGTGTGGTGCAGAGATCGGCAATTCCTTCTTTCCCGTCTCTGTGCAGTTTTCACCCACTTGAGTTCATGAGTTTCAGTTTGAAAGTGATGTAAGGTTTAATGTTTAGACTGATCATTTGTTTGTTTTTTTGAGATGGAGTTTTGCTCTTGTTGCCCAGGCTGGAGTGTAGTGGCGCCATCTCAGCTCACTGCAATCTCCGCCTCCTAGGTTCAAGTGATTCTCCTGCCTCAGCCTCCCAAGTGGCTGGGACTACAGGTGTGCACCACCACACCCAGCTAATTTTTGTATTTTTAGTAGAGACAGGGTTTCACCATGTTGGCCAAGCTGGTCTCAAACGCCTGACCTCACGTGATCCACCTGCCTTGGCCTCCCAGAGTGCTGGGATTGCCGATGTGAGCCACTGCACCCAGCACAATTTTTTTTTTTTTTGAGACAGAGTTTCACTCTTGTTGCCCAGGCTGTAGTGCAATGGCGTGATCTCGGCTCACCACAACCTCCGCCTCCTGGGTTCAAGTGATTCTCCTGCCTCAGCCTCCCGAGTAGCTGGGATTACAGGCATGTGCCACTAAACCCAGCTAATTCTGTATTTTTAGTCGAGACAGGATTTCTACATGTTGGTCAGGCTGGCCTTGAACTCCTGACCTCAGGTGATTCGCCTGCCTCAGCCTCCCAAAGTGCTAGGATTACAGGCATGAGCTACTGCACCCGGCTGATCATTTTTTTTAATCTTACTTCAAGTTAGAACTGTGACGTTAGTGATAGAAAACAATTAAGTGTATGTTTTAACTTTCTTCCTTTCAGTTTTCTTGTGTTAAAGTACCACAGACACAGTTTAAGAATAAATGTCATTGGTGAGATGATCACGTTCTCTGGAGTGGCTGCTATTTAAACCGCCACAGGCAGCTGCCAACTTCCACATAAACTGTGTTTAAGGAATTTGTCAGTTACTTAGGATTTATTTTCTACAGAAATAACTATCTTAAATGTTGGCTGGGATCTCAGATAAGTTTAATCCATATTATGGACAAAATACTCTCTACCTGTGCCATAAAAGCAAACAAACAAACAAAAAACCTTTGCAATACTAAAATTAAACAAAGCAAAAATACGTGACGCATGTTGAAGAAACTTTTAGGTGTCTGCTGCTGTGAAGGCTCCAGGGTTGACGGACACTTGGAGAACAAGGTGCCCGTGTCAGGCTCCGGAGGTCTGTGCAGCCTCTGAGCGGTCATTCAGTTTGTTGTTATTGGCCATCGCTGTCCAGCCCTGTGCTGCTGGATTGTTCTAGAAGGAGCTGTGCCATTGGGGGGACCTTCAGCAGTGCCTGTTTCGTTTTCTGTCGGCCCCCGCCCCCTGCGTGCTGTGCTCTAGTCACTCCTGTGCCCAGCCCCCTCTGCGGGCTCTCTTTCACAGCAGCACCTGCATCCTGGTCCCTCTTACATGCTTTGAAAGCTCCTGCCTGTATCTTCCCGCCCTGGCCCTTCCCAGGTATAGTGACGCTGTGTTCCCCTGCCTGCTGTGGGCTTTTCCTCTCTCCCACTCTCGGGCAGCCCCGCCCAGCAGCAGCCTTGTCCTCTTGCCCAGCTGCCTCGAGGCGTGGGCCTCTCGGTGCTTCCAGTGAGCACCTGAGCGTATCCAGGTTCTGTGGCTCCTGACACTTGCACGATGTGCGGGGCTGTGCTTAAAAAAAAAGATCACACACTTGGCTGGGTGTAGTAGCTCACACCTGTAATCCCAGCACTTTGGAAGGCCAAAGCAGGCAGATAACCAGAGGTTAGGAGTTCGAGACCAGCCTGGCCAACATGGTGAAACCCTGTCTCTACTAAAAAATACAAAAATTAGCCAGGTATGGTGGCATGCACTTGTAATCCCAGCTACTTGGGAGGCTGAAGCAGGAGGATCACTTGAACCCAGGAGGTGGAGGTTGCAGTGAGCCAAGATCGCGCCACTGTACTCCAGCCTGGGTTACAGAGTGAGACTCTGTCTCAAAAAAAAGAAAAAAAAGAAAAAGAAAAGAAAAAGACCACACATTAATCCAGGACTGTGGGGCTCCTCCCAGGAGGAGGTGGCCCTGACCCCTGACCTGTATGCTTCCTGGGAAATGTGCTTCTGGGGAGGACAGAGGGAGGAGGAAGGAGAGGGAGGAAGAGGAAGGCAGGGGAGAGAAGGGAGGCATTACAGGAGGCTTTGAGCCCAGGGGAAGAGGGGTTTTCCCTCTGGTCTGGTGGGTCCGGCACGGAGGCGGGGGGAGAGCATGATGGGAGCACAGTGGGAAGGGGACCCAGGTTTACCTCCGGGTCAGGAGCCTGGCTGTGGTCTGGCATGGAGGCAGGGGGAGGGCATGATGGGAGCACAGTGGGAAGGGGACCCAGGTTTACCTCCGGGTCAGGAGCCTGGCTGTGGTCTGGCATGGAGGCAGGGGGAGGGCATGATGGGAGCACAGTGGGAAGGGGACCCAGGTTTACCTCCGGGTCAGGAGCCTGGCTGTCTCCTGTGTCTAAGGAACAGGCCCGGGAGTCTGCAGGGCCCCTCTCTGGGGCGTGCTTTTCCCCCTCAGTCTCCTGGGCACAGCCTGGGGACCTGCTCATTGGCAGGACAGAGGCTGCCTGGGCTTTCGGGGGAGCACACAGATGCCGTTCCCTCCCTCCCTCTTTTCTCCCGTATCTCCCACGTTCAGGGTGAACCCAGAAAACCCTGGGGAATGGAAGTGCTTTGGGAATGTGGGCTTCTGCCAAGGCCTGTGGTCCCTCCATCGTAGCCACTCCTTGAGCAGCCTGTGCCAGCAGGGAGGAGAGGAGGGGGTGCAGCATCTCGCCGGGAACCTGAGTCCACAGCCGAGGATGACTGACCCTCCCTCTTGTGTGACAACAGGATTCTGCAGGACAGAGAGATGAAACTGGAAATAATTCAGTCCAAACAGTCTTCCAAGGGACCCTTGCTGCTACGAAAAGGTGGCTCCGAGAAGTTTTTACAAAGAACATGCTCACATCTTCAGGTGCCTCATTCACATACGTCAAGGAAATTGAGGTAGGCATTTGGCCGAAGGCTTCTGGGTAGGGATGTGACTGATCGTGATTCCTCATGGCCTCAAATCATGGGGTACAGGCTGCTGGCCAGGGGCAGTTGTTGGCCTTCACCTGAGCCTCAGTTCTTCATCTACAAAATGGAGTTGCTCCTGTCTACCTGGCAGGGTGGCTCTGAGGCAGACAGATGCCGGGTGCAAAGTGCTGCTGCACTGCCTCGTGTCCCCTGGCCGGGCACAGTCCCTGTGGTGATGGAGGTGTGGAGGTGATGGTGATGGTTGGTGGTGGTGGTGGTAGAGGTGATGGTGGTGGAGGTGATGGTGATGGTTGGTGGTGGTGGTGGTAGAGGTGATGGTGGTGAAGGTGATGGTGATGGTGGACGTAATGGAGGTGATGGTGGTGATGGTGGTCATGGAGGTGGTGGAGGTGATGGTGGTGGTGGAGGTGATGGTGATTGTGGTGGAGGTGATGGTGGTGATGGTGATGGTTGTGGAGGTGATGGTGGAGGTAATGGAGGTGATGGTGGTGGTGAAGGGGATGGTGGTGATGGAGGTGGTGGTGGTGGAGGTGACAATGGTGATGCTGGTGGTGGAGGTGGTGGAGGTACTGGAGGTGATGGTGGTGGTGAAGGTGATGGTGGAGGTAATGGAGGTGATGGTGGTGGTGGAGGTGATGGTGGAGGTACTGGAGGTGATGGTGGTGGTGAAGGTGATGGTGGAGGTACTGGAGGTGATGGTGGTGGTGGTGGTGATGGTGGAGGTGGTGGAGGTAATGGAGGTGATGGTGGTGGTGGAGGTGATGGTGGAGGTACTGGAGGTGATGGTGGTGGTGAAGGTGATGGTGGAGGTAATGGAGGTGATGGTGGTGGTGGTGGTGATGGTGGAGGTGGTGGAGGTAATGGAGGTGATGGTGGTGGTGGAGGTGATGGTGGAGGTACTGGAGGTGATGGTGGTGGTGAAGGTGATGGTGGAGGTACTGGAGGTGATGGTGGTGGTGTAGGTGATGGTGGAGGTGATGGTGGTGGTGAAGGTGATGGTGGAGGTAATGGAGGTGATGGTGGTGGTGAAGGTGATGGTGGAGGTACTGGAGGTGATGGTGGTAAAGGTGATGGTGGAGGTACTGGAGGTGATGGTGGTGGACGTGATGGTGGAGGTAATGGAGGTGATGGTGGTGGTGGTGGTGGTGGAGGTACTGGAGGTGATGGCGGTCGTGGAGGTGATGGTGGAGGTAATGGAGGTGGTGGTGGTGGTGGTGGTGGAGGTACTGGAGGTGATGGTGGAGGTAATGGAGGTGATGGTGGTGATGGTGATGGTGGAGGTACTGGAGGTGATGGTGGTGGTGGTGGAGGTAATGGAGGTGATGGTGGTGGTGAAGGTGATGGTGGAGGTAATGGAGGTGATGGTGGTGGTGGTGGTGGTGGTGGAGGTAATGGAGGTGATGGTGGTGGTGGTGGTGGTGGTGGAGGTACTGGAGGTGATGGCGGTCGTGGAGGTGATGGTGGAGGTAATGGAGGTGGTGGTGGTGGTGGTGGTGGAGGTACTGGAGGTGATGGTGGAGGTAATGGAGGTGATGGTGGTGATGGTGATGGTGGAGGTACTGGAGGTGATGGTGGTGGTGGTGGAGGTAATGGAGGTGATGGTGGTGGTGAAGGTGATGGTGGAGGTAATGGAGGTGATGGTGGTGGTGGTGGTGGTGGTGGAGGTAATGGAGGTGATGGTGGTGGTGGAGGTGATGGTGGAGGTACTGGAGGTGATGGTGGTGGTGAAGGTGTTGGTGGAGGTACTGGAGGTGATGGTGGTCGTGTAGGTGATGGTGGAGGTGATGGTGGTGGTGAAGGTGATGGTGGAGGTACTGGAGGTGATGGTGGTGGTGAAGGTGATGGTGGAGGTAATGGAGGTGATGGTGGTGGTGAAGGTGATGGTGGAGGTAATGGAGGTGATGGTGGTAAAGGTGATGGTGGAGGTACTGGAGGTGATGGTGGTAAAGGTGATGGTGGAGGTAATGGAGGTGATGGTGGTGGACGTGATGGTGGAGGTAATGGAGGTGATGGTGGTGGTGGTGGTGGAGGTACTGGAGGTGATGGTGGTGGACGTGATGGTGGAGGTAATGGAGGTGATGGTGGTGGTGGTGGTGGAGGTAATGGAGGTGATGGTGGTGGTGGTGATGGTGGAGGTACTAGAGGTGATGGCGGTCGTGGAGGTGATGGTGGAGGTAATGGAGGTGATGGTGGTGGTGGTGGTGGTACTGGAGGTGATGGTGGAGGTAATGGAGGTGATGGTGGTGGTGGTGGTGGTACTGGAGGTGATGGTGGAGGTAATGGAGGTGGTGGTGGTGGTGGTGGTGGAGGTACTGGAGGTGATGGTGGAGGTACTGGAGGTGATGGTGGTCGTGGAGGTGATGGTGGAGGTAATGGAGGTGATGGTGGTGGTGGTGGTGGTACTGGAGGTGATGGTGGTCCGTGGAGGTGATGGTGGTGGTGGTAATGGAGGTGATGGTGGTGGTACTGGAGGTGATGGTGGTGGTGAAGGTGATGGTAGAGGTAATGGAAGTGATGGTGGAGGTACTGGAGGTGATGGTGGTGGTGGTGGAGGTGACAGTGGTGATGCTGGTGGTGGTGGTGGTGGTGGTGGTGGTGGTGGAGGTGGTGGTGGTGGTGGTGGTGGTGATGGTGATGGTGGTGGTGGTGGTGGTGGAGGTGATGGTGGAGGTAATGGAGGTGATGGTGGTGGTGAAGGTGATGGTGGTGATGGAGGTGGTGGTGGTGGAGGTGACAGTGGTGATGCTGGTGGTGGAGGTGGTGGAGGTACTGGAGGTCATGGTGGTGGTGGAGGTGATAGTGGTGAAGGTGATGGAGGTGGTGGAGGTTATGGAGATAATGGTGGTGGTGGAGGTGATAGATATTTGAACATGCCTGACCTAAGAAAAGTTCATTTTCATTTTTGGCTGGGCACTATGGCTGATGCCTGTAACCCCAACTCTTTAGGAAGCCTAGGTGGAAGGGTGGCTTGAACCCAGGAGGTCAGGGCTGCAGTGAGCTATGACTGTGCCACTGCACTCCAACCCAGGTGACGGAGCGAGACCCTGTCTCTTAAAATATTTTTTTTACAGTGCATTTTCATGTGTTTCAACCTCCTAGTGTCCCTGCCAAAAATATTTTAATCTGAATCAAATCATGGGGAAATTATGAGACAAATCAGGTCAAAAGACAGTTTACAAAACAGTTGGCCTGAACTTTTCAAAACTGTCAACATGTTAAAAGAAAAAAGAAAAAAATGACCAGGGAACTCTTCTAGAAAAGAGATGTGATAAGTAAATGCAGAAAAGAGACGTGATAAGTAAGTACAGCGTGTGTCCCAGGAGGATCTAGGATCCAGTCAGGACAGGAGCTGGAGCACGAGAGGAACGGGGGTGGAGACCACTTCCTGGGGGCAGAGTGTCCTCCTCTCCACGTTGCACGTCCTGAGTGGGAAACCTGCACTGGAGTTGCACAGGGAAGGGCTAGGGTCTTAGGAGACCCTGCCCAGGTATGTAGTGGCAAGGTGCCATGATGCCTGCAACTTACTTTCCAACGGTTTGGGAGAGAAAATGCTCATTTGTGCAGAGTCCGAAGAGGGAGCACAGAGGAGAGAGGAAGAGTGAAAGCAGCTGTGTGAAGCGTGAATCGCACAGGACTGGAGTTGAATGAATGTGGGTGGTGGTGTGCTATTCTTGCGACCTTTTTGAAAGTTCAAAAATTTTCAAAGTATAACATGAGAGATAAGTCCTTTCAGAATAAAAAGCCGGTTGTGCAGTAGGAGGACCAGTAGTGGCCCCTGGTTGGGTCTCTGATTCTAGAAAGCCAACCTGGGCTGCTGTGACCGGCCACTAGCATGGCTGACTGTTGATGAAGGTTGGGGAGAGCCCTGGTGTTCGCGGAGTCCCGCGCTCTCTGTATTGCCGTAATGCTCTGTCTTTCTCCTTTCATGGGAGTGTGCCGTGGCATTTAGTCGTGAGAGTGGGTGTGACCTGTGTGCGGGTTTTGCAGGTCTGGAGGCGGCTGGTGGAAATCCAATTCCCCGCGGAGCATGGCTGGAAGGAGTCGTTGCTGGGAGACATGGAATGGAGGCTCACAAAGGTACCAAAAGTTTGGGGGCAGTCTTTTCAGGGCGTGAAGGCAAGCTGGAGAACCCCAGACCATTAGCGACAGCCAAGAGATCTCAGCAGTGCCTCTCTGTGGGCAGGGATGGGGTGAATCACAGCTCCGTGTTTCTGTTTCTGATCCAGCCCTTATAGTCTGTCCCTAGAAGAGCGCTTCGGAGTCTTACTGAGAGGACAGAGAAGAACAAGGGCCCAGGATCTCACCATCATGGGGGTGCGGGATTTTTCCTGACCCCTTCGTTGGACTTGCGACAGGGATGCTGTGTTTACTTGGCCCGCCGTGCTCAACCCCTTGTGGGAGGGAGCACGTGAGTGAGTGTGGCATCTGGCCAGCTGCTTTGGGAGCTGGCAGGAGCAAGCTCCGTGCAGGCCCTGCAGCAGTGCCCAGATTGAGGTGCCTGCAACCCCCGAAGCTCCAGAGGGCATGTTACAGTGCTCTCTTAGCTCCGCCGTCTATGGACAGTAGTGTGTTATCAGCTCAGTGGGTCCCTTGCCTTGTTGCCTAGGGTGGCTGCCCTCTGCCAGGGCCAATGTGACAGCCTCTTTTAGGTACCCACACTCGGTGGGTCCCAAGCTCTTGTCCAGCATCCAAGAAGAATGGGGTCACCCGGACACTTGAAGGATGGTGAAGGTGGAGAATTTTATTAAGCAATGGAAATGGCTCTCCATGGAGAGGGGAGCTGGAGAGGGGATGGGTCAGGTGGGGAATCTTCCTCTGGTCCAGGTGTCTGGCTGGCTCTTCCCTGAAGTCAGGACGTCTTTCCGAAGTTAAACCGTCTCTCCTTGGAAGTCCAGCCATCCCTCTGAAGTCAAGTCACCTGTTTCCAGTGAAGCTACTTCTCTCTCACTACCAAGTCTGGGGTCTTTATAGGCACAAGATAGGGGGCAGGGTGGGCCCTAGGTAGTTTTGGAAAAAGCAACATTCTATTGGTAAAAAGACATTACTCCGAAAGAACCAGTGGGGAGAGAGTAGGCACACGGGGATAGAGGTTCTCACTTTGGGCCATGGGTTTCAGGCTTTTCGGCTCGAAGGTGGGGTTTTGCCAGGGACCCGCCCCTGTCTGCGTAGGATTTCTCTGCCTCCTGCCTCCATCAATGGGGCCCCAGGCACAGGAGGGGCCAGGCCTGCCCATAGGCAGGAAGTCTAAGTGGCCTGTTGGTGACAGGAACCTCATGACACACAAGTGGAGAACACACAGACATGCCCCTCATGCTGAATTAAGGCCTGAGGCTCAAGGAAAATTAGTTTTTATGTGATATGAGAGTTTTATATGTAACTTTTTTTTTTTTTGAGACGGGGTCTCGCTCTATCGCCCAGGCTGGAGTGCAGTGGCGGGATCTCGGCTCACTGCAAACTCCGCCTCCCGGGTTCACGCCATTCTCCTGCCTCAGCCTCCCGAGTAGCTGGGACTACAGGCGCCCGCCACCGCGCCCAGCTATATTTTTGTATTTTTTGTAGAGACGGGGTTTCACCGTGTTAGCCAGGATGGTCTCGATCTCCTGACCTCGTGATCCACCCGCCTCAGCCTCCCAAAGTGCTGGGATGACAGGCGTGAGCCACCGCGCCCGGCCTATATGTAACTGTTAAATGGATCTTTAAAGGGAAAAGTCAGAAACAAGGAAAAATGACCTATGTCTCATAACTTACCTGTTTTTGCAAGCCAGGTGCTTTTTCTGCAGAGTGGGAAAAGAGACTCTTTTAAATTTTAGCCTTTGGTCTACTGGTGGGGGGCAGGGAGGACATGCTTTGCGTGGGCCAGGAGAAGCTTAAAATTGGGGGAAACAGTAAAACAGCAGGAAAGTAAAAATGATGAAAGAATTTTCATCCCATAGAGCACTGGAGCGCTGCATCCGAAAGCTCTGAAACCACCCCCCTTTGATTTTTGCAGGAGGAACCCCTCTCCCAGATCACTGCCTACTGCAATAGTTGCTGGGACACCAAAGGCTTAGAGGACAGTGTGGCCAAGACCTTCGAGAAATGCATCATTGAAGCCGTGAGCTCAGCCTGCCAGGTGAACAATCTCTCCTCCTGGGAAACGGATTCGGGCTCACAGCTGTGTTCTGCCATGACCCAGCTAAGGGCTATGAAGCACCCGCTGGGTCTCAGCTCCTCCGCTAACTCAGAGATTGGGAAGTGGGCACCCTCCTCCCTCGCCAAGGGCAATGGCGCTGAAATCTAGTTCTCTCCGGATTCCTCAGTGTGCTGCACAGTCCCTGCTGCTCGCACCATCCTGCATGTGTTCCATATGGAATCACGGCCGTGCGCGTGTGGCACAAGTCACACGGGCTTGCAGGCCGTTCCTCAGATGGCCCTGTCATCACTGTGGCTGCTGGTTTGATTGATTGTTAACACTTGCTCAGTAGGTGTGCGGGAAGAGACTCCAAAGGTTGACAGAACATTTATGGAAGCAAAATATGTGAAATGGAAAATTGTATCAATTTATTTAGCTCTTTTCGGCAAAGGGGAAGAGATTGTGCCCCCCTGTCTCCCAGGAACAGTCTCGCAGGCAATGCCACATGAGGAAGCTCCCTGCTGGCCACGGCTGCCCTGCTCACATTTCCTAATTGGACACTTAACCCCTGTACAAGCACAGCCTTGCGGCCACAGGGGAAGTCCAGAAACATTGAGGTCATTGAATTCCGGGGACCAAGGGGTTCTAATTTTTTAAGTGACTGATACCTTTGATAAGGTTTTCCTTTCCCTTTTTCGTTAACTCTTTGTTGAGATATTGTTCGTATGCCATACGGTACATCTGTCAAAAGTTCCAGTTCAGCAGGTTTTGGGGTAGTCACAGATATGTACAGTCATCACCACAGTTAATGACAGAGCATTTTCATCACTTCAAAGAGAAACCCGGCCCCTTTAGCCATCATCCTCCTCCCCTCTAGTCACCCACTCCCCTCTGCAGGCATAAACAATTGCTGAACATAAACAACTGCTTCTGTGGCTTTCTCTGTTCTGACTGTCATATGAATGGAATCATATCATATGTGGCCTTTTGGGTATGGCTTATTTCACTGAGCATAATGTTTTTTTGTTGTTGGTGGTGGTGGTTGTTTGTTGTTTTTGAGACAGAGTTTCACTCTTTTTGCCCAGGCTGGAGTGCAATGGTGCGATCCTGGCTCACCGCAACCGCTGCCTCCCGGGTTCAAGTGATTCTCCTGCCTCAGCCTCCCAAGTGCTGGAATTACAGCTACTTTTTGTTTAAAGAGTCTTTTAATTGTTTAAAGAACAATGTGCCGCCACACTCGGTTCCTTTTGTATTTTTAGAAGAGACAGGGTTTCTCCATGTTGGTCAGGCTGGTCTCGAACTCCCGACCTCAGGTGATCCACCCACCTTGGCCTCCCGAAGTGCCGAGATTACAGGTGTGAGCCACCGCGCCCGGCCGAGCATAATGTTTTGAAAGACCGCTCAGGCTGGACACGGTTGCTCACGCCTGTAATCACGGCACTTTGGGAGCCCAGGAGTTCAAGACAAGCCTGGGTAACAGAGTAAGACCCTGTCTCTATAAAAACTAAAAAATAAACAAAAAAAATTAGCCAGGCATGGCCGGGCACACCTGTGGTCCCAGCTACTTGGGAGGCTGAGGTGGGAGGCTCCCTTGGGCCCAGAAGGTCAAGGCAGCAGTGAGCCATGATCACACCACTGCACTTCAACCTGGGGGACAGAGCAAGACCCTGTCTCAAAAAGCAATAACAACAAAAGTCCATCCATATTGTAGCTTGTGTCCGTTTACGTTAAGTATTCCTTACCCAAAATGCTTGAGACCAGAAGTGTTTTGGATTTCAGATGTTTTCAAATTTTGGAATATTTGCATTTACATAATGAGATGTCTTCCAGATGGGACCCAGAGTCTAACCACAAAATTCACTTGTTTCATATACATCTTATACACATAGCCTGAAGGTAATTTTATACAATATTTTTAACAATTTTGTGCATGAGACAAAGTTTGTATTAAGTATTTGTATGTTGAATTTTTCACTTGTGGCATCATTATACTCAAAAAGTTTGGATTTTGTAGTATTTTGGATTTGGGGATTAGGAATGCTCAACCTATATTTCATTTTTTTCCATGGCCAAATATTCCCCGTTTATCCATGTGTCCATTGACGGCCATCTATGTTGCTTCTTCGGCTATTATAAATCTGCTGATACAAACATTAGTGTACATATTTATGTGTGGGTGTATGTCTTCATTTCTCCTGGGTGTATACCTCGATGTAGAATTGCTGAATCATATGGTAACTCCATGTTTAATTGTTTAAAGAACTGTCCGGCCGAGTCCCACAGCAGCTGAACCATTTTCAATCCCTCCAGCAGCATAGGAGGCTTCCAGGTTCTCCACATCCTCACTAACATGTGTTGTCTAACTTTTTGATTCTAGCCATCCTGGTGGGTATGAAGTGGTATCTCCTTGTGGTTTTTGTTTGTTTTTTGAGATGGAGTCTTGCCCTGTCACCCAGGCTGGAGTGCAGTGGCGTGATCTTGGCTCACTGCGACACCTCCACCTCCTGGGTTCAAGCAATTCTCCTGCCTCAGTCTCTCGAGTAGCTGGGACTACAGGCATGTGCCACCATGCCCAGCTAATTTTTGTATTTTTGGTAGAGACGGGGTTTTGCCGTGTGGGTCATGATGGTCTCGATCTCTTGACCTCATGATCCACATGCCTTGGCCTCCCAAAGTGCTGGGATTACAGGCGTGAGCCACTGTGCCCGGCCTCATTGTGGTTTTTAACTGCATTTCTCTGATAACTAATGATATCAAGCATCTTTTCATATGCTTATTGGATTTGTCTGTATCTTCTTTGGAGAAATGTTTATTGAGATATTTTGCCCCTCATCCCCCCCACCCCCCCTTTTTTTTTTTTTTTTTTGAGAAAAGGTCTCGCTTTGTCACCCAGGCTGGAATACAATGGCACGATCACAGCTCACTACAGCCTCAACCTCCTGGGCTGAAGTGGTCCTCCCACTTTAGCCTCCCGAGTAGCAGGGACTACAGGCATGTGCCACCATGTTCAGCTAATTAAAAAAAAAATTTCTGTGGGCCGGGCATGGTGGCTCATGCCTGTAGACCATCCTGGCTAACACGGTGACACCCTGTCTCTACTAAAAATACAAACAATTAGCTGGGCATGGTGGCATGTGCCTGTAGTCCCAGCTGCTTGGGAGGCTGAGGCCAGAGAATCACTTGAAGCCATGAGGTGGAGGTTGCAGTGAGCTGAGATTGTGCCACTGCACTCCGGCCTGGGCGACAGAGCGAGACTCTGTCTCAAAAAAAAAAATTTTTTTTCGTAGAGACAGGGTCTTGAGATGTTGCCCAGGCTGGTCTTGAACTCCTGGACTCACATGAACCTCCCTCCTTGGCCTTCCAAAGTGTTGGGATTGAAGGCATGAGCCACCGCACCTGGCCTCTTTTGCTCATTTTTAAATTGGGTTGTCTTTTTATTATAGAGTTGGGAGTCTTTATTCTATATACAAGTCACTTGTCAGATATATGATTGCAAGTATTTTCTCCCATTCTATGTGTTGTTTTTTCACATTCTTATTGGTTTCTTTTGAAGCACAGAAGTCTTTAATTTTGAAGAAGTTAGCATATCTGTTTTTTCTTTTGTTGCTTGTACTTTTGGTGTCAAAGAATCCTTTGCCAAATCCTAGGTGATGAAGATTTACTCCTATGTTTATTTATCTCTAAATGTTTTATAGTTTTAGCTCTTACATGTAGGCCTTTGATCCATTTTGAGTTCCTTTTTATATATGGTGTATATGGTGTGAGGTAAGGGTTCTGTTTCATTCTCTTGCATGTGGACATCCAGTTGTCCCAGCATTTGTTGAAAGGACTCTACATTCCCTGTTGAGTGATGTTGGCACTCTTGTCAAAAATCTGTTGACGATACATGTATGGATTTATTTCTAGATTTTCAATTCTATGTGGTGATCTACTTGCCTATCCTTGTGTCAGTACCACACTGTTTGGACTACCATTGCTTTCTAGTAAGTTTTGAAATTGGGATGTGTGAGTCCTCCTACTTTGTTCTTATTTTTCAAGATTGTTTTGGCTATTTTGGGTCCCTTGCAATTTCATAAGAATTTTAGAATCAGTATGTCAGTTTCCACTGACAAGGAAGTCAGCTGGGATTCTGGTAGGGCTGGTATTCAATGTATAGATCAGTTTGGAGAGCATTGCCATCTTAACAAGGTTAAGTTGGATTTCTTTCATTCAATTAGATTTTTTTTTTTCCCCTGTTAGACAGAGTCTCGCCCTGTTGCCCAAGCTGGAGTGCCCAAGTAGCTGGGACTACAGGTGTCCACCACCATGCCTGGCTAATTTTTGTATTTTTAGTAGTTTCACCATATTGGTCAGGGTGGTCTCGAACTCCTGACCTCAGATGATCAACCCGCCTTGACCTCCCAGAGTCCTGGGATTACAGGCATGAGCCACCATTCCTGGCCAATTTCTTTTAACAATGTTTTGTATTTTTCATAGTTTAAATTTTGCACTTCTTTTGTTAAATTTCTAAGTACTTTTTTTTGGGGGGGGGTGCTATTGTAATTGGAATTGTTTTCTGAATTCTGTTTCCAGATTGTTCCTTGCTGGTGTCTAGACACACAGTGCTCCATGCGTCTTGTATCCTGCAACATTGCTGAGCTCATTTGGTAGCTCAAATTGTGTGTGCGTGTGTGTGTGTGTGTGCATGAGAGAGAGAATTAAATTTTCTATACATAAGATCATATCATCTGTGAATAGAGTTTCACTTCTTCCAATCTGGATGCCTTTTATTTCTTTCTCTTGCATAACTGCCCTGGCTAGAACCTCCAGTACAATGTTGAATGAAAGTATTGAAAGTGGACATCTTTGTCTTGTTCTGATCTTAAGAGAAGGTTTCAGTCTTTTGCCACCAGGTGTGATGTCAACGTGAGCTTTTCATAGATGCCCTTTATCAGTTTGTGGAAGTTCCTTTTTGTTCCTCATTTGTTGAATGCTTTTTTTTCTTTAATCATAGAAGAGAGTTGGATTTTGTCAAATGCTTTTCCCGTATCTACTGAAATGATCATGCGATATTTTCCTAATGTTATTAACTGATATTTGATGTTAAATCAACCTTTCATCCCTGAGATAAATTACACTTGATCGTGGTGTATAGTTCCTTTAACATGGGGCTGGATAAGGTTTTCTTTTATCCTTTTAAATGTCAGAAAGTATCTATTATAAATTAACCTTGTGGTTTTTACTAATTACTGAAATGTTTTACAGAAACTTTGAACCTAAAGGAAGAAAAATATTGTTTCTCGGAGGAGAATTAAAAAGAGAATTAAAATGTATATGTTGTTTGTAGGCAGCTTTTTAAAAGAATTATGGTTTAGGAACATAAAATATATGCTATATTAAGGGTTTATTCATTTTTGGTATTTTTCATGATATGAAAGTCCAAAAAAAAATGTAGAAACTGGCAGCCAGAAGGAAGGAGGGTGACTGGTTATGTTGGTGTGTGTTTGTGTGTGTGTCTTCACATCTCTGGTGCTGGACACTTAAGGAGGCAGTATACAAGGAAATGAAAATTTTCGAAGAAATGTAAAGTGTTTTACTATTTTGCTCTTTTTGTGGCCTTATAAAACAAGTTACAGTAGATTTCAGAAATGCTATCGAGTAGGTAATTTGCTTTTGTTATTTCAAAACAAACTAATGAAAAACTTCTAAATGTCCCTCTTTTATTAATTTTCTTGTAGTCTCAGACCAGTATCCTTCAGGGGTTCTCTTACTCTGATTTGCGGAAATTTGGCATCGTCTTGTCTGCTGTGATCACTAAGTCCTGGCCTAGGACCGCGGACAACTTCGATGACATTTTAAAGCATCTGCTCACGTTGGCAGATGTCAAGCACGTCTTCAGATTGTGTGGTATGTTTGCGGGAGTGCTGGGAACATCAGCTCAGGCAAGGTGGTGTCTTCCTGATTGGGAAAGGTGGGAGGCAGAAGATTTGACATGATGATACTGAATTGGGATGGGCTGATGTTTGACAAAGGCTGCAGTTTGGACAGAGAGACCCTGGAAGGCTCAGAGTGTCTTGCGTTGTAAATAATAACTAATGCTAACAGCCACTATTCATTGAATGCTTGCTGTACCCTAGCGACTGTGCTGGGTCGCAAGGGAAGTGCCCTTGAAACAACCCTTCTGAAAGTCCCCTTTAAGGCCCCCAGTTTTCAGATCAGGAAACAAATGGAGAAGGCAATGCGACTTACCTAAGGTCTCAAAGATTATAAGTAGTAAAAACTAAAATCCAGACCCAGGTATGTCTTATTTGGAGATCAATATAGAATGTCCAAGCCAACATTGATGACCTCAACAGAAAGTGAAGTACTGTGCTGTCTGATTTCCCCCCAGCCCCCCGCGCCCCAGGTGTTTTGTGGTCAAGGAGGGAGAGAGAGAGACATTCCATCCTAAAAACGTTAGAGTCCAGTTGGCGTGTGAGACCTTAGATTCATATCTTTCAGTGAGAAGGCGCTGGATGTGGAACAGCCAAAATCAATGCTGAGCTTCCTACACATCAGGGAAGCTGTGGGGATCAAATAACTGAATTAATATGGGAGTGCACAAGTAAAAGCTACTCTCTTGAAAAGATCATTTTTGTGTTATTTGTATTTATTTATTTATTTATTTATTTATTTATTTATTTTGGAGATGGAGTCTCGCTCTCTCACCCAGGCTGGAGTGCAGTGCTGTGATCTCAGCTCACTGCAACCTCTGCCTCCCGGGTTCAAGCGATTCTCCTGCCTCAGCCTCCCAAGTAGCTGGGATTACAGATGTGAGCCACTGTGCCCAGCAGTTTATTTAATTTTAAAACAAGGTCTTCTCTGTTGCGCAAGTTAGCATGTAGTAGAGTGATGCCATCATCGCTCACCGTAAGCGCTGACCTCCCGGGCTCACGTGATCCTCCTGCCTCAGCCTCCCAAGTGGCTGGCACTCCAGGCGTGCACCACCATACCCAGCCTGTTTATAAGTTGGATAGAATTTTTTAGAGCACTTTGATGTGTACAGAAAAATTGAGCAGAAAGTACAGAGAGTTGTCATCTATCTCTGCCACCATCACACGGGCAGTACCCTGTTAGTAACATGCAGCATTAGTGTGGTGCTTTTGTTACAGCTGAGAAGCCAATATTGATAACACTGTTATTAACTAAAGTCCATAGTTCGTTCCTGGTGTTGTCCATTCTCTGAGGTTTGGATAAACCATGGCCTGTGTCCACCATTCCAGTATCGTGCAGAATAGTTGCGCTGCCCCTACAAAATCCCATGCTCCACCCCTCCCATTTCCTTTAGTCTTTTCCAGAATGTCCTATGGTTGGAATCTTATAGGATGTCGCCTTTAGACTGGCTTCCTTCACTTAGTAATACGTATTTATGTTTCCTCCATGTCTTTTCATGGCTTGAGAGCTAACTTCGTTTTACCACTGAATAATATTCTATTGTATGGATGTGCTACCATTCGCTTACCCGTTCACCTCATGAAAGACATCTTGGTTGCTTCCAAGTTTTTGCAATGATTAGTAAAGCTACTATGTTTGTTTCTTATGGTGCAGATAAGCTTCATCTTCTCCTAATATTGTATGGCTCTAATATTACTGGGAGAGAAATCCTAAGTGGTTAAACAAAACATGTATAAAAATTCTGCCCTCTAAATTTATCATAAAATCAGTTCCAAGATTTTGCAAGATAATGAAGTTGTACAGAGTATAAAGTTATCACATGGCTGTTTCTCTCTTTGCATATGCTATGAAAGTGTCTCCCTAAGACCATCCTGATAGACATTGCTAGGTATGTCTGCATCCTCTGGTGCAGTTTCTTCTGTTGTAGGTATTCCTAGGGCAGGGGCTTTTTAAAGAAGATTCTGTGTATTCTATTTAAAAAATATACTCAGGCCATGTGAGGTGGTTCATGCGTATAATCCTAATGTTTTGGGAGGCCAAGGCGGGAGGATCTCTTGAGCCCAGGAGTTTGAGACCAGCCTGGGCAACAAAGTGAGACCCTGTTCTCTACAAAAAATTTTGAAAGTTTGCCAGGCATGGTGCTGTGCACCTGTGTTCCTAGCTACTCGGGAGGCTGAGGCAGGAAAATGAGGTTACAGTGGGCTATGGTTGTGCCACTGCACTCCAGCCTGGGTGACAGAGAGAGACCCTGTCAAAAAAAAAAAAAAAAGGAAGTCAGTCCATCCGTATACTGAAGGGGACGTGGGTTTTAACCTGAGAAATGTGTCTCCCAGCTGATTTTGGCCATTGCGGGAAGTCATCTTCTTGGACAAGGAAGTTGTTCAGGGGATGAATCTGGGCAAGACCTAACCCTCGTGGGGGAAAGCAGAAGGGAGTGGAATGATTGGCGCATCTGGAGACACTGGCCAGCCATTGCCTGTGTTTGAGGAAGTGGGGGCAGAACAAGAGGTTATCTGGAATTCCCACGGTAACGGCAAAGAGGCAGGAGGTGGGGAGCCCACTGTGTTAACTGTGTTCTTCATCTATTCAGGAACCGACGAGAAAATACTAGCAAATGTCACAGAGGATGCCAAGAGGCTGATAGCTGTTGCCGACTCTGTGTTGACGAAAGTTGTTGGTGACCTCCTAAGTGGCACGATTTTAGTTGGACAACTGGAGCTGATTATAAAGCACAAGAATCAGTTTCTTGACATCTGGCAACTGAGTAAGCATCGAGTCGATACGCACTTCAGGCTCCTGAGGCATTAAGTAGCTGGAAGACACGTTTGTGTTTGCGTGTGCATTTTTGTAAAGGAGATAATCATCTTAGCCTTGATAATGAGTATCTCTTCTTGCTCATAAGTTGATAGGGGTGGTTTATAATTCTCAAGAACATCACGGGAAAGTGATAAAATAATGGCCATCTCGAAAAAGTGGGTATGCGCAAAACCATCCTAGTCCTTCTCCTGGTGGCGGGGAAGGTGCGGCGCTTTCAAAGCATTGCCATGGAAAATGGCATTTGTTGCTGTATTGGGTTACTTTATTGGTGTTCTTATTTTCCAGGGGAAAAAAGTCTTTCACCCCAGGATGAACAATGTGCTGTGGAGGAAGCACTGGATTGGAGAAGGGAGGAACTGTTACTTCTAAAGAAAGAGAAAAGATGTGTTGATAGTCTCCTGAAGATGTGTGGGAACGTGAAACATCTGATACAAGGTGGTATTCCTGAGAAGTGAACAAAGTTGAGGGCTCTCAAAGGGTTAGAGGAGAACACAGTAAGAATGGATCACAGTAGCAGATCTTTATTTTGGAGAGAAGGCTTTAAAATTTTTTTTTTAATTTGCATTTGCTGGGGGGATCGCTTTCACCTCTTTTAGATTCTTCTTTTTGGTATTTATGTCCACATTTCCAAATAACATGCTTAAGTGTCTCCTGGATTTTTCCGGAGTCAGCATGAGCTGCTGACGCCCGCTGCAGAAGATGAGGGCTTAGAGCCACACATTTCTGGTCTGTGCCCTGCACACATCACCTTTCCACCTCCTGTTGCTTCCTGTTTTCTCATAACGGAGTTGCATCATTGTTTAGGGTTAAATCATCAGGACCCACACGGATCACAAGTGAACCACGAAAGAAACCGTCATCATTTTACAATTTTTGCACAAACTCTCTGTTTTCCACAGAATTACATTTCCTGTCAGATGCTGTTTTCACTGCGTTAATGATACGCTGTTTTCATTGTATTAATTTCTAATTCCATCGCAATCTCTGCCGAGTGTCTGAATTTCCTTGAAGATCATTGGTTTGACCTTTGAAAAGGAACCTGCCAACCCTGGGCTGCAGACGTAGGGTGGAGTCTCCCTCCACCTCCTAGGAGCCTTTGCCTGGCACCTGGGTTAGACGTGGTTCCCACGCCCCCCTCCCCCGCTACTCACTCCTGCTTCCTCTGTTGGCAGAGCACACCCTCACTGGCTTCCTGAGAAAAGGGCGTGTAAGAGGTTAAACCCTCGAATCCTTGTGTGTCTAAAGATGTCTGTCCTCTTACTAGGTCAGTCGCTCGGCTAGGTCTAGAATTACAGACCGGAAGTCATTTTCCTTCTGAAGTTTCAATGTGCTGCGCCATCATTGCCTCCACAGTGTGGCTATGTATGGAGAAGTCCGATGCAGTGCCAGTTACACATCCTTCATGTGTGTGACCTGTTTTCTCTTTCTTGAAGCTCTTGAGCTCTTTCTGTTACTCATATTCTGAAATAATAACGTGTCTTGGCCTGGATCTATGTTCCATCGAGGCTGGGCATGTTGGCTCCCACCTGTAATCCCAGCACTTCAGGAGGCCAAGGCAGGAGGACTGCTTGAGTCTAGGAGTTTGAGACCAGCCTGGGCAACATAGCAAGACCCCATCTCTAAAAAAAATACAAAAAAATTAGCAAGACACGGTGGTGCATGCCTGTATTCCCAACTACTTGGGAGGCTGAGGCAGGAGGATCACTTGAGCCTGGGAAGTCGAGGCTGCAGTGAGCCGAAATCACGCCACAACACTCCAGCTTGGGTGACAGAGTGGGACCCTGTCTCAAAAAATAAAATATTTTCAGTCCCCTCTATTGGGTATTAATAGGTAGGTCTTTCAACTCTAGACATCAAAATCCTTGAGTTCTGGGAAATTCTCTTGAATGATTTAATTTTTTCTTCTCTTGCTGGAATTCCTGTTAATTGGATATGGGACCTCCTGGATGATCATCTAACTGTCATCATTTTTCTCTCGGATTTTCTATCTCTGTTTTTTGCTCTGCTCTTGAGAGATTTATTCAGAACCAAACTTTCTGCTTAGGTTTTCATGTCAGCTTTCGTATATATATTTAATGTAGAGGAATTCTTTTTCTCGGAATGTTCCTTTTTAAATTCTGTCCTGTTCTTGTTCACGTTGCAGCATCTTCCCTTCTGGGTTATTCACCGTTTTGTTTTGGAGGTTTTGCTTTTCCTGGCATCATGTGCTGCTTCCTCCAGGTTCCTTTCACTTGTTGATTTGTTTTGATTTTCCTCCTATGTCTGGACATTCTTGTTTGTCTGTGTTTATTAAGAGAAAGCCCTCACAAGTGGGTTGGCCCTCTGCGGGGTGCTGCCGTGGGGTGCTGTGGCTCGACCTGGAAGTTGGCCTGTCTCCTGAAGTCTTCTGTCTCCTGCCTGGAGGGTGTGGGCCTGGCTGCCAGGTTTCTGGGAGCCAAGAGGGAGAAGCGGGCTGGCGGGCCTTGGCATCCCGTGCGTGGTCCTCCCATGGCCCGTGTTCTCAGTGTGGTTCTCCGCCACCTCCCTCTGTCTCCTGTGTTTCACACCCCATCCTCCTTCCCCCTGAGATTGGATAATTCATGTCTTCTGTTAGCTTCCTGAGAAAGGGGATGTGTCTAGAAAGGCCCTTTGTTCTGCCATGTATCTGTGGCCTCCAATCCACACGCCCCCCTGCGTTATCCTTTCTAGAAAATGAACCATCTCTTGGCTGCTGGGGTGAAGAAGGGGGTCCACCTGCTGTGTCAGGGCATTGGGGTGACAGTTGGTGTGCTGGATGGACCATGTCTTTTTTTTGGGACAGAGTCTTGCCCTGTTGTCCAGGCTGGAGTGCAGTGGCTCAGTCTCGGCTCACTGCAACCTCTGCTTCCTGGGTTCAAGTGAATCTTGTGTCTCAGCCTCCCTAGTAGCTGAGATTACAGGTGTCCACCACCACGTCCAGCTAGTTTTTTGTATTTTTAGTGGAGATGGGATTTCATCATGTTGGCCAGGCTGGTCTTGAACTCCTGACCTCAAGTGATCCATCCGCCTCAGCCTCCCAAAGTGCTGGGATTACGGGCGTGAGCCACTGTGCCCAGCCTGGACCGTGTCTTAAACAGACTTTGAACCCAGTCTTCCTTATTTCATCACCACCTCCCAGTCTGCAGTGACCTGCACAATGTGTGTCTGCTTTTTGGGAATCCTGTGACATAAAACTACTCAGCTCTCAGTGTTGCCCACTGGGACCCTAGGACTCCATGTTACCAGGCCTCATGTGTCATTTACCACTGGTTCAGCTCGTTTTCAACTTCTAAAATTTTGTTCCTGTTATCCTGTTCGCCATTCCTCCTCCTGTCCTTGTCAGTTTATGACTTTTTTTTTTTTTTTTGATATGGAGTCTCACTCTGTCACCCAGGCTGGAGTGCAGTGACACAGTCTCAGCTCACTGCAACCTCCACCTCCCAGGTTCAAGTGATTCTCCTGCCTCAGCCTCCTGAGTAGCTGGGATTACAGGTGCGCTCCACCACGCCTGGCTAATTTTTGTATTTTTAGTAGAGACAGGGTTTTGTCATGTTGGCCAGGCTGCTCATGAACTCCTGACCTCAGGTGATCCGCCCATCTCAGCGTCCCAACGTGCTGGGTGGGATTACAGGCATGAGCCACTGCGCCCAACTAGTTTATGACTTTTTAAATGCAATTTATGTTCTGTCATTGGAGTGGGGTTTGGCAAAGAGAGTAAATAGGTGCGTGTTTTCCCACTGCCATCTTTACCCAGAAGTTTATGATGCTTTCTTTATCATGAATATTGGTTAACAAGGCCAAGCGGGGAGGGAAAGACCTGTGAACTCTTCCTGAGAAAGAAATCCTAGCAGCTGTGTGCTCTTGAGTTCGCTCAGAGAAGTGAGGAGAGAAAGTCTTAGGAAAGTGAAATAAAATGGAATCATGATTAGAGCTTTGACTTCTGACACTTTCTTTTCGCTTCTAAAGTGGACTTTGGAGTGCTTGCAGTAAGACACTCACAAGACCTCAGCAGTAAAAGATTAAATGACACCGTGACAGTGAGACTGTCCACCTCCTCGAACTCGCAGAGGGCAACGCATTACCACCTGAGCTCCCAGGTCCAAGAAATGGCTGGGAAGATAGACTTGCTCAGAGACAGCCACATCTTCCAGCTCTTCTGGCGGGAAGCCGCAGAGCCGCTGAGTGAGCCTAAGGAGGACCAGGAAGCCGCAGAGTTGCTGAGTGAGCCCGAAGAAGAATCAGAAAGGCACATCCTTGAGCTTGAAGAGGTGTATGACTATTTGTATCAGCCTTCTTACAGAAAGTTCATTAAGTTGCACCAGGATCTAAAGTCAGGAGAGGTCACCCTTGCAGAGATTGATGTCATCTTCAAGGACTTTGTGAATAAATACACGGACCTGGATTCAGAACTTAAGATCATGTGCACCGTGGACCACCAGGACCAAAGAGATTGGATCAAGGACCGAGTCGAACAGATCAAGGAATACCATCACCTGCACCAGGCTGTCCACGCAGCCAAGGTCATCTTGCAGGTCAAAGAGAGCCTGGGACTGAACGGTGACTTCAGTGTTCTCAACACTTTACTAAATTTTGTAAGTTATTTGCTGGGGACTGTGGGGGTTTGGAGGGGCGTCCTGCCTCAGCCTCTTCAGGAGCCATGGGCTTTGTGGCTTTGAAAAGGGGGGCGGATGACTTAGAGCTTCCGTCAGGGGCTCCTGTGTGTGTGGTACTTGAGGCCTGAATATCCCAAGGGCTTTGTTTTTACCTTTGTTATAAATAGTACCACTGCTCCTTAGCCAGAGGGAGTTTCCTTGGGTCTGCGTGAAGATCAAGAACTCAGGAAAGGGCAACAATCCTCTTTTCATAACGGGCATTTGTAAAGGGTCATAGGCTCTCTCTAGGTTACAGAAGCCAAAAAGCAAAACACTTTGTCGGCTGCCCAACTGCATCTCCCAGTTCCACCCAAAAGCGGTAAATCAGTTGTTTCTGTTAGAGTTAAGAGGTGACTCTTTTGCTTTTTTTTTTTTGAGATGGAGTCTCGCTCTGTCGTCCAGGCTGGAGTGCAGTGGCGCGATCTTGGCTCACTGCAAGCTTCGCCTCCCAGGTTCACGCCATTCTCCTGTCTCAGCCTCCCAAGTAGCTGGGACCACAGGTGCCCGCAACCACGCCCGGCTAATTTTTTTGGTATTTTTTTTTTTTTTTAGCAGAGACAGGGTTTCACCGTGTTAGCCAGGATGGTCTCGATCTCCTGACCTCGTGATCCACCCACCGTGGCCTCCCAAAGTGCTGGGATTACAGGCGTGAGCCACCGTGCCCGGCTGAGTCTTCTGCTTCTTATGTTTTTAGGTAGACCGAGATAATGATTAGAATTTAGCTGGGCACAGTGGCTCATGCCTGTAATCCCAGCACTTTGGGAGGCTGAGGTGGGCAGATCACCTGAGGTGAGGAGTTCGAGACCAGCCTGACCAACATGGAGAAACCCCATCTCTACTAAAAATACAAAAATTAGCCGGGTGTGGTGTCAGGTGCCTGTAATCTCAGCTACTAGAGAGGCTGAGGCAGGAGGATCGCTTGAACCACGGAGGCGGAGGTTGCAGTGAACCGAGATCGTGCCACTGCACTCCAGCCTGGGCGACAGAGTGAGACTCTTATCTCAAAAAAAAAAACCAAAAAAAAAACCTGGAATCCCATCCATTTACACTTGAACCCTAGTGCACGTCCTCGAGGAAGCAACTGCTCTGGGCCTTTATTGACAAAGCAGAAAAAGCAACAGTAGTTACTTGGCAGGGTTATGTGAGGAATTGATTTTAAAATCCACTTTATTAAAATGCTTAGCAGAATATCAGGTTCCCAGGAATCACAGTTCATCTTGATCAGGGAGAAACAGCCATGGGGGTTTGATCATCCAATTCAGGGGTAAGAGCTTGGTGTGCCTGTTGTCACAGCAGTGGCAAATCTAGGCATTGAGGGAGGGTGGGGCTGCTGGGACGGTCAGTGCTTGCAGCTCACAGATTCTGGGGTTCTGGTTAATGAGTTCCAGTCCACAGTAGAGCTTTTTCTTGCAGACTGATAACTTCGACGACTTTCGCCGTGAAACACTGGACCAGATCAACCAGGAGCTCATCCAGGCCAAAAAGCTGCTCCAGGACATCAGCGAGGCCCGGTGCAAGGGGCTGCAGGCTCTGTCCCTGAGAAAGGAGTTCATCTGCTGGGTCCGGGAGGCTCTTGGAGGTAAAATCAGCCTTTGGGGTTGCGTGGAAGTGTGGAGAAAGTTTTCAGATGGCGCACTGTGTGGCGTTCCTAAACTCTTTGGCAATACCTCCCCTTGGCCAAGGACTACGTAAAGGGCAGAAAGACGTTGCCTGCATGCTTTAGGGAGATGGGCACTGATCATAGAGTTCACACCGGTACAGTATTTCCCATGTGCTGCTGTAAAAGCCACTCACCTTGCCACACCCCGCCACTTCGGAAGCTGTAAATGGCTCAGGTTCCTTTTCCTTAAAATCTTGCCCCCTTCAGCTTTTTCTTCCAGTAGATTTTTACTGGAGGACAAGGAGAGTTCCTGCCCACAGAGAGGTTTTTTTTTTTTGTTTGTTTGTTTTTTTGAGACAGAGTCTCGCTCTGTCGCCCAGGCTGGAGTGCAGTGGCGTGATCTTGGCTCACTGCAAGCTCTGCCTCCCGGGTTCACGCCATTCTCTTGCCTCAGCCTCCCGAGTAGCTGGGACTACAGGCGACCGCCACCACGCCCGGCTAATTTTTTGTGTTTTTAGTAGAGACGGGGTTTCACTGTGTTAGCCAGGATGGTCTCGATCTCCTGACCTCGTGATCAGCCCGTCTTGGCCTCCCAAAGTGCTGGGATTACAGGCATGAGCCACTGCACCTGGCCTTTTTTTTTTTTTGAGACGGAGTTTCGCTCTTGTTGCCCAGGCTGGAGTGCAGTGGTGCAATCTCGGCTCACTGCAACCTCCACCTCCTGGATTCAAGCGATTTTCCTGTCTCAGTCTCCTGAGTAGCTGGGATTACAGGCGCCCGCCACCACACCCAGCTACTTTTTTGTATTTTTAGTAGAGATGGGGTTTCACCGTGTTGGCCAGGCTGGTCTTGAACTCCTGACCTCAGGTGATCCACCCATCTCAGCCTCCCAAAGTGCAGGCGTGAGCAAGTACAGGCGTGAGCCACCGCGCCTGGCCCCACAGAGAGATTTTTCTCACTTCTCCATTGATGCTGTGCGTTTCTTGGCAGCCTCTTCAGTTCTGTGGCTTAGATGTCGTTGGCAGAGGAGAGAGGAAGAGGCAGAGGAGGCAGGAGGGGCACAGGTGGCAGTGCAGGTGTGCTCGGGGGTCTGGGGGCCACCACCTGCTGGATCTCAGGCTCTGGCTCTCTTGGGAGAGCCGCTGCTTTCAGTGGTGGACTCTCTGGTCCACACTGATGCACATCCTTCAGTGAGTAATTTATCTGAGGGGAATGATCTGAGTGTTTCATAGTTAATTGTGAACATGTTATTTACAGCTGAGCCTTGGTTTC
The DNA here is from genome assembly GCF_000001405.40 of Homo sapiens. NCBI lineage: Eukaryota > Metazoa > Chordata > Mammalia > Primates > Hominidae > Homo > Homo sapiens. Next base: position 80,335,564 of record NC_000017.11, read on the forward strand.
TTTTTGTTTAAATGGTAATGTTGTGTGGATTGAAGGAAAGAGCATACACAGAAGTGCAGTACAGTGCCTGGGACATTGAAATTGCTCAGGAACGGCAAGATATCGTTTAGTGCTATTAACAGACAGTACAGGCTGGGCGTGGTGGCTCACACCTGTAATCTCAGCACTTTGGGAGGCCAAGTCGTGTGGATCACCTGAGGTCAGGAGTTGGAGACCAGCCTGACCAACATGGTGAAACCTGGTCTCTACTAAAAATACAAAAAATTAGCCAGGCGTGGTGGTGGGCGCCAGTAATCCCAGCTACACGGGAGGCTGAGGCAAGAGAATCACTTAAACCTGGAAGGTGGAGGTTGCAGTGAGCCGAGATCATGTCACTTCACTCCAGCTTGGGTGACAGAGTGAGACTCTGTCTCAAAAAAAAAAAAAAAAACTACAAAAGATTAGGTGTTCCGGACTCTTACTGAAAGCAGAAAGTGGACAGAACCTTAAAAATTCATGAAATATCCATTTCAGCTTCAGTAAGGATTACTGCCCAAGACCGAGTCTTGTGCTATCGTGGAATAGTCCCACGCTGAACTCCCCTCTTCTCTTCCCCAGGCATCAATGAGCTGAAGGTGTTTGTGGACCTGGCCTCCATCTCAGCGGGGGAGAATGACATTGATGTGGACCGGGTGGCCTGCTTCCATGACGCTGTGCAGGGCTACGCATCCCTGCTATTTAAGCTGGACCCCAGCGTGGACTTCAGTGCATTCATGAAGCATCTGAAAAAGCTGTGGAAGGCTCTGGATAAGGACCAGTACCTGCCCAGGAAACTGGTGAGTCTTATTCTGTCTCTAATGCAGATTTTGTTGAATAGAGCATTGCTTAGCAACGTTAGGGCAGTGACTGTGGAAATGGTGGCACACCTGTGTGGTAGGTTTGTACACAGCCGTTTTCAATGATATTTAAAAAGCTTTTCTTCATAAATGGAAATTCACCATCTTGTTACCTAGAAAGCAGGATACAAAATTACATGACACATAGTAATCTCTAAGGTGCAAAACACACGTGGAAAAAAGACAGAAGGGAAATATGCTGAAACGTTGCCAGGAGTTTTCTCTGAATGGTTGTAATTGTCATTTTATTCTGTTACTTTTTGTTATTTTCTATAATTGATAGAATTTTTTATCAGAAAAAAGTAAACATTTAAAATTAGCCAGGCATGGTGGTGTGCGCCTGTAATCCCAGCTACTCTGGAGGCTGAGACAGAATTGCTTGAACCCGGGAGGCAGAGATAGCAGTGAACTGAGATCACACCACTGTACTCCAGCCTGAGTGACAAAGTGAGACTCTGTCTCAAAAAAAAGAAAAGAAAAGAAAAAAGTAAACATTTAAGTTTAAGTAAACTACCTGTAGCAGGGTCTGAATTGACGTACGCAGCTTAACTAGATACCTGGGCCAGCCTCCGGACGGCTGCTCTGCATGTGGGTGGAGGAAGAAGTGACATATGGAAGGGCAGGTAAAGCTATCTTCATTTTTCTGCTAGAAAGTCAGCAGAGTTTCCAAACAAAACCCTCTGTTGTGATTTTTCCTAAACTTCTCTTATTGTACTTGGGGACCACAGAAGGACACTGAGGACTTGGGACTCCACAGCCATTGCTTCCAGCGTCACCCCCAGAGGGTTCTCTGCATTGGGGACCTGGCAGAATGATGGCGTCTGGTAGAGAGGCAGGCGGGCGGCTGCTCATTCCCCTCCACTCCTCCACAGATGTAAGTCAAGTGCCCCCATGTGCCAGCCGGGGCACCAGGCACTGGAGGAAACGTGGAACAGCGAGTACAAAGCAGCACTGAGTGACAGATCATGTTGTCAGGGTGGCACCTGGTCCAGCTGGGGCGCTGGGTGGGCGACTGCGTCCTGAGCCCTGGGGAAGCGTGGGGAGAAGGCTCTGCAGCGAGGCAGAGGCGGGAGGCCGACCACAGGAGGGAGAAGGGCAAGATCCTCGCTCCAACCGTGGCCCGTGTTCTCTCCTTTTGTCCCCATAGTGTGACTCCGCCAGGAACTTGGAATGGCTGAAGACTGTGAATGAGAGTCATGGGTCTGTGGAACGCTCATCCCTGACCCTGGCCACGGCCATCAACCAAAGAGGCATCTATGTGATCCAGGCGCCCAAAGGTGGCCAAAAGGTGAGCGGTCCCCAGCCCTCGGCGCAGCTGCGGCCCTTCTGCAGGCTGCTGCCAGTCCAGGTCTTCTGGCCCCAAGAAAGTGACTTCTAACCTATGCTCTTCACAGATTTCCCCAGACACGGTTCTGCACTTGATCCTTCCTGAGAGCCCTGGCAGCCACGAGGAGTCACGAGAGTACTCTTTAGAGGAGGTGAAGGAGCTTTTGAACAAGTTGATGCTGATGTCTGGCAAGAAGGATCGTAACAACACGGAAGTGGAGAGGTTTTCAGAGGTGAGGGCGCATCTTTGCAGTGGCGCTAAGCTGGTGGTGTCATCTCGTCCGTGAGGGCTGTGTACTCCCAAGAAAACGGAAAGGATTTGACTTGGGATTTGACTGATAAGAAGGGCTCTGCTCTTAGGCCCATGGAGAGTAGAGTTGGCACATTTGTAGGGTGCATGGAACTCTAGTCCGCGGCCCCAGAGAGGTCTTAAGGCAGGCAGGCCCCTGGGTTAGCAGTCCCTCCTTACGATCCGTAGGATGAACGCTGAAGCTGGCAGCCTGTCCACCGCACTGAGAAGGAGGTTGGTCACCCAGCAAATAGCCCTTAGAAAGACACTTGAATTGCCTCTCTCACTCTGTAAATCAGCAAGAATCCAAATAACTAAGATTTAGATGGACAAAACAGAAGTAATCATATTGAGAATGGTGTACCGGTCTAAGTAATAGTCTCTCAATTTTATTATAGGTTCTTTCTCTAAAGTTGATTTGTACTTTACAAATGGTATCCTTTATCTCTGCTGGGTGCAGTGGCTCACACCTGTAAAGCCAGCACTTTGGGAGCCCAAGGTGGAAGGCTCATTTTAGCCCAGGAGTTCATGACCAGCCTGGGCAACATAGCGAGACCCTGTCTCAAAAAGTATAAGGTTTTTTTTTTTCCCAATTAAAAAAAAAAGATAATTTAAAAAAATTAAAACAGTCCAGGCATCATGGTTCACACTTTGGGAGGCCGAGGCGGGCCTATCACTTGAGGTCAGGTGTTTGAGACCAGCCTGGCGATATGGTGAAACCCCATCTCTACTAAAATTACAAAAATTAGCCGGGCATGGTGGCACGTGCCTGTAATCCCAGCTGCTCCGGAGACTGAGGCAGGAGAATTGCTTGAACCCAGGAGGCAGAGGTTGCAGTGAGCCGAGATCACACCACTGCACTCCAGCCTGGGCAACAATGCAAGACTCCATCTCAAAAAAAAATTAAAAAAAAAAAAAAATTAAAACAAATGATACCATTTATCTCTACAATGACTCTTTCCCTGATGAGAGTGCCATCTTCTCAGGTGGGTTGTGTAGATGAGGAGGGAGGCCTTGTGAGCGCAGATCATGCAGTGGGCCTGTGGACAGGGCCGTCTTTTGGCGGTAGGCCTGTGTGCTGTTGCAGAGTAGCGTGTTACCCTCTCGCATGGCTCTGTGAGCCAACCTCATGGTTCTGCCTCTCCAGGTCTTCTGCAGTGTGCAGAGGCTCAGCCAGGCCTTCATCGACCTGCACTCTGCTGGGAATATGCTGTTCAGGACGTGGATCGCCATGGCCTACTGCTCCCCCAAGCAGGGTGTGTCCCTCCAAATGGACTTTGGCTTGGACCTGGTGACGGAGCTTAAAGAAGGTGGAGATGTCACTGAGCTGCTGGCAGCCCTCTGCAGGCAGATGGAGCACTTCCTTGACAGCTGGAAGAGATTTGTGACCCAGAAGCGAATGGAGCACTTTTACCTGAACTTCTACACGGCAGAGCAGCTGGTTTACCTGAGCACTGAGCTCAGGAAGCAGCCCCCGAGTGATGCCGCCCTAACGATGCTATCCTTCATCAAAAGCAACTGCACCCTGAGGGATGTCTTAAGGGCCTCTGTGGGGTGTGGGAGTGAGGCCGCCAGGTACCGCATGAGGAGAGTCATGGAAGAGCTCCCGCTGATGCTCTTATCAGAGTTCAGCCTGGTGGACAAGCTGAGGATCATCATGGAGCAGTCCATGAGGTGCCTTCCTGCCTTCCTGCCCGACTGCCTCGACCTAGAGACCCTTGGCCACTGTCTGGCTCACCTGGCAGGGATGGGTGGGTCTCCCGTGGAGCGTTGTCTCCCGAGAGGTCTGCAGGTCGGCCAGCCCAACCTCGTCGTCTGTGGCCACTCCGAGGTGTTGCCAGCCGCCCTGGCTGTCTACATGCAAACCCCAAGCCAGCCCCTGCCCACTTACGATGAGGTGCTGCTCTGCACCCCGGCAACCACCTTTGAGGAGGTGGCACTGTTGCTGCGCCGCTGCCTGACCCTGGGCTCCCTGGGGCACAAGGTCTACAGCCTGCTGTTCGCAGATCAGCTGAGCTACGAGGTGGCACGCCAAGCGGAGGAGCTTTTCCACAATCTGTGCACGCAGCAGCACCGAGAAGACTACCAGCTCGTCATGGTCTGTGATGGGGACTGGGAGCACTGCTACCTCCCCTCTGCCTTCAGCCAGCACAAGGTCTTCGTCACCCCCCAGGCACCCCTCGAGGCCATCCAAGCCTACCTGGCAGGTCACTACCGGGTCCCGAAGCAGACCCTGTCGGCGGCAGCCGTGTTCAATGACCGGCTGTGTGTTGGGATCGTGGCCTCGGAGCGAGCAGGTGTTGGTAAGGAGAGCGGCAGGGTGGGCAGGCCCCGTCTCCCAGGGACTGCCCGGGGCCCTTCCCCCCTCCAGCAGATGAAGCCTGTCTGCAGGTGGAGAAACCGAGGCTCAGGGAGGGTGTGATTCATCTGTGGGTGTCAATCAGGGTCTGTGCCAGAACCAGGCACCCTGGTCACCTGGTCTCCCACAATGGGTATTCCCTGGGAGCCCCATTCCCTTCCTCCTCTCAGCAAACATCTCTGCAGTGTACTTTGTGGTTTTTTTTTTTTTTTTTTTTTTTTTTTTTGAGACAGAGTCTTGCTCTGTCACCCAGGCTGGAGTACAGTGGCGTGATCTTAGCTCACTGCAACCTCCGTTTTCTGGGTTCAAGCAATTATCCTGCCTCAGCCTCCTGAGTAGCTGGGATTACAGGTACCCACCGCCATCCCTGGCTAATTTATTTTTTTTTGTTTTTTGTTTTTTGTTTTTTTGAGACAGAGTCTCACTCTGTTGCCCAGATTGGAGTACAGTGGCGTGATCTCGGCTCACTGCAACCTTCGCCTCCCGGATTCAAGCGATTTTCCTGCCTCAGCCTCCCAAGTAGCTAGGACTACAGGCATGCACCAGTACACCCAGCTAATTTTTTTATTTTTAGTAGAGATGTGGCTTCACCGTGTTAGCCAGGATGGTCTCGATCTCCTGACCTCATGATCTGCCCTCCTCGGCCTCCCAAAGTACTGGGATCACAGGCATGAGCCACCGTGCCCGGCCTAATTTTTGTATTTTTAGCAGAGACAGGGTTTCACCATGTTGGCCAGTCTGGTCTCAAACTCCTGACCTCAGGTGATCCGCCCACCTCAGCCTCCCAAAGTGCTGGGATTACAGGTGTGAGCCACCACGCCCGGCCTGAAGTTTACTTCTTCTGCCCTTAAATGCCACTGGCCTCTTTGGGGTTGATGTTGGTCGTGTGAGCAAGGGGAGGTAGAATTGAAGAGAAAGCCATGCCTCTTGACCCACCCTTCGTTTGCCATCTTGTTTCCCTTAAAAAGAAATAGTAGCTTCTGTTCTGTTGACTTTATCCTATCAACAGTACCTCGTCCTGTTGGGATAAACATTACTCTTCCCCTCCCTGCTGAAGCCTCTCCTTTTGCTGTGACTTTTATTAGCTAGTCACTCAACACATAATGACATTTCAGTCAACAGCAGACCACGTATATGACCACGGTCCCATAAGATTAGAAAACTGTACTTTAAAAATTAGCCAGGCATGGTGGTGCATGCCTGTGATCCCAGCTACTAGGAAGGCTGACTTGGGAGGATCGCTCCAGCCCAAGAGGTCGAGGCTGTGGTGAGCTGCAAATACGACACTGCACTCCAGCCTAGGCAACGGGGCAAGGCCTTGGTCTTTTAAAAAAAGAGAAAGAAAGAAAGAACAAAAGATTATAATACCATATTTTTTACTGTACCTTTTCTACATTTTTATTTTTATTTTTGAGATGGAGTCTCACTCTGTTGCCCAGGCTGGAGTGCAATGGCACGATCTCGGCTCACTGCAGCCTCTGCCTCCTGGGTTCAAGCGATTCTCCTGCCTCAGCCTCCTGAGTAGCTGGGACTACAGGCACACGCCACCACACCTGACTAGTTTTTAGTAGAGATGGGGTTTCACCATGTTGGCCAGGCTGGTCTCAAACTCCTGACCTTGAGTGATCACCCGCCTCAGCCTCCCAAAGTGCTGGGATTACAGGCCTGAGCCACCGTGCCTGGCCTGAATATGTTTAGATATTCAGATATTTGCCCCGTGTCACAGCTCCCCACTGTATGTAGGATGCCCCCATGCTGTCACGGCTTGCAGCCCAGGGGCAATGGGCTATTCCACCTAGCTCGGGTGTGTGGTCGGCTCTACCATCTGGGTTTCTGCAGGCACACTCTGATGTTCACAGTGACAGAATCATTTCACAATGCATTTTTCAGAACGTGTCCCTAGTGCTAAGTGGCGCGGGACTCTGCTTTGCCTGCTGTCCTGCGGAGGCAGGAGGTGACCAGGAGAGTGAGTAGGTAACGGCTGGGAAATGTGAAGGTTCAAGAGCGTATTCTTGAATCTGATGTTATGTTGCATCAGTTTTGAATTTTATACAAAGAGAAGTAACTTCTAGTGGATCTTTATAGATTCTCTTACTCTTTGTCCTAGCCCTGGGACTTAATTTTTCTCTCTCTCTCTCTCTCTATTTTTATATATATACACACACATGCTGTATATACATACACTATATATATTCGATACATATTCTATATAGATTTCTATATATATTCTATATATTTTTACATATATAATATATATTCTATATACTTCCATATATACTATATATATTCTATATATACATATATAGTATGTATATATATATTATATATATATTGTATGTATATATATATTATATATATATATTTTTTGAGACAGAGTTTCGCTCTGTCACCCTAACGATGACAACTGCACCCTAAGGGATGTCTTAAGGGATGCCCAGGCTGGAGTGTAGTGGTGCAATCTCAGCTCACTACAACCTCCGCCTCCCGGGTTCAAGCGATTCTCCTGCCTCAGCCTCCTGAGTAGCTGGGATTACAGGTGCCTGCCACCACGCCTGGCTAATTTTTTTGTATTTTTAGTAGGGACGGGATTTCACCACGTTGACCAGGCTGGCTTTGAACTCCTGACCTCAAGTGATCCCCCCGCCTCGGCCTCCCAAAGTGCTAGGATTACAGGTGTGAGCCACCACTCCCAGCCCTAATTTCTGTATTAATGTTATAGGAAAGTCTCTGTACGTGAAGAGGTTGCACGACAAAATGAAGATGCAGTTAAACGTGAAAAATGTGCCTCTGAAAACAATTCGACTGATCGACCCTCAGGTGGATGAGAGCCGAGTCCTGGGCGCCCTGCTGCCCTTCCTGGATGCGCAGTATCAGAAGGTCCCCGTGCTCTTTCACCTGGACGTGACCTCCTCAGTAAGTGCCCTCCAGCGTCAGCCGATGGCCACATCAGTAAAGACGTGGTCCCCATGTCTCTGCGTGACTCCTCCCCGTGTATAGAATTCCTTGTTTCCACACGCACAGTCCTGTGAAGCTTAACAGTGGGAATGTGCTCTGAGAAGTGTGTTGTCAGGCAGTTTCCTCCTTGTGTGAACGTCATGGTGTGCGCTTACACTAACCTAGACGTAGAGCCCACTGCACACACAGGCTTTATGGTACACACTGTCGCTCCTAGGCCGCAAACCTGTGCTGCATATGGCTGTTCTGAATCCTGGAGCCAATTGTAAAACGGTGTATTTATGTGTCTAAACATAAAAATGGTACAGGGAAATATAGTATTAGGATTTTATGGGGCTGCCCTTGGAGACATGGGCCGTTGTTGGCTGAAATGTTGATGTTGATCATCAGGATCATCGTGACAAAGAGCAAAATAAGGAGGGGTTACTTAGAGTTGGGAGAACTCGCCATCGTGTCGTGTGTTTACACCTCGTGCGATTCTGTTCTTAGGTGCAGACTGGAATTTGGGTGTTTCTTTTCAAGCTCCTCATTTTACAATACTTAATGGATATAAATGGGAAAATGTGGCTTCGGAACCCCTGCCATTTGTATATCGTTGAAATCCTGGAAAGGAGGACGTCAGTGCCGTCGAGGAGCTCTTCAGCGCTGGTCTGTACTGTGGGGCGTTTTCGCCTGGCGTGGGGGGCTCTTGGGTTCTTTCTGGTCTTACTGAAGTGGAATGGCGCGTTTAGGAGACTCCACATCTTTGCCTTACTTAGTGCAGCAGCTGAATGCAGTGTTAGTAAAGAAAAGCCCATCTTTAAACTCACTTTTTAATCATGTCTGGGATAAAAGTACTCTTCTGTTAATTAGCAGTGTCTTCAATATTTCTGTTCAATTCAGGCTTCATGCTGTATGCCCAGTCTGAATCCCAGCTGTGCTCTGAATCTAGGAAATTCATCTGTTGAAAGACCTCACCTTTCCTAATGCCAGCTAAGATGAGAAGGAGATGTTTGTCAAAAATTTCTTAGCAAAAGAGAGTTTTATGTTCACTCACATACATAATACATGTATAGCTTAGTGGAGAAACTTAGTTTCAGGAAGTTGGGTTAGAAAGTGATTTCCTGGCTCAGAACGCAGCTCCCACAGCAATGCCTTACTTAATGTGCAAAAGATATGCTGTGGAAAAAAAGACTATACAGAAAGCTACATATTTTCAGTGCGTTTTTCATAAAGGTCCATCCAATATAGATAACGTGGAGGGTTAAGACACAAAAGCATTTCTTAGAAAGTCTTCTTGTAACCATTTCATTAATGTCTCTCCTTTCCAGCGTACACGTGTACCCCAGTTCAGTTTTCTTGACATCTTCCCAAAAGTCACCTGCAGGCCTCCCAAAGAGGTGATAGACATGGAGCTGAGTGCCCTGAGGAGTGACACAGAGCCTGGGATGGATCTGTGGGAGTTCTGCAGCGAAACTTTCCAAAGACCTTACCAGTATTTAAGACGATTCAATCAAAACCAAGACCTAGACACGTTTCAGTATCAAGAAGGCTCTGTCGAAGGCACCCCGGAGGAATGCCTCCAGCATTTCCTGTTTCACTGCGGGGTAATAAACCCATCCTGGTCAGAGCTTCGGAACTTTGCTCGGTTCCTGAATTATCAGCTCAGAGATTGTGAGGCCTCTCTCTTCTGCAATCCGAGTTTTATTGGCGACACACTGAGGGGCTTCAAGAAGTTCGTGGTGACCTTCATGATCTTTATGGCAAGAGATTTTGCCACACCATCACTCCACACCTCTGACCAAAGCCCGGGGAAGCACATGGTCACCATGGATGGGGTTAGGGAAGAAGATCTAGCGCCCTTCTCCCTCCGGAAGAGGTGGGAGTCGGAGCCTCACCCATACGTTTTCTTCAATGACGACCACACAACCATGACATTCATCGGCTTCCATCTGCAGCCCAACATCAACGGCAGTGTCGATGCCATCAGTCACTTGACTGGGAAGGTCATCAAGAGAGACGTCATGACCAGGGACCTGTACCAGGGCCTGCTGCTCCAGAGGGTGCCCTTCAATGTCGACTTTGATAAACTGCCCAGACACAAGAAACTTGAGAGGCTCTGCCTGACCTTAGGGATCCCCCAGGCCACCGACCCCGACAAAACGTATGAGCTCACAACCGACAATATGCTTAAAATCCTTGCCATCGAGATGCGGTTCCGGTGTGGGATCCCGGTTATCATCATGGGAGAAACTGGCTGTGGGAAAACCAGGCTTATTAAATTCCTTAGCGACCTGCGGCGTGGTGGTACCAATGCTGACACCATAAAGCTGGTCAAGGTGCACGGAGGAACAACTGCAGACATGATCTACTCCAGAGTCAGGGAGGCTGAAAATGTGGCCTTCGCCAATAAGGACCAACATCAGTTGGACACCATCTTGTTTTTTGATGAAGCCAACACAACGGAAGCTATAAGCTGTATCAAAGAAGTCCTGTGTGATCATATGGTGGATGGCCAGCCTCTGGCTGAGGACTCTGGCCTGCATATTATAGCTGCCTGCAATCCATACCGGAAGCACTCTGAGGAGATGATCTGCCGTTTGGAGTCAGCTGGTTTGGGCTACAGGGTTAGTATGGAGGAGACGGCCGACAGGCTGGGCTCCATTCCTCTGAGGCAGCTGGTATACCGGGTCCATGCTCTGCCCCCGAGCCTGATTCCTCTGGTGTGGGACTTTGGACAACTGAGTGACGTTGCTGAAAAGCTCTACATCCAGCAGATTGTCCAGAGACTGGTTGAGTCCATCAGCCTAGATGAAAACGGGACTCGCGTGATCACAGAAGTCCTCTGCGCCTCTCAGGGTTTCATGAGGAAAACAGAAGATGAGTGCAGCTTTGTCAGCCTCAGGGACGTGGAGCGCTGTGTGAAAGTTTTCAGGTGGTTCCACGAGCACAGCGCGATGCTCTTAGCGCAGCTGAATGCCTTTCTCTCCAAGTCCAGCGTCAGCAAAAATCACACCGAGAGAGATCCCGTCCTCTGGTCGTTGATGCTGGCCATCGGGGTGTGTTACCATGCCTCTTTAGAAAAGAAAGACTCATATCGGAAAGCCATCGCCAGGTTCTTTCCGAAACCGTATGACGACAGCAGGCTGCTTCTGGATGAAATAACACGGGCACAGGATCTTTTTCTGGACGGCGTACCTCTGAGGAAAACCATCGCCAAGAACTTGGCCTTGAAGGAGAACGTCTTCATGATGGTCGTCTGCATCGAGCTGAAGATTCCCCTCTTCCTGGTGGGGAAGCCCGGCAGCTCCAAGTCTCTCGCCAAGACCATCGTGGCAGACGCCATGCAGGGCCCGGCTGCCTACTCAGATCTCTTCCGCAGCCTGAAGCAGGTCCACCTGGTGTCCTTCCAGTGCAGCCCGCACTCCACCCCACAGGGCATCATCAGCACCTTCCGGCAGTGCGCCCGCTTTCAGCAGGGGAAGGACCTGCAGCAGTACGTCTCTGTGGTGGTGTTAGATGAGGTGGGGCTGGCGGAAGACTCACCCAAAATGCCCCTGAAGACTCTGCACCCGCTGCTGGAAGACGGATGCATTGAAGACGATCCCGCCCCCCACAAAAAGGTCGGCTTCGTGGGCATCTCCAACTGGGCCCTTGACCCTGCCAAGATGAACCGGGGCATTTTTGTGTCACGTGGCAGCCCCAACGAGACAGAGCTCATAGAGAGCGCCAAGGGCATCTGCTCCTCAGACATCCTCGTCCAGGACCGAGTCCAAGGGTACTTTGCGTCCTTTGCCAAAGCCTACGAAACGGTGTGTAAGCGCCAGGACAAGGAATTCTTCGGGCTTCGTGACTACTACAGCCTCATCAAAATGGTCTTTGCTGCAGCAAAGGCTTCAAATAGAAAGCCTTCCCCGCAAGACATTGCACAGGCTGTCCTTAGGAACTTCAGTGGCAAGGATGACATCCAAGCTTTGGACATCTTTCTGGCCAATTTGCCCGAGGCCAAGTGCTCAGAGGAAGTCAGCCCCATGCAGCTGATCAAACAGAACATCTTTGGGCCTTCTCAGAAGGTGCCGGGTGGAGAGCAGGAAGATGCTGAGTCCCGCTACTTACTCGTGCTGACCAAAAACTACGTGGCACTGCAGATCCTGCAGCAGACATTCTTCGAGGGGGACCAGCAGCCGGAGATTATTTTTGGTTCTGGTTTCCCCAAGGACCAAGAGTACACCCAGCTCTGCAGAAACATCAATCGTGTGAAGATCTGCATGGAAACAGGCAAGATGGTGTTGCTTCTCAACCTGCAGAACCTCTACGAGAGCCTCTACGACGCACTCAACCAGTACTACGTCCACCTCGGCGGCCAGAAGTACGTGGACCTCGGTCTGGGGACCCACCGCGTCAAATGTCGGGTTCACCCCAACTTCCGCCTGATTGTCATTGAAGAGAAAGACGTCGTGTACAAACACTTTCCCATCCCCCTCATTAACCGGCTGGAGAAGCACTATCTGGATATCAACACGGTGCTGGAGAAATGGCAGAAGAGCATCGTGGAGGAGCTCTGTGCGTGGGTGGAGAAGTTCATCAATGTCAAAGCACATCATTTCCAGAAGAGGCACAAATACAGCCCCTCTGACGTCTTCATCGGCTACCACTCGGACGCCTGCGCGTCTGTGGTGCTGCAGGTCATAGAGAGGCAGGGTCCCCGGGCCTTGACGGAGGAACTTCACCAGAAGGTGTCTGAGGAGGCCAAATCGATCCTGCTGAACTGCGCTACGCCCGATGCCGTGGTCCGGCTGAGCGCCTACTCGCTGGGCGGGTTCGCAGCGGAGTGGCTGTCGCAGGAGTACTTTCACAGACAGAGGCACAACTCCTTTGCAGATTTCCTTCAGGCACACCTGCACACGGCAGACCTGGAGCGCCACGCCATCTTCACAGAGGTGATTGTCTTTCTGCACTTGTACCCTATCCCCTGTCACCCAAGAGTCCTAAATCCCTCGTGTCAGGATTCAAGATTCTTCCCCAGGCAGCGGTTAGGGATCCTGCAGGGAGATGCTGAGACGCTGAGCTCTCCTCCGCGGTAAGTGTGGGGAGTAGGTCCAGTTAACCAGGTGCTGAGTGCCTGGCTCTGTGCAGTGCACCATGCTGGTAACAGCACCATACACAGTGTTCACACCAACAAATAAAGTACCACGTCCCAGGACTGGGCCAAGGGCACTAGGGACGCACAGATGAATCTGTAGCCCTTGTCCTTTGTTAGCATTAGGGAGCATGGAGAGACCAGCACATGAACAGATGCCATCAATATCATATGATAAATGCTGTGCTTAGAGGCAGCGGGGAGCGGTGCAGACCAGGATGCGAGCTCAGATGAGATGTTCCCTAGGAGAAGCCCCTCGCCGATGGGGAAGAATGGCCGGGAAGGGATTGTAGGCTGAGGGCCTTCTGTGGGCAGAGCCGCTGACAGCTCTTAGGGTTCAAGGCTGTAGTGCTGAGATGGGGCGATGAGGTGCAGTCAGAGAGAACTACTGGAGGCCCTCAGTGACTCTGCAGAGCCACATCTCAGCCCTATGGAGCGGGCACTGGAGGCACGCTTGTCTCCCTGGCTGGGTGAAGGGAGTCTGATGAAAGGCTGTTGTGGAAAAGACGGGCCGGTAGGGAGGCCGCTGGAACCGTACAAAGGAGAGGAGCAGATGGAACCGAGAGATACTCAGGAGGCAATTTGGCAGGGCCAATACCACCACCCAGTGGGGGGATGGGGGGTGGAGGGGTCCGGGGCGACCCCCTGGATTCCTCCTTAGATGAGTGGACATTGCTTCATCATGACAGATACCGCAGGAACGGACAGCAGGTTGTGGGAGGCTAGTGATGATGTCCGCCGGGGACAGGTTTCTATGCATCGTGCAGCTGGACGTAGGAATCTGAGCTCAGTGGTGAGGCAGGGATTCCTGGGCTAGAGCAGCAGGCCTCGAGGAACGTTTCGACTTGCACTGTGATGGGGGAGTGACCTTTGGGACAGGAGAATTGCTGACATCTGGGGGAAGGGGACAGCACCAACCACGAACTCCATCTGAAAGCATGAGTCGTACTATAACAGGAAATGGCATTTGTGCTGAGCCCTAAGGGATCATGAGAATCTCAAGTACGGACCAAGCAGGCAGAGACACGGGCCTCTGGGGAGGAGAGGAAGGCACCCTCGGGGCAGGGTGGGGTCGTCTCTCCAATGCCTTTGGCCCTGTAGGGCCTCTCGGCCCCAGCGCTGCCGTGTTTTGGGAAACTCCTTTGGGTTTGGATTCTGTGCCGTTGTGTGGCAACTGCACCGCGCTGAACATCGCAGGTTTCTAGGATCTGTCTAAACCTGGCAGCAGACTTGCAACCTTTCCTTGAAGTCTGGCAAGTAATTTGCATTTCTTAACTCTGTAGATCACCACTTTCTCCAGGCTGCTAACAAGTCACGACTGTGAAATTTTAGAATCAGAGGTCACAGGCAGGGCTCCGAAACCCACACTCCTGTGGCTGCAGCAGTTTGACACCGAGTACTCATTCCTCAAAGAAGTCCGGTGAGGTTCCCTGCCTTCCCTGCTGCCCTCTCCCTCCCCAGCCGCAGCCGTGTGGCTTCTGCGTGGCGATGGTACCCGCGCCGGTTAATGAGCGCCACAGTCACGTGACTGTGAAATAGATCCTTGTTAAATCTCTCCCAGCATCCCTCTCATCTCCATCATCTTCTGCAACGCGGTGTCTGGCCTAACATCCTCCTCCGAGAGCACCATCCTCGGACCTCGTTAGGAGGCATTCCTTGGGTTTCCTCCCCTGGACTATCTGTTCTTACTGAAGAAAATCCTACCTGAGTAGCTGTTTCTTTGTAGCCTTTATGTTTCCCATCACTTTGGGGAATTTTCTTTTCCATTTTTTTAAGACAGAGAACTCACTTGAATAACTTCCCTTTTCTTTCAGAAACTGTTTAACGAATACAGCCAAATGTAAAATCCTCATTTTTCAGACAGATTTTGAAGATGGAATCCGTAGCGCCCAGCTCATTGCCTCAGCTAAGTATGTTTTTAGTATTTTTCTCAGAAACTATGTAAAAAACCCAAAACGTAGGAAGTCCTAGAGAATTTTTTCCTTGAAGACAGTATAGTATCATAATCAGTATAGAAATAAAAATAACAATTCTTCCCCCGCCTCATTCCCCCAAGTGGGATTAGGGAAACTGAAGAGAGACAAAAAGAAAAGGCCAATAACATTACAAAAATAGTGGAATGGGCCTGGGCAACAGAGCAAGACCTCATTTCTAAAAAAATAAAATAATTAGCCTTCCACAGTGCACCTCTAGTCCCAGCTGCTCAGAAGGCTGAGGTGGGAGGATCGCTTGAGCCTGGGAGGTCAAGGCTGCAGTGAACTGCGATCCCACCACTGCAGTCCAGCCTAGGGGCCAGAGCAAGAGCCTGTCCTCCCCACAAAAAAGGTGAAATGCGAGAGGTGTAAATAATGGAACATTAACAAGCTATAAAAGGATGCCTTTGAAGCCTGTGTTTGTAGACATGTTTTGGTCATTATTAATTTTGAATTATACAATTTGAATTTATTTCAAGTTCGAGGGAAACAACAGTAGGTAAATGCTTTTTTTCCTATTTATTGGATATTTTTATAGTGTTTGTAGGGGAAGTCTGATGCTCTTAGAATTAACTTTGTGCCTTTATTACTTAAAGTAAAAGTGATTTCTGGACCTTTTTGAAGCATTGGATGCCATATTTCAGTTCGTGGCTTAAATCTCAACAAGAAACTGGCTTTGGCCATTGGTCATCTGAAGGGAATGGCATTGCGCACAGAACTCTTTGTTGAAATGGAAAGGTCCACTGGGTACAGGGGCTGTTTCCTGTAATCCTAGCTACTTGGGAAGCAGAGGCAGGAGGATCGTTTGAGGCCAGGAGTTTGAGACCAGGCTGGGCAACACAGCAAGACCCCCATCGCTTAAGAGAAAAGAAGGAATGGAAAGTTCAGCTGTCCTCACCCTTAGCTGCACCGGGGCAGGCCCATTGAGGAGCACAAGATAGGGTTTCTGGTCAACGAAGGAATGCCACTTCAAAGCAGAGGACACAGGAATGGGGAAGAAAACGAGCCGCTAAGAGAAGATTTCTCATCCCCTTGTGAGAGAAGAAATCACGATCGCAGGGCTCTGAAGTTTATGTAAAACTCATCGGAACGGGTGGCCGTGAGACCGAACCAACAGCTCGGAGAACACCCTTCTGCAGCTGCACAGCTTTGCTTTGTTTATTTGCTTGTTTTTGTGTGTGTGTTTGTTTTTAAAATAGGTATTCTTTTTTTTTTCTTTAAATAGGTATTCTGTTATAAATGAAATCAACAAAATACGAGAAAATGAGGACCGTATCTTCGTCTATTTCATCACAAAACTGTCCCGGGTGGGAAGAGGAACAGCCTATGTGGGCTTCCACGGAGGTGAGATCAGAACATCAGTCAGGGTATTTATTTATGTATTTATTTATTTATTTGTATCTATTTATTTTTTGAGATGGAGTCTTGCTCTGTCACCAGGCTGGAGTGCAGTGGCGCGATCTCAGCTCACTACAACCTCAATCTCCTGGGTTCAAGCGATTCTCCTGCCTCAGCCTCCCAAGTAGCTGGCATTACAGGCGTGCGCCACCATGCCCAGCTAATTTTTGTATGTTTAGTAGTGACGGGGTTTCACCACGTTGGCCTAGATGGTCTCAATCCGTTGACCTCATGATCCGCTCGCCCCAGCCTCCCAAAGTGCTGGGATTACAGGTGTGAGCCACCGCACCCAGCCCAGTCAGTGTATTTATTTAAGTCATGTTGGAACTGTTTCTCATTTGGTTCTGTGTTGTACAGTCTGAAATTAGAATATTATTGTTAACCTCAAGAGGATTCTTTCCAGATGCAATTAGATTTCTTACCACTGATTACCATGAAAACATGAATCCTGGGATGGGAGGCTGCGTGCACCTCTCCTGGACTGACTCTAGGCAAGCTCCTCACCTCTTAGCATGTAGGTCACACGGCGTGGAGACTCCCGACTCCCGACAGACACTGTCAGGAACGCACCGATACGCCTGTTTGGCGGGGAGGGAGAGTGGCGGGGGTCGGACTATCTTCAGATCTCTTTTTTTCCAAGGAATGGTCACCAGCTATTTATGACATAGAAAAGTTGGTATTCCAGAAACAGGAAAGTAAGTTTACTTGAATAATTTCGTGGAGAATGGAAGGCAGACCTTGCCAGTGTCCCCCACCCCTCACTAACTGTGATACAGCAAATACAACAATGCATGGGTGAAAGAACCACAGGCCTTATCCATGCGTCCTTCCCACGCTGGCCATTGCAGGTCTTACCGTTGCTGCTTATGGTGAAGCTGTCGATGGGCATAGAATCGGGTCGTGTATAGTATCGGGTTGGGTGGTTTCTGCGCAGGCCCATTCCAGGGTTTCGGCTTCAGGGTGCCAGTCATTCATTGCGCAGCAAGATAATGACAAGCCAGGGTGTGCAATGTCCCTGCTTAGGGCTGAGCAGCAGCCGGGAAAGACACAAAGACAGTTGTGGGTGGCTTCACTCTTCACAGGGCTGTGGCAGTCTGTCCACATCGATGACCTCCGGAGATCCACCCTCATGGTTTCTGATGTGACCAGGCTGCAGCATGTCACCATCAGCCAGCTGTTCGCGCCCGGAGACTTGCCTGAGCGTGAGTCACGAGGCGGAGCCCCTGGGGGAGCAGGTGGTGGAAGGGCAGATGGCAGGTGTGGAGCGTGGCGTGCACATGGCACTAGGAGCAGGGCCACCGTGTTTCGTCCCTCGGCAGGAGCTCGGGGACACATCTGCAGAACTGACTGGTGGCTCATCATAGAGCACCAGGGCCGAGCAGGTGCGCTTACCACAGGCTGAGGTAGAGCTCTGTGAGCAGGCCAGCCATGGAAGTGAGCACCTAGAACACGCCAGAGCCCAGGCTGGAAGGAAGGGGCTGCCTTGGGGGCTGATCTTCATGACCGTGATCTCTCATCTGGGGACCTAGCACCACAGCAGGGGCCGGGGAAGCCTGCACTCGGAGGCTGAGCACACAGACTCCCAGATGGCACCGCTGCCAGTCCCTGTGCCACCTTCTGAGTGGTAACGCAATCACGTTTGCTTCGACTGCAGTGGGCTTGGAACACCGGGCGGAAGACGGCCATGAGGAGGCGATGGAGACGGAGGCCAGCACATCAGGGGAGGTGGCAGAGGTGGCAGAGGAGGCCATGGAAACAGAAAGTTCTGAGAAGGTGGGAAAGGAAACCTCTGAACTCGGAGGCAGTGATGTAAGTTCTGGTTCTTGGGACCTCCCCTTGTGCTGCTGGTGATGCTTCTGAGCTGCATCTTTAAACGCTTTTGCATTGGGAGCTAGAGGAGTCGCCGCCGCTGTGCAGGGGTGAGGATGGCGCCCCACTTTCCTCACACAGTGACGGTCTTGTTGCTGGTTACTGGGGGTCAAGGGCATCTGCACCGGCAGTTTGGGGGGTGCAGGGCGGAGGTCGGCGTCTCTTCTTTGTCCGTGAGGACCGCCGCCCTGTGCTGTTTGCTGCATTGAGACCCTCATCGCATACGGGCGGTTTGGCTTTTGCCCACTGTGTCAGTGGCAGAAACGGATGACCCAACCGTCTCCACCAACAGGTGTCGATCCTGGACACCACCAGGCTGCTGAGAAGCTGTGTGCAGAGCGCCGTGGGCATGCTCAGAGACCAGAACGAGAGCTGCACGCGCAATATGCGGAGGGTGGTGCTCCTCCTGGGCCTCTTGAATGAGGATGACGCGTGCCACGGTATGAGCCTCCCCACCCCTCTTGCCCCTGCCCCCACGTGGGCTCTTCCTGAGGAGTGGGCATCATTTCACTGTGTGTTGGGGGACACCCTCTCAGGTTTCCATGGCTCAGCAGAAGCAGTGACACAGTGGGAATCTAAGAGCATCTCTCAGATTTTGCTCTAGAATTGGCCTGGCCAACGGACTTCCCTTCCTGGGGGAGGTGGGACAGAAGCACTCCGGAGCCAACAGCTCAGCCACGGCCATGCTGAACGTCTGTTTCTGCCTTTGTACAGCCTCTTTCTTGCGGGTATCCAAGATGCGCCTCAGTGTCTTTTTAAAGAAGCAAGAAGAGAGCCAGTTTCACCCTCTGGAGTGGTTGGCAAGGGAAGCCTGCAACCAGGACGCTCTCCAGGAGGCGGGCACATTCAGGTACTGTGACTAAAGGAAGCAAGGAGTGGCTCCAATCTGGTGGCAGCATGGGGACCTGCCTGCAGGGATCCTCTCTCCATCCGGGCCATGGGGACTGAGCTGTTTCTTTCCAAACCTCTCAGCCATTCAAAGCTGTAAAGTTTTTCCCCAAGAAGCACACAGTAGGTCTGGACAGTGGCCAAATGGCAGGTGCTGGACTCTTCCTCTAATTTCGTGTTTACAGTTTTTCATACTAAAAACTTAAAAAAAGTAAAACATCTGTTCTTAGAGTAGAACATTTACCGACATTCATGTTGATAACCCTAGAAAGGGCTGCTGTTTTCAGTCATGAAGTTAAAATGACGTGCAGAGCAGGCAGGGGACAGGCGGGATTTTCCCAGTCCTGCTGTTTGAAGAATGGTAACAGCAAAACCAGGACCCAGCAGTATATTCACTGCCATGGTTATTTTTCTGTCACCCATGAGACTAACCTTGATTATCTTGGATGTGGCCGTGTATTGAGGAAGGAGGGGTGCTCTGGGCCCCAGACAGAGGGTCTCTTTAAGACAGACTCTCAGACCTCCTGCCTGAAAGCCTAAGAAACCAGTGACTTGGTTATTTGGGCCCAGTTTTCCCATCTCTAAAAGACAGCGGACTCCTCCATGAGTCCCCTTCCAGGTCCAAGCTTCTGTGCCAGTGATAGGTTCGCTTTGGGCCTACAGCCAGGTGTGATCTGCAGGAGGGAACGTGAGGAAGAAGCGGGGTGAACGGTAATGGGGGCTTACAGGGGAAGAAGCGGGGTGAACGGGAATGGGAGCTTACAGGGGAAGAAGCGGGGTGAATGGGAATGGGGGCTCACGGAGGAAGAAGCGGGGTGGATGGGAATCGGGGCTCACGGAGGAAGAGGGGTGACCGGGAATGGGGGCTCACAGAGGAAGAAGCGGGGTGACCGGGAATGGGGGCTTACAGGGGGAAGAAGCGGGGTGGACGGGAATGGGGGCTTATGGAGGAAGAAGCGGGGTGAGTGGGAATGGGGGCTTACAGGGGAAGAAGCGGGGTGAGTGGGAATGGGGGCTTACAGGGGAAGAAGCGGGGTGGACGGGAATGGGGGCTTACAGGGGGAAGAAGCGGGGTGACCGGGAATGGGGGCTTACAGAGGAAGAAGCGGGGTGGACGGGAATGGGGGCTCACGGAGGAAGAAGCGGGGTGAATGGGAATGGGGGCTCATGGAGGAAAAAGCGGGGTGACCGGGAATGGGGGCTTACAGGAGAAGAAGCGGGGTGAACGGGAATGGGGACTTACAGACACCTTCCTCGTGACCAGAGATTTTCTGATTCTACTTTTTCTCTAGTTATCCTTCGTTTCTCTCCTTGTCACGCCTTCTGAAGGGATTTTAGGAGATCAGAAATATTTTCATTTCCCTCCGTTCCTCCTTGTGGACTCTCTTGATGCTTTTTTTTTTTTGAGACGGAGTCTCACTCTGTCGCCCAGGCTGGAGTGCAGTGATGCGATCTCAGCTCACTGAAACTTCCACCTCCTGGGTTCAAGCGATTCTCCTGCCTCAGACTCCTGAGTAGCTGAGACTATAGGCACCCACCACCACACCCAGCTACTTTTGGTATTTTTAGTAGAGGCGAGATTTCACCATGTTGGCCAGGCTGGTCTCAAACTCCTGACCTCAGGTGATCCACTCGCCTCAGCCTCCCGAAGTGCTGGGATTCCAGGCGTGAGCCAGTGTGCCCGGCCTGTTGATGCTTTTGAATCCCTGACTCCACTCCCCGGGACCAGCCCTGAGTCACTGAACCTCCTCAGTCTGCTCTTCCCCACTCTGCTGTTCACGCAGCACTAGGCCTGGCTCCGTCGTGTTCTGTGGTCACCGTGAGGCCTGCGCAGCCGCTGAGTGGTGGCCAGACCCGCACCCTCAGCTCACCTGCCCCAGGGCCAGCAGCACCCTGACTACCTCGATTCACCACCACTGTGTTCTGGGGACTGGAGTCCTTTGCCCTCTCGGGATTAAACAGCCCAAATCCTGAGAGTCCTTTGTGTCCCGAACTCTGCCTGCCTGTCCAGATACAGCAGAACCAGGCTCAGCGGCTCCAGATAGGGCGGAACCAGGCTCGGCGGCTCCCGCCTCTCCCAGCGCTTGTCCCAGCGCCTGGGTTTTCCTTCTGCCTTTTGTGTTCGCGACACTTTTCCTAGTTTGCTGTTTTCTCCCTCTGTGCACTGGGATGCTTTATTTTCCCAATAGACATTTTAAAATTCTTGCCAGGTTCCTCTGTACTATATATTTAAAAAATGTAGGTATTTCTTTTTATTCTCTTCAAAAGAGAGGCTTCGCTTTTCCCCCAACATTAATTACCTTGTGGGGTTTTTTTTTTTTCGAGACAGAGTCTCACTCTCGTCCCCCATGCTGGAGTGCAATGGCGCGATTTTGGCTCACTGCAACTTCTGCCTCCCGGGTTCAAGCGATTCTCCTGCTCAGCCTCCTGAGTAGCTGGGATTACAGGTGCCTGCCACCACGACTGTAATTTTTGTATTTTTAGTAGAGACGGGATTTCACCATGTTGGCCAGGCTGGTCTCGAACTCCTGACCTCAGGTGATCCGCCCGCCTCAGCCTCCCAACGTGCTGGGATTAGACGTGAGCCACCGTGCCCAGCCACCTTTTAATTCTTATCCTTTACACAAGAATTTTGAAATAGAGCTATTATTGTTACATGTAAATATATACAACAAAATATATATAACAACAAAATGTCTTGTAGTTAACCAATTATCTTTCTGTCTGCCTATCTGTGCATTCATCCATCCCTCCGCCTGCCTGTCCATCCACCCATCTGTCCGTCCGCCCATCTATCCATCCACCTGTCTATCAGACACTCAGATCTAGTGTACAAAAACATCAACAGGAACAAATACTTAGTTCCAGATAAACATGTGCCTTCTTGTTTAGTTTGATCTGGGACAAATTCATTTTGGTCTCTTCATCTGTATTATAGTCTATCTACAACAGATTTTTAAAATATTTATTTTTTCCAAATGAATCGTCATAATTTTATTTATTTAGAGAACCTCGATGACTTGTTCTGAAAAATAGTTACATACAAAAATTATGCAGCCTTGCAAAAAATAAAGCAGATAAGTGCGGTGGCTCACACCTGTAATCCCAATACTTTGGGAGGCCAAGGCGGGAGGATTACTTGTGCCCAGGAGTTTGAGACCAGCCAGCTAGGGCAACATAGTGAGACCCCATCTCAACAAAAAATAAAATAAAATTTAAAAATTAGCTGGGCATGGTGGCACTGGGTGTGTTGTTCCTGTCTACTTGCACGGCTGAGGTGGGAGGATCGTTTGAGCCCAGGTATTCCAGGTTATGACGATCTATGATTGTGTCACTACACCGCAGTTGGCGTGACAGAGTGAGACCCTCACATACATGTTTTAAAAATAAAAAAGCAAACACTACTTCACCCTTCCAGTAACCTAATGACAGTTTATTAGATGTAGAATTAAGTTCCATTCCAGTTCCGTCTCTAATCTTAGACATCTTTGTGAGTCTGTTTTCTAGGACTTAAAAATGATGGAAATGTCAAGTTATTGCTGTCGCTGTAGTGTGGTAAATAGTAGACTAGTTGTTTTGTTAATGCTCAAGAAGGAACAAAATGTCAAAAGGTGGCAGACCGCCACTCTGGTTCCTCTGACCCGTGGTGGCCCATCTCTCTTCTGTGCTGCAGGCACACCCTCTGGAAGCGGGTCCAAGGTGCTGTCACCCCTCTGCTGGCGAGCATGATATCATTCATCGACAGAGACGGCAACCTAGAGTTACTGACCAGGCCAGATACTCCGCCCTGGGCAAGAGATCTTTGGATGTTTATTTTCAGTGACACGATGCTTCTGAACATTCCTCTTGTGATGAATAATGAAAGGTGAGTGGAAGGCTTTCTTTCCCTGGGGAGAGAAACTATCAGAACACAGCAGGACCCTAATATGCTCTCCCAAGTGCTGGGTGAAACGCAGCCCTCAACTTCAGAGCAACGTTGACATGGGTGCTTTCTGCAGTAACAATAGGAAGTTTGGCCGGGCATGGTGGCTCACGCCTGTAATCCCAGCACTTTGGGAGGCCGAGGCAGGTGGATCATGAGGTCAAGAGATCAAGACCGTCCTGGCCAACGTGGTGAAACCCCGTCTCTACTAAAAATACAAAAATTAGCTGGGCGTGGTGGCGCGTGCCTGTATTCCCAGCTATTTGGGAGGCTGAGGCAGGAGAATTGCTTGAACCTGGGAGGCGGAGGTTGCAGTGAGCCGAGATGGCGCCACTGCACTCCAGCCTGGTGACAGAGCAAGACTCTGTCTCAAAAAAAAAGAATAGGAAGTTTACGAAGCTCTGAGAAATTTCTGTTTTATCTCCACCCTCCTCATTTCCCTGCTTTCAGAGCACTGGTTCTAGCCAGACCCAGCATGGCGTGACACGGAGACAGTGCGCTGCGAACAGCCCCACAATCTGTGCTCCTTACCCCTGGGATCTGTGCTCCCTCCCCGTCCCTCATTCCCTGGTGGAGCGGCACAGCCCCCACCCCCTTCCGCAGGCCTGATGATGTGCGGCTCAGGCTCAGCTCCCAATAGCTTCCACTTCAGCTTTCAGGGGCTTCAATTCTGGATGTAGATTTATAAAGAATATAGAAATAAATGTGCCCAGGCTCGGTGGCTCATGCCTATAACCCCAGCAATTTAGTAGGCTGAGGCAGGAAAGTTTCTTGAACCCAGGGGTTGAAGACCAGCTTGGGCAACATAGTGAGACCCCATCACTACAAAAAATTTAAAAATTAGGCATAACGTGGTGCGCACCTGTAGTCCCAGCTACTCTAGAAGCTGAGGCGGGAGGATTGCTTGAGCCCAGGAGTTTGAGGTGAGATAGGATCACACCACTCACTGCACTCTAGCCTGGGTGGTGACAGAGTGAGACTCTATCTCAAAAAAAAAAAAAAAAAAAAAAAAAAAAGAGTGAGAGAGGGAGGGAGACAGAAGGAAGAAAGAGAAAGAAAGAGCGAGAGAAAGAGAGAAAGAAAGTAAAGAAAGAAAGAGTGAGAGAAAGAAAGAAATGGAATTTGAATTGCCAGTGGAAACACTTATTTAAAAGACAAGGCGCTGCTGATGTTCATGAAGCAAAGACTCTAACAAGTTGTGCTCTGTGTTACAAGTTATCAAAGCCAGACAGGTTCAGGAACCAGAAGACTTGGTTCTGCCCGAGATTTTGGGCAACACACTTGACCCCTGTCAGCCTTGGTTTGTTTTTGTTTTGCCTGTGAAACAAAGATTGCATAAGACAGTTCCCTAGTTCTGTCATAACAGAAACCCTGTACTGTGAAACAGATCAGCGCCGTCTGCCTGGCCTGTTGGCCCCTTTGTTTTTGAGGTCTGAGAAGAGCTGGCATCAGTGGCAGATCTTATCTTGTGTTTTGAGTGACGTCTCACAAACCCTCTTCTTATCATCCCTCACCTTATTGCAGACATAAAGGTGAGATGGCCTACATCGTGGTGCAGAACCACATGAACCTTTCCGAGAACGCTTCCAACAACGTCCCTTTCAGCTGGAAAATCAAGGACTATCTGGAGGAGCTGTGGGTCCAGGCTCAGTACATCACAGACGCAGAAGGTGAGGCTACCTCAAGACAGGTCAGATTCAGCACAGGTGAATCACAAAGGGATTGCCTGACAGTGAAAAGCAGATGGGTGGCTAGAATTGCAAGGTGAATTTTGGAGTTTTTAGTTTTCACACTTTGTTTGTGCAGTAAGCGTCCAATTTACGTCACCGCGTCATTTTAAAGTTTCTGCTGAAGGAGTGAGAGGCCCCGGCGGGACCAGAAACCTTTCGATCCTATGGCAGCAGGAGCCTGTGAGATGGTTTTTAGTGCCGTGATGGCCAGGGATATGGCGAAATGGGGTGTGTTCTGGCAAGAGGAGGACTGTCGCCTCTATCAGCTGGTCATTCCCATTCTGGGCCTTCTCAGACTGGGGCACTGGACTCGGAAGATGCCCCCAGGAGAGGCGTTCTCAGAAGGCACGAGCGCCTGGAGCATCCCCTACTCCCAGGTGCCCCATCAGGAGGCACCTCCCAGCTGTGTCTCCCGAGTCACAGCCCAGACACAGTGCTGAGCTCTGCTGCCAGATGCCAGAAGATTTGCCCTAGTCCAGAAAAACCAACGACAACGCAACACTTTTACAAAAGCCATCTTTCATACATGCAATAGTCTTTTCCACGTTTACTTATCGTACCATTTGGAAGACTCAGGGTGGCCTTCTTTTCTAGGTTACCATTCTGCCACTTTTTCTCAAAGCAGTCTCTCTCCTCATGAGCATATTCCTTTCTCAGGACAATACCCCAACTGACCCTGCTTTTCTATGACAGCATGCGAATTAGGGGCTGCACCCCGCCCACTAGAAGCCAGATCTTTCTGGCTTGCATGCTCTGTGACCCCCAGCCCCTGAAGAGCAGCCCACTTGTTCCTAATTTACTTGGACCCGGGGGTTCCTGAAGCATGCTGTGACCTGTAGCCATGCAACATACAATGTAGCCATGCAACATACAACTCAGTCTTATCTAGATGTTTCTCTTTGGGGCTAGCTTGGCTGTTTCTGACCTAAATTTGACACTGTTTCCGCCTTCCTTTATTTTATTCCACTGGAAAAATATCCTAGGCCAGGCGCAGTGGTTCACAACACCTTGGGAGGCCAAGGCCGGCAGATCACCTGAGGTCAGGAGTTCGAGACCAGCCTGACCAACATGGTGAAACCCCGTCTCTACTAAAAATACAAAAAATTAGCTGGGTGTGGTGGTGCATGCCTGTAGTCCCAGCTACTTGGTAGGCTGAGGCAGGAGAATCACTTGAACCTGGGAGGCGGAGGTTGCAGTGAGCAGAGATCACGCTACCCACCGCACTCCAGCCTGGGCAACAGAGTAAGACTCCATCTCCAAAAAAAAGGAAAAAGAAAAATATCCTAAATGTCTAGACAGTGACTATTCCTTCAATTCCCTACAAAATCAGGCAGTTGGTACCCCTTTGTCTACGAGCTCCCATTCAACAAGGCGTCCCCATTCCCCTTCACTCCGGAGCCCCCTGGAGGCAGGGGAGCGCCATGACTTAGACGCACTCCAGGCCGCTCCTTGGTTTCCTCTCTGCAGGACTGCCCAAGAAGTTCGTGGACATCTTTCAGCAGACTCCTCTGGGCAGGTTTCTTGCCCAGCTCCATGGAGAGCCGCAGCAGGAACTTCTTCAGTGTTACTTGAAGGATTTCATTCTCTTGACCATGCGTGTGTCAACGGAGGAGGAATTAAAGGTAGATGTTTAGATACTGGCTAAGGGTCAGGTGTAGAGCTTGCATGATGGGGACTGGATGCAGACACGGAGACGTTTCCTCAGCTGCCTGGAGCTGGTGCTGTGAAGTCTGGGAACAGAACATGGTCAGCGAAGGGTGCCGGTGGGTGAAGGGGTCGCCCAGTCTCCTCTCAATATTCAGTGCTACACCCTCAGTCCACCGCCCAGGGGCTCCTAAAACACGGAGCTTTCTGTGAACATGAGAAGACCTCCAATTTCCTTGACATAGCTTCTTTTTAAATGTTGAGTTTCTCTTGAAAAAAATTAAATACGTAACTAACCCTACAGGGTAAGAATAAACAAGTGAAATTCAATAGAAAGTCATACTTTTGACTACCTAAAAATTTTAAACTTCAGTACATAAAAAAGGAGAGTGACAAATTTAAGAACATCCTTACAGCTAATATGACTAGAGGTTAATATTCTTAGGAATCAATAAGAAAATACCCTAAGTTTTAAAAAATGGGTAAACGTTATAAAACAACAATTTTATAATCTCATTAAGCATATCAACATCCAGGAAACATTTGAAAAATTGCTTAGCCTTACTATTAATAGCAAATCAACACAACAGTTTTTAGATATCATGTTTACGTATTCATTTTGCAAAGCTGATTTTTAAAAACAACAGCCGCCGGCCAGTGCTGCAAAGAAATAGCCAGGCCACGCGGCTGACAGTGTAGCGTGCACAGTGGGCGCCCTGCAGGGCTGCGTGGCAGAACAGTTGAGCACCTTATCCGATCTGAACTGCTGACTCTGTCCTGAGGAAACTACTGGAGATGTGGACAAATATTTGGTTCACAGGGATGTCCTTTTCAGCTTTGCTTCGAAAAATAAGAAATAGTTTAATTGTCCGGAAATACAGGATGGGCAAATTAAAGTATGGCCGTATGATGGGTTATTGAGCAGCCATTAAAACCATGTTTTTCAAGTATACTCAGTCATAGGGAAAGTTCATGATGTCATGTTCAGTGGCAAAAAGCCCAGACGACACGGTGACCTTAACGTGGGAGGAGAGGCAGATAGAAAACTGGACAGAAGCAAACGGGACAGAATAGCACACATGGTTTCTAATTTCCTCTTTTATGGTTTTCCAATAGTTCGGATTTCCCACGGGGAAAACATACCATTTTTGTAATTTAAAAATATATTCTAAAAGCTTTTTTGAATCCCAGTTTCTGCAGATGGCTCTGTGGTCCTGCACTAGGAAACTGAAAGCGGCGTCAGAAGCGCCCGAGGAAGAGGTTTCCTTACCGTGGGTGCACCTTGCCTACCAGCGTTTCAGAAGCCGTCTGCAGAACTTTTCCAGAATCCTGACCATCTACCCTCAGGTTCTCCACAGCCTGATGGAAGCCCGTTGGAACCATGAGCTGGCTGGATGTGAGATGGTATGGCCCTCCTCCGCCTGCCCTGAGCAAGCCTTGTGGTGCTTCCAACTCCACTCTGGGAATGGAGAGCTTCTGGGGCTGTGTTCCAAGTGGGAGATTTCTTCACAAGGCACATACCTTAGCTGAATTCAGAGATGTTAAGGACACATCTCGCTGACGCTTCTCACATCCTAGACAATGAAAGTTTAGGTCGCAAGCCTGGGACACAAGTATACATGCAGCTAACAGCCGGGGCCTCTGGTGGGCCGGTGGGAGGGGCACCGCTCAGCCACGCCCTGCTGTCCGTCTCCCCAGACCCTGGACGCATTTGCCGCAATGGCCTGCACGGAGATGCTGACAAGAAACACCCTGAAGCCCAGTCCCCAGGCGTGGCTACAGTTGGTGAAGAATCTTTCCATGCCGCTGGAGCTCATCTGCTCCGATGAGCACATGCAAGGCAGCGGGAGCCTGGCCCAGGCTGTCATCAGGGAAGTCAGGTGAGACCCAGGAGCCCTCACCCACTGCTTCATCTGGCGCGCGCTCACCAGGAGCCTGCCAAGTGCCAGGCATGTCCATGAGAAGACGGGCAGGTGCTCCTGCCATGGGAGGGGCTCCGTCCTCACCCGTTCACTCCGCATTTGCCGAACCCTTAGTGAGTGCCAGGCGTCTCATTAGGGTGCTGGAGACACGAGAGGCGGCTGTGCATTCAGGGAGCGCACTGTGTACTGGGGCCGTAGAAAGGCAGACGGGCTATTGTGATGCCGTGTGAGAAATGCTGTGGTAGAAAGGACACCCCGGGCGGGCAGGTGCACAGAGCAGGACAGGCCCTCAGGGCCAGAGTCCACTTCCCTAAAGGTGAGGTGGGACTTGACAGGCGCAGGATCATGCAGTGAGCGGGTTGTGGTGGTACCCCATGCAGAGGCATCACAGTGGGACACCGAGTCCCAGCTAAGCTGAGCGTCTGAGAGCGAGAGCTGGGGGCGGGCCAGGAAGTATGTCACATAGGGCTTGCTTGTAATCCCAGCCGCTGGGCCTGGACCCCGGGTCCCGCATCTCTTCTCCCGTCTCCCTCCTCGTTTCACCCTTGGGTTCCTTGGTGGGAGCCGAGTGAGTGAGTGAGTGGCGCCCTCTTTTGACAGAGCCCAGTGGAGTCGGATTTTCTCCACCGCACTCTTCGTGGAGCACGTGCTCCTAGGAACCGAGAGCCGCGTCCCCGAGTTACAGGGGCTGGTGACCGAGCACGTCTTCTTACTAGACAAGGTGAGTACTTGGGCTGGCCTCAGCACATGCACGGATCCACCCTTTTCCGAAAGGAAGAACAGCACTGACAGTGATCTGCGGCTGGGAGACGCTCTTTTGGCTCTGACCGTTTTGTCTAGACATGCAAAGGAAGGTGATTTCATCACTAGGCCATTACATTTTCCATGTTTAATTGTTTAATTATTTACCCTCTGCTGATTGCTAAGTCAGAGCATATCATTTAGAAGTGATTCCAGGAACTGTGTGCAGAAAGGGGCTGACGCAGGGAACATGCTTGTGAAACCTTCGGCAGGGATTACCTGGCCTTTGGAGTGACCCCAGAACAGACCACTAGCCTGGCCATCTGTGGAAGCTGTTACCATTTTCATAGTCATGGAGACAAGGATGTCAGAGAATGCCACCGGGGTTTGGGGTCTTCAAAACAGTGCTGTCAACAGAACCAAGGAACAGGAAGCCACCATGCCTGTCACTCAACACCCTTCATAAAGCTACTAATGTGGGGTGGTCTGCAGAAAGAAACCTGTGACCCTACAGTGATGCCCCTCTGTGGCCACGCAGTGGTGTCCAGCAACAGTGGCCACTCAGCCAAACACAGCCTCAGCCTCTGCCTCACCCGCACCCGTGACCTTCACGTGAGCACATCCAGAGCCCTCACCGCCAGGGGGTCTGGAAGAGGCAGCGCTGGCTGTCCGACCTTTGGAGCACAGGAAGGTTTACTAAAAGGAGGCCAGCATGGATGCTGGATGTGTTGACTCTGACCTATCAAAACATCAGCGGCTTAGACACAGTATCAGCTGATTTCCCACCCAGGATGGGTATGAGCAGCCCAAGGCTAAGGTACCAGCTCCCCGGAGGCTGGCACGGAGTCAGGTGCCCACGCTCCGTCTTGTCCCTTCATTGTCCCTAATGTTCAGCTTCCACCCCGTGGCCTGGCGTCACAGCCTGTGGGACAGAAAGCAGGGGAGGTAGAGGACAGGCCGTTTTCCTTAAGAGCCCAATCCCGGACACGCACACGCCACACCAGCTCGTGTCTCGTGGTCCTAAACTTAGGCACTCGGCCTTATCTGGTTGCAAGAAACTGAGGAGTTTTTCGTGGCATGGTCATGTTCCAGGTGGAACTTGAGTTCTTCTGCTGAAGGAAAAGGCGGAGAGAGGATAGTAGGACACAGCCGGTGCCCCCCTTCCACCCTTTTCCCCACACCCACACAGCATGCAGCCTCTCCAAGTCTCATCATGTCTCGGCGCTCTGGGAGATGCACAGGGCTTTCAGCCAGGTCCAGCGTGGGTCATAAGGGCCAGGTGCCCATAAACCCAAAGGTAAAGGAGCTGGCCCCTGCCTGCTCACATGCCCACAGGATTTGGGAGGTTAGGAACGTGGGGAGGGTTTTTTTTGGCGATAAAATGGCCTCAGAAACTTACTGGGTTTCTGGTTTATTTCCTTCCAGTCAGATCTCTGTGCAGGTAACCACAGCCAAAGACCTTACCTCGTTAGTTTTCCTGCTGGAAGCCTGACTTGTACCCCTACCCAGCCCCCGCTGAAGAGCAGCCCTTGGGACCATTTGAAACAAGAGGCTTGGGGGAAAGCCCTGCCTTCCGCCGTGAGGCTGGCTCCCTCGGCCGGGCAGGAAGTTGTCGACGGAACTGCTGCAGGATGGCACGGGTGGGACTGCGGGCATGGCTGGCTTTTAGTTGTTTTGGATATGTACCTTGAAGGGGAATTCCTGGATCATTTGATAACTCTGTTTAACTTTATGCAGAGGCACTGTATTGTTTTCCACGGGGGCTGCAGCATCTTTCTTACATCCCCACCAGCCAGGCACCAGGGTCTGAATTTCTCCACATCATGGGCAACACCTGTTACTATCTGATTTTTTTCATAATGGCCACCGTGATAATTCATTGTGGTTTTTATTTGCATTTCTCTAATGACTAGTTATGATGAGCATCCTTCATGTGCTTGTTGGGCATTTGCTGTCTTCTCTGGAGAAATGTCCATTCAAGTCCTTTGCCCATTTTTGAATTGGGTTGTTGATTAACAAAGTTATTAGGATATTAAAAATACACACATCACTTCCAAGTAAGATTAATCCCAGCAATTCAAGGATGGCTCAAAATAAAAAAAAAAAAATCTGTAAATGTCATCAGTTATATAAATTAAAAGATAAACTCTATATGATCATTTCAAAATGTAGAGAGAAAGCATTTGATAAAATTATTTGGAAAGAAATACCCTTGTCAAACTTGGAACAGGAAGGAACTCTCCTTGAGCTCACAATGCCCAAGGTAGACATAATATTAAGATGTCTATACCAACATCATGCCTGCCCATCAAATTCCATTAGTACAGCCATTAAACTATCTTGTACAGTGATGATGTGTATTGCCTAAAAACCAGTGTTTCCACTTCTAACTATATCCTAGAGAAACTTCTCATTTGCTCTCAGACATATGCAAGAATGTTGAATACAGGACTGTCAGGAATTGCAAAAAACCTAAATGCCCATTAACCAGCAGACAGGTAACTGGTGTCTTTATCAGTGGGTACAGGAGTGATCTGGACCTAAGGTATCATGAAGAGAATGAGTTGCAGAAGCCTTTATACAACGTGGTATCATTGATATCAAGTTTTAAAACATTCAAAATAATAACTCCATGTTCAGATATGCTTACAGCTATCCTAAAAGCAGACATTTAGAAATATAGTTATCTCTGGGGAGGGACGGAGGGATGTGAAGTTGTAACTATATGCATAATGTTTTGTTTCTCTAAAAAATGATCTATCGCAGCAGCTTGGGAGGCTGAAAGAAAATTTTAAAAAATTTAAAAATTTTAAAAAATGATCTAAAGCAAATATTCCATAAATGCTGAGATTTCTTAAAGCTTGGTGGGGGGTATACAGATGGTCATTATTATTACTTAAAGTTTGAAATATCTTAGTGAGAGCGGAGGAGACCTTAAAAGAAAAAGAAGAGGGAAAATCGTAACTTGAGAATGTAGTCCCCTGACAAGCAGCATAATCACAAAACGAGCATTCAGAGTTCAAGCGTTAAACACAGGATCACAAAGGCCTCGCACCCCACACCCCACACACACGGCGCAGCCTTGGCCCTGAATGTGGTGCTCCCTCTGTCGCCCGGCCTGGCCGCCCTCAGCCCTCCCCCCTGCTAATGACTCCTGTCCCTGCCTTTCTTCAGTGTCTTCGAGAGAACTCTGACGTGAAGACGCACGGGCCTTTTGAGGCCGTGATGCGCACTCTCTGTGAATGCAAGGAGACAGCCAGCAAGACCCTCAGCAGGTGAGACCTTAGGTTTGGATCTGTGAAGGCGAGAATTCTGAACCTCTCGTGGTTTTCACTTCTTCTGGCCAGTTTCTCTGCTTCAGAACTGATTGCCCTTCTTGGATTCTAGGTTTGGGATTCAGCCGTGCTCCATCTGCCTGGGAGATGCAAAGGACCCCGTCTGTCTGCCCTGCGACCACGTGCACTGCCTGCGCTGCCTCAGGGCCTGGTTTGCCTCAGAGCAGATGATATGCCCCTACTGTTTAACTGCCTTGCCAGACGAATTCTCTCCAGCTGTTTCCCAAGCGCACAGGTACAACACCCTTTCTCTCAAGAAAGCATCCTTTTTTTCATTTTCCTTTTTTGGCAAACACAATATTCAGAAATATAAACTCTATTAACCTTCATTTGGTAGAAAACCTGACCTCAGAGAACTATCATAAGAGACGCCACTTACGTACTTTCATAAATATCTGGTATCTCAAGATTATTCTCTCCCCAAGACATACACATACAGATTTCAGACAACAAATTCAGAGGAACTAAGCCAGAAAGTCTTAACAAAGGTCCTCACCAGAGGCCCAAGGAATGTAGACGCCAGTGTTTTTTTTTTTTTTTTTGAGACAGTGTTTCACTCTGTTGCCCAGGCTGGAGTACAGTGGCACGATCTCAGCTCACTGCAACCTTCACCTCCTGGGTTCAGGCAATTCTCCTGCCTCAGCCTCCCAAGTAGCTGGGATTACAGGCATGCACCACCATGCCCGGCTAATTTTTGTATTTTTAGTAGAGACAGGGTTTCACCATGTTGGCCAGGCTGGTCTCGAACTCCTGACCTCAGGTGATCCACCCGCCTTGGCCTCCCAAAGTGCAGGGATTACAGGCATGAGTGACCACACCTGGCCGACGCCACTGGTTTTAATGCATCAGTATCATTCACAGTCACTGACCTGAGGATCAACCCACTTCTTGTCTAGCTTTTTGGAGCTGGTTAAAAGCAGCTCTGGCTCTCTGGACTCAGCAGGCCTCAGCCCGGCTCTGTGAGTGGTTGGTTTTCTTTCCTTCCCCTTCCCCCCTTCTCAGGCCTCCTAAAAGTGGGGCACCAGGCAAGCCCAGTGGATGGGTTCTTTGACATACTTTGGGATATTGAAGGGTATTGTTGCCGGGTCCAAATGATCAAAGTGTTTCCAGAAAGGGATGCATGTAAATATCATCTGCTGAGGTTTTGAAGACTAGCTCTAACGGGTGAGAGGAGTGACTTGAATCTTTCAATTTAAAAGTAAAATGCCAGCCAGGCATGGTGGCTCACGCCTGTAATCCCAGCACTCTGGGAGGCCGAGGTGTGTGGATCACCTGAGGTCAGCAGTTCGAAACCAGCCTGGCCAACACGGTGAAACCCCATCTCTACTAAAAATACAAAATTAGCCAGGCGTGATGGTGCGTGCCTGTAATCCCAGCTACTTGGGAGGCTGAGGCAGGAGGATCACTTGAACCTGGGAGGTGGAGGTTGCAGTGAGCGGAGATCGCGCCACTGTACTCCAGCCTGGGCAACAAGAGTGAAACTCCGTCTCAAAAAAAAAAAAAAAAGTGAAATGCTGTGCAAATCTCAAGTCATTCTGTAAGGAGGCATTTGGGAAACACCATCCACCTGTCTTCTGTTTCTCGTGTTCTAAGGGAAGCCATTGAAAAGCATGCCCGCTTCCGGCAGATGTGCAACAGTTTCTTCGTAGACCTGGTGTCCACCATTTGCTTCAAGGACAACGCTCCGCCTGAGAAGGAAGTGATTGAGAGCCTGCTCTCTCTCCTCTTCGTCCAAAAGGGGCGCTTAAGAGATGCTGCCCAGAGTAGGTTGCTTTCTTCCTGTAAACCTAGCCCCTCATTTCTTCATCTCGCTTCTGCATGTCTCATGCAGTGAGCTGCCTTTTTCTTTCTGGTTTAAGGACACTGTGAACACACAAAATCTCTCTCTCCATTCAATGATGTTGTGGATAAGACTCCTGTCATCCGCTCAGTGATACTGAAACTGCTTTTGAAGTACAGGTAAGAACAACATGGAGACTTGCTTCTGGAAAGCCCTGGCTTTTTCTCTTCATCGCAGCGTTTTGTTACCAAGTCTTCTTGTCGTGACTAGTAGCTAGTACATGATCTTGGGGAGCTTTTTCGGTGAGACACAGCCTGGTTACTTGTACTGGTTGTGTATTCTGACATTTTCACATATAGGCACATGAGTTTAGTATTCCCACAAGCACACGCATCTAGCAAGAAGCCAACAGTGCCGTGAAGGGACCACAGTGGCGTGAGGGACATGGAACTCAAGAGGCCAGAATCTGTGGTGCTGAGCCTGGTTCCACAGCAGCGCAACTTTCTGATTTTTCAGATGGTAGCTTAGAATCCTGCTCACCCTGAATGTCCTAGATGTCTCCTAAGTTTCTATTCCCCTGAACATGGGCTCTATTTCCTTGGAAAGGATGTTGACATCCAAGAATAGTATCACCTGTGGTACTTGTATGGATCTAATATTGCAGTTCTCAAAGTGTTGGTATGGACCCTTGGGTGTGAGGTAGGTCTCTGAGGTTAAAACTATTTTAAAAATTAGATTACTAAGATAAATTTGCCCTTTTTTAAAAAACATGTTGATACTTATGATGATGTTACAAAAAGCGGTGATGAGTTAAACTGCTGGCCCCTCACGTGAAGACACAGTAGCTGGAGGTATTGTTTTCTTCACCGCCATGCACACGTGGTTTTCTTCATGCCAGTTTCATTTTAGTTTTACTAAATCTTGACTCTTGAGGATTTGACTTTTCAACGTTTTGTGGAAATGGGAAGCACACACAAAACACTCCCACTACACACCGGAGTAGACAGTTGCCTCACAGAAAATCACTCATGACAAGCCCTGGGTTATCAGCCGGCTGCTGTGTTCATGGACCGCCACCCGTGCTGGGAGGAAGGATGCACATGATACAGGTGTCCAGGGCTGGGCAGGCCTCTCCTGGAAATCAGCAAAGTGAGCCAGCCTCAGCCAAACAACTGACAATGTTGGTTGGTGATGATAACATTCAAGCTTTTAAGCTGAAATTAAAATTTTGAAAAGCTTATATTCTCCACTATGAGCTTGTGAGCTTTTGAATACTTAAAGACATTTTGGGGCAATTTGTGGTGATATTAATGAATATGGATTTTTTTTTTTAAAACGTAGAATACAAATGTGTCAACCTTTACAAGACCTGCACAGCCCAGTGAACCAATATTTTCCAAATGACCAATGCCTGATGTCATGAAATCATGTGGGTCAAAAAAGAAAAAAATCTATTTAAAGTATGGGCAGACCTTTTTGATTTTAACATAATTGACTGAAAAATGCACTGATACAGTTTCAGGCTCCACATTGCAACTAACCTCTAGACATGACCATTTATCACTGTGGGCACAGCATTAAGGAATAATAGCCACAATCAGCTGCAAAAACTATTAAAATGTTCCTCGCTATTCCGAGTATATGAGGACAGATTTTCTTCATGTTCTCCCATATGCTGCAGCGATGGGGAGCAGGGCAGGCAGGCCGCTGACTTCCAGGAGCCAGGCCCCAGGGCCAGCACAGGAATGGAAGACCAAACCACTCTTCTCACGGATTCATGTTTTGGAAAATATTTTAAATGTTATTTAACATGTAATAGCTTTATTGTTATTTTAAATGAATGTATATTTTTGAAACCTTTTGTTTTTAATGTCTCATAATTCCTAATATCATAAATATTGATAATATAACCCACATAAAAGCTCTTCGGGGTTCTCAATTTTTAAGACTATAAAGGGGTCCTGAAACCAAAGTTTGAGGACAGCTGGTCTAAAATGTGAGTTTTATATTCCTCCAGTATTATGCTAAAAGGTTTTCCATAAAATCTTAGAAACCACGTATATGTATGTATATGTTTATACACACACACACACAGGACAGACGACCGATAGATAGATGCTCTTTTTTTTAGTAAGGTATGTCTCCAGATCTGAGAGAACCAGGAATAATATTTCTCTTTCTGCAGCTTTCATGATGTAAAAGATTATATTCAGGAATATTTGACCCTGTTAAAAAAGAAAGCATTCATAACTGAAGATAAAACTGAACTGTACATGCTCTTCATCAACTGCCTGGAGGTAAGTGAACTCTCTCTTCCCTGAATTTCTTTTGGAAACTATCTGAACCACATGGTTTAAAATTTACAGAATATAATTTTAGTCAGTATAATTAACGAATGCTCTGTTCCGTGCAGAAAAGAAGAAAGGTTTCAAAGACGCGGCTTCTGCCTTCAGCAACGTATATTTTGGCATTTACTTGCATATACATACAAAACAGAACAGCCTAGGAGAATATACTGCCAAAGTTAACAGTGGTTATCATTGAGTGGGGACATTATGGATACTTTTTATCTTCATATTTTTATATCCAAAATTTTTATAATGTAAATAAATTAGATAATTTTTTTTCCTCATAGGTTCACTTTTCCCCTCCTTCTTGTCCTTAAAATAAAAAGGAATGTTAGGTTTCCATAAGTCAAGAAATTTACACTGAAACCTACAGTAACATTCTTCTATCCTTCCTTCTCCACAGTCACATTGGCGACTGTAGAAGCTTGGGGCATCCATGTTTAAAAAAATAATATCCTTTTCTTTCTTGTTCCTTGTTCCTCAGGATTCAATACTTGAGAAGACCAGTGCTTACTCCAGAAATGATGAACTGAACCACCTAGAAGAGGAAGGTCGTTTCCTTAAGGCATATTCTCCAGCAAGCCGGGGCCGAGAGCCTGCCAACGAGGCCTCGGTTGAATACCTGCAAGAGGTGGCCCGGATCCGCCTCTGCCTCGACAGAGCTGCAGATTTCCTCTCGGAGCCTGAGGGAGGCCCAGGCAAGTCTTCTCTGCCTTGCTTTCCTTTGGGTTTAAAGACTCCGTTATTTAGAAATTCAGGAAGTATGGGAAACTAGTTCTTCGAATAGACTACTACTGGGCTTTTCTACATCCCCTCTCCCCTGGATGTGTTTCTGTGAATGCCTGTGGGTAGGTCCGATGCCCTCTGGTTGGCCTTGTGTCCTACAATAAATGCCCTAAGTCACCAGCCACTCACCCGCTTTCTCGTTGGCCTCTCAGAGATGGCCAAGGAGAAGCAGTGCTACCTGCAGCAAGTCAAGCAGTTCTGTATCCGGGTGGAGAACGACTGGCACCGGGTGTACCTGGTGCGGAAGCTCAGCAGCCAGCGGGGGATGGAGTTCGTGCAGGGCCTCTCCAAGCCCGGCCGCCCGCACCAGTGGGTGTTTCCCAAGGACGTTGTCAAGCAGCAGGTGAGAAGCGGGGCCGGGCAGCACACAAACATGCACCCCCACAGCCCCATACACCCCAAACCCACACACCCCCCTACCCTCACACCCTACCCCCCCCACACCCCACCCCCTCACACCTTCCCCACCACATACCCTCATACCCCCACACCTCACCCTCACACCCCCACACCTCACCCTCACACCCAGGGATGGTGCCACTGCTTCCGCGTTCCGCCTGCCCTTAGCATCCCCAGAGCCAGGAAGGAAACCTGCCGCTTGTCTGTCTGGTCCTTTGTCTCTGTGCTTCAGCTGATTTGCCCCAGCTTGTGATCATGTTTACACTGCCTGCTGTAGGGCCAAGGTGAGGGCACTCACCTCAGAGCTTCTTTAATTAGGCATCACTTCTAATTGAATTTCACTCAAGGAAAGTAGAACATTCTTGTGGCCTTTGCTTTCAGCGAATTAAACGTAGTTCAGCTTGCAAGGTGCGACCTTTTTACCTCTGGCAGGCAGAGACAGGCAAGAGCAAGAACTAGGAATAGAAGAATTGCAGAAGAGGCTTCAAGGCCAGGCTGGGCACAGTGGCTCTCACCTGTAATTCCAGCACTTTGGGAGGCCGAGGCAGGCGGATCACTTGTGGTCAGGAGTTTGTCAAGACCAGCCTGGCCAACATGGTGAAACCTTGTCTCTACTTCAAAGAAAAAAAAAATTAGCTGGACATGATGGTGGGTGCTTGTAATCCCAGCTAGTCGGGAGGCTGAGGCAGGAGAATCACTTGAACCCGGGAGGCAGAGGTTGCAGTGAGCCGAGATTGCACCACTGCACTCCAGCGCCTGGGCGATAGAGCGAGACTCCGTCTCAAAAAAAAAAAAAAAAAAAAGAGGCTTCAAGGCCTCTCAGTGGTCCTTTCCAGATACCCAGAAATTAACAAATTCTTATTGTCCAGGGGATACAAAAATGGTACTAAGAACCCCGGCACTGTTTGACTACCACCTGGGGTTTAGAGTTGACATGACTTGAGCCACCCGGCCTCAGGTGTGGTGCGGTGCGCCGCAAACGGAGGAAGCAAGCACCTCCCCAGGTAGCGCTGCCGTCGGCAGGCATTCCCTGCACTTGCACCTCTTCGTCTACTGAGGAGGAAGCTCCCTGCGAAGAGGGCACCAGACTGTCCTGCCTCAGGCCAGGTCAGGGAATCCCAGCTTGGCTGCCTTTAAACCTCGAATGATCAACCACCTGGTTCCTGTACCCGTTCAGACGGTTCTTTGCAAGACATTCCTCCCATTGTTCACCCCCAACTAACCTCTGTATTCCAGGGGCTGCGGCAGGACCACCCAGGCCAGATGGATAGGTACCTGGTGTACGGCGATGAATACAAGGCTCTCCGTGATGCTGTGGCCAAAGCTGTCCTCGAGTGCAAGCCACTGGGCATTAAGACTGCTCTGAAGGTAGGATGGGCCCGTGGCTTCTCTCTGATACCAGGTGGCATCCCTTGGAGCCTGCATGTTCCCTGGTTTATGTCAAATGATGCAGGGTGATGGACCACTGATGCAGCCCATCACGTGACACTGTATTGGAAGTCACGTGCCCACAGCCTCCAGGGCGCACCTGGCTAGTGTGCGTGAACCAGTGGCTGGAACAGGACAGCTATGACAGTTGAGCTGGGTTGACAGATTTGCTGTGTCTTGCTGATCTGCCAAGTCCATCAGCAGCGCCTTTTGATTTATGCCCATTACTTCCTTTGAGACCCTGCTGGAAAACAGTCTAAGAAAGATGCTGACACAACTATTAATAGCAAAATTCATACCTAGATGTATTCATAATTCAGATATGCATGTGTGTTTAATAAAAATACATATGTTGGTGTAGTGTGGGAAGTTAAAAAATATAAAGATGTTTTTAGAATCTAACCTTTAAATTGGTCTGGTCTTGCTTCCTTTTTGAGTCCCTGTGCCAGGAAAAGAGGAAATGGAAAATCCTCTTTCTGCTCAGAAGTTTCTAAGACCAGTGAAGGAGTCAGAAGAACAGATGGTGATTCCGTTGCTTCTGTCATTAAGCTGGCTGCTAAATATGCGTTGAGTTTAATCTGAGAGTATTTCAGGAACTTTGTAGCCCAAAAGTTGCTCGCCAGAAGACTGCCCATGTGGGGCATGACCCCAGGTGTCCAGGCCTGGAAAAGGCTCCTTCCCTTTTGGTGGGTTGAGGGCTGAGGCATGTGAAAAGTTTCTTTTCACATGCAAACTTCGTGGGCCTCTGGCCCTTAGGTAGATCTGGCAGGCAGCGGTGCGGGGGCGTCTATCCTATAATCCTAGCACTTTGGGAGGCCGAGGCATGCAGATCACAAGGTCAGGAGTTTGAGACCAGCCTGGCAAACATGGTGAAACCCCGTGTCTACTAAAAGAAAAAAAAAAAGAATTAGCCGGACATGGTTGCGTGTGCCTGTAGTCCCAGCTACTCGGGAGGCTGAGTTAGAATCGCTTGAACCCGAGAGGCAGAGGTTGCAGTGAGCCGAGATCATGCCACTGCACTCCAGCCTGGGTGACAGAGCAAGACTCCATCTCAAAAAAAAAAGATGTGTTGAGCTTTTAAATTCTTACTTGATACCCTTGATTTTGCAGGCCTGCAAGACCCCCCAAAGCCAGCAGTCAGCCTACTTCCTGTTAACACTGTTTAGAGAGGTGGCTATTTTGTACAGATCCCACAATGCAAGCCTCCACCCCACGCCAGAGGTGAGTAACCGCCTGCAGGGCTGTGTTCAAAGTCTCAGTATTTGGAGGGATTTTATTGAATAGAATGAAAGTTATCAACACAAATCATACCATAATTTTTTTATCTAGGATAGAGGTTCTCAACCTTGTTATGTGGAGGAACACATAACCAAGCTGTTTAACCCAAAGCTTGTAGAATTATAATGAAAACTAAAGCCAAGAACATAAGATAATGTTTAACAGAATAGAATATCAAAATTAATGCTTACGTATGTGGATGCTGTGTTTGTATATGCACAATTCTCTTCTCTGAAAAATTTCCCCCTCAAATGGTGGTGATTTCTCCATATTTACCTTGATATTTGATGTGTATTTGGTGTCAGTGTATGTCTAAGAGCAATTCACACAATATTCTTTGATACATCTTAATGTTAAGTTTTTTTCCTGTCAGCAATGTGAAGCTGTGAGCAAATTCATTGGCGAATGCAAGATCCTTTCACCTCCTGATATCAGCCGTTTTGCAACATCGCTCGTGGACAATTCTGTGCCATTGTTGAGGGCGGGGCCTAGTGACAGCAACCTTGATGGAACGGTGACAGAAATGGCCATTCATGCTGCAGCCGTCCTTCTGTGTGGACAGAATGAACTCTTGGAGCCCCTAAAGAATCTGGCCTTCTCCCCAGCCACCATGGCGGTAAGAGTAGGCCACAATTCCATCGGCCTTCACTGGAACACCCCCCAGAGCTTGTCACTGTAGAGACCGAGCTGCAGCTGTGGGAACTCTTGAGCATCTTTATCTCCTCAGTTCTCTGCCTTTGTGTCACCTGATTCTTGAGCACACAAGATAGTGACAGACTTGCCTTGCCCTTTGTTATTTCACAGGAAGCTGTTCTGTTTTCTTCACAGACAGCTTGAGAAGTCCAGCAGAAGGAAAGCAGAGTTCCCTTTCTTCCTCTAGGCCTCCTGCTGAGCAGCAGCACCCAGGTGACAAGCTCACTTATCTAGAGCTGTCTCTGTCTTCTTGTTTTTCAGCATGCTTTTCTTCCAACCATGCCTGAAGACTTGCTGGCTCAAGCTCGGAGGTGGAAGGGTCTGGAGCGAGTCCACTGGTACAGTAAGTGTTGGGGTCTAGATGACCCCACACTCCTTTGAGCTTCAAAGGGTGTCCAGATGCTATGAAGCATTGGGTTCGACTTGGGGTCCACGTGGTTTGTGCCTCAGGGTCCAAAACCACCTGCATTCTACCGGTGGCGTCTGCAGAAGACGAATGGCTTGAAGGAGCTGGCACTCCGCCGGCTAGATGATCCAAACCATTTCATTTCTTTGTCGTGTGGAAAAGGCCCTCTGTGATGCACTTCTGTTCTCTGGAATATGCCATTTTGGGAGAAGGGAGGGACTGGGAACCACATCAGAGACGCATTCAAAGGCCCACCACAAAACAAAGTTTTTGACACAAAGCTCTTCTGAAATATATGAAATATAGAACCGGGAGACTGACTCATATAACCCATGACATGTAAATTTTGCTGTTGCCTGAGTAAATATTTTAAAACTAGTTTTTAAAGTTGTTATAAAATATGCTCATGACAAAAAAAAAAAAATCAAGGAAAATAGAAAGGTCTAGAATCCTGTCCACCTTGCCTCCAAAAGTACCCCTGGTATGGGCCTATATTCTAATTGCTCTTTACTTGATAAAATTAATAAAATTAGACTCAGACATTTTTCACTGACAACATACATTTATTAAGCTTCAGGCAGGTGTCATGTAACTTAACAAATTAGCGTGGGATGCTCTGGACAGTCATTCTCATATTGTGGTCAGGGCCAGAGAGTAGAGAGTTAGCTTTCCCTTTTCAATGTGGGTCATTGGGTGAAACCTCATTAGCCAATGTGTGTCCTGTTCTCTTCACAGCTTGTCCCAACGGCCATCCTTGCTCCGTGGGAGAGGTGAGTCTTGGTATTTAAGATAGGGTTTGAGGGGTGGCGTGCACTCCTGGGTTGGAGGAGGGGGATCGTGGGTCAGGAGAGTGAGGCTCTCGGCCTTCCAGGAGAGCACAGGCTCACCGAGGACTGCCCAGGGTGCTCTGAGCAGGGCAATGCCAATGGCGCTAAGGGTTTCTAGCCCAGGGCTTCTCAGACTCAGCACTGTGGACGTGGCTCTGCGGCGTGGGCTGTCCTGTGCACTGCAGGCTGTCTGGCAGTATGCCTGACCTCGAGTCCCTGGATGCCAGGAGCACCCACTCCTCCCAGTGTGACAGCTAAAACCAGACATTGACAAAGGTCCCCTAGGAAAGAAAATTGCTACTGGTTGGGAACTGCTGCTAGCCATTCTTTCTAGCCACTGCAGCATGGGGTCAGTGAGCCTTGTCTTGATAGAATGGCAAGGTGTTGCCTGGACCACAGGCTGCATTATTAGCCCTCAGAGGAGGTGTGGTCCAGATGCCAAAGGAAAAAGCCACGTGTAGGCTGTGCGCCATGGGGGAAGAACTGTTGATTATTCCTCTCTGGATTCCCAAGCATCTAGCCTAGAGCCCTCCATACACAGTATCTGTACTTGCTGAGCAAGAGGCTGGTGGGTTGAGCTGACACGTGGTAGTTAGTTATTAGTATTACTTACTTGGTTGAGATATGTCTGGCTCTCTTACCCAGGCTGGAGTGCAGAGTGACATGATCATAGCTCACTATAAACATTGAACTCCTGGGCTCAAGCGATCCTCCCGCCTCGGCCTCCCAAAGTGTTGGGATTATGAGCCACTGTGCCCAGCCTGATACACGTCATTTAATAATGTATATAAGAGATACGGAGGGAGAAAAACTGTTACATACACTTCATTTTTCTGAGCTTCAATCACTTCCTTGTCCATGAAATGAGGACGCTGAAATAGAGTCTATCCAAGAATGCTCCCAGCTCTGAAATTCTGTAACTGGTTTGGTGTGTTATCAGCCGTGACTCTCAGTATATTGTGGCACAATATCTGATTTTGAAAAATAAGCCTTTGGAAGTAGATTATGTGATTAGATTTTTTTAAATAAAAAAGTCCAAGCCAGGTGTGGTAGGTCACACCTGTAATCCCAGCACTTCAGGAGGCTGAGGCAGGTGGATTGCTAGATCCCAGGAGTTTGAGACTGGCCCGGGCAACATGTTGAAACCCCGTCTCTACAAAAAAACACAAAGCATCAGCAGGGCATGGTGGTGCATGCGTGCATGCGTGCATGCGTGTGGTCCCAGCTACTTGGGAGGCTAAGGTAGGAGGATTGCTTGAGCCTGGGGAGGTCAAGGCTGTAGTGAGCCGTGATGGTGCCACTGCACTCCAGCCTGGAGGACAGAGCGAGGCTCTGTC
Organism: Homo sapiens; assembly: GCF_000001405.40. Classification (NCBI taxonomy): domain Eukaryota; kingdom Metazoa; phylum Chordata; class Mammalia; order Primates; family Hominidae; genus Homo; species Homo sapiens. The sequence continues at coordinate 80,379,191 of NC_000017.11, forward strand.
TCATAAAAATTGATATATGAAAAAGTCCAAATGAATATAAGGAAGTCAGTTTGGAAGCTCTTCTAGTATTCTTGGTATTAGATCATGAAGTGCCACAGGCTAGTGTGATAGATGGAGGGATGGAAAAAGTGCTGAATACAAGAAAGGAAGGTTGAATTTTATATATTTGTCTATAAAGTGTCACTCTGGGAATAAAGCTTAAATTGTCTCACTTATTTAAAAAACAGTTCCAGTTTGCCCACGTGCAACATTAGTGAGTACCTACCCTGTTCCCATGGGTTCTCCACCCACCCGAAACAAGCACACACTGGGACAATCTGAGGGTGCTCACGTCTGCCGGTGATAAGGAGGTGTTCATTTGCATGATGGCATTTGTGCATAAAATGGTACTGCTCCAGAAGTGGTTCTAGTGCCCTGTCTTCACCCTAGTGTGGCAGGCCGATGGAACAGAGCATCTGCATTGACTGCCATGCGCCGATTGGAGGCATTGACCACAAACCTCGGGACGGCTTTCATCTGGTCAAGTATGTGGGTCAGGATTCTATTTCCTAAGTACTCAAACTTTGGGGTGTTGGGCTGTTTTTATTCCAGCTGATAAAGTGATACTCAAGATAGTACTAATTACTCCAGTACATGTGGGCCTGTGTCATATTGAATAGCAATGCCAAAGTCCCAGCAGTCACACAGCAGGGAGGCATCTGATCTGTTGTTGGATCCCTGGGCCCTGAAATGCAAAGCAGGCTACCCTTTAACAGCTGTTAATATGAATACAGGTGTCTTCCTTTTGGGCCTTGGGTGCACCTTCTGTAGAAATATGCATGACATAAACAGATGATCTAATTCACGAGGACATCTATGTCTGCAGGACCAAAACCTGGGCATCCGTCTGTCTCAGCAGATGCCATCTCACTTGCCAGCAATCTTAGCTTTCTCCATTTTTTATTTTTTGAGAAAAATGAAGGAGACAGACATAGTCTTATGAAATACCAGACTTCAGAATCCAGGTACAAATCCGATCCCACAATCCCATGCTGAGATGAATGTGGTTCTAAATGCTCCTTTCAGAGAGTGAGTGGGACCTGCGTGGGGGCCTCACATTCTGACTGTTCCCTGCAGTCACAGCTTAAAATACTTTCATGTTATCTCCAGAAACTGTCACAGTGTCCTCCATCCTCTAATAGTTTTGCCACTGAGAGCATCGGCCACACTGCATCTCCTCTCTGCCGGACTTTAGATCCCGGTTTTTCCTTTGGGGAGATGAGAACAATATGGACACCCATGGGATGCCGACTGTCCTCCCAAACTCTAGCTGTTCTTAGCCCAACCGCTCCTCTCCTGACAAAGACTTCAGTGGAAAAGACGGGTCCAGGCCTGCGTCTTAACACCCTGCCCGGGGATCAGCATCAATACCACACAGCGCAGCCACCTGACGCTGAGAATGCGGTCGGGTCTGGTCCACCGGAAAGGCGAGTCTATCATGAGAGAGACTCTTAGGAACATGGTCCAGGCTTTGTGGAACAGCAAGTACTCTTCACATAACTCTCTTCTCAGCCGTAAGCCTCACTCCAAGTGCTGAGAAAGTGCAGCGTGCCAAAGCGGCCAGCCTCAGCCTCTGTCTTGTGTTCTCTCGTTCTTTCCAGAGACAAGGCAGACAGAACGCAGACCGGCCACGTGCTGGGCAACCCGCAGCGGAGAGACGTGGTGACATGTGACCGAGGGCTGCCCCCAGTGGTCTTCCTCCTTATCCGGCTACTCACTCACTTGGCTCTGCTTCTGGGAGCGTCCCAGAGTTCCCAGGTATAACCCAGTGCTGCCAAACAATGGGCTCAGTTAAGAACCTGCTTTCGCTTCTTCCCAGGGAGTCCTTTTGTCTTGAGTCCTAGCTGCCATCTATGCGTTTTGGAGATAATTAGTCTACAAAGTAATATACAAGTTATACATCTTCATGTTTCCCCCTGTGGCGTATGATGGTATGGGGGGAACTACTCCCCAGATTATACAGAATCCACTTCAAATTAACACTCTGTGTCTCTGGTCCACATCTGGGAGTAGAGAGGCTGACATCTTCATTATTTTACCTGTGTCTTCATTGTAGCTAGGGAAGAAAGAGCACACTGCATAACCAAGATGGCCAACAGTACAATCTGGATATTCTTTATCTCACTGTAACAACAGAAAAGCCAGCAGCCGTTCCGCTTGCTAGCCTTCCTTTCACCTGGATCACTCCGCCGTTTTCATCTTAGAAACCGCCTTCCGACTCTATGCTGGTGCTCCACTCCCAATGGCCTCTACCAGGCTCACCATCTTCTCTACAAACCAGATCCCCGCTGAACACTCTGTTCCGTTGCCCCCACAGGCTCTGATAAACATCATTAAGCCTCCAGTGAGGGATCCAAAAGGCTTTCTGCAGCAGCACATCCTGAAGGACCTGGAGCAGTTGGCCAAGATGCTGGGACACAGTGCCGACGAGACCATCGGCGTGGTCCACCTCGTCCTGCGCAGGCTTCTCCAAGAGCAGCACCAGCTCTCTAGCAGAAGTGAGGAAAGGGGCAAGGGCTGGGCGGGGATCACACAGCACAACGGCAGCGCAAGCAGGCTCGCTGTCTTGTGGGCCACCCCACACACAGCCAGTCTGAGCTCTGTCTGTGCTGTTGCTGGAAAGAATGAGAGAACACACAGAGAGAAAACCGTGTCTAGGGAAGGCGATGCCTGGGGCTGGAAAAAGGAAGCACTCTGCTTGCCCAGAGGCTGGAAGGAGCTGCTCTGTTCCCTCCATTCACCCCTGCCTGGCTAAGACCTGCGGTATTCGGGAGCGTCTGCACGCAAGTGTTCAGTGTGCATATATGGGGAGTCTTCAGTTCCGAAGTCAGCCCCGTAGGTCATTCCCCTACCATGCTGGGAGCACGTGTCGTCCACACAGAGCGTGCGTGTCAAAGGATCAATCACCATCACAGTTGTGTGCTGATTTATTAAATGTTTATATGTCCACAGTTATGTTAAAAAAAAAAAGCTATAAAATATTGTATTCACTGAGCTAACTTTCTATTTTAAAAATTTAAATCCATACAGAAAGAAAAGGTCTGTAAGACAACTTAGTAAAATGGTTATATGGTTATCTGTGAGTGGTGGAATTAAGAGTGATTTTCTTTTGCTAATCTGCAAAAATCACAATGACCATTGTGAGGACAATGTTAATTTAAAATAATAACAATAATAGCAAGAAGAAGTCCTGCCCCATGACAAGAAAATCTGCTCCCACCTCAGGTACTTCTTTGCCTGAAACTGGCATTCCTATTTATTTTCCATTTTGAACAATCTGATTTTATTTTAAGCCTCTTATTCTGGTGGGATTTCAGCAAAGTGAGCACACCCAGAGTCACACTGATGAAATGACAGAATCCTGGAAGCAGGTGGACAGTTCCCGCAGCACTCCACATCTGTGTGGTCTGCCTCAGGGTTTGGGTGGCAGCAGCTGAGACGGCTGGCGGTAGCCTGGGCCACTCTTACTATTGAGCTCAAGTTCTGTTCTTTCAGTAATTTTTTTCAAAATGGGTCTAAGATTACAATTATGTAGGATAGAGGAATTTTTAGAGATTGATGTTATCTTCAAAAGGTCATTAAGTTGGTGGTAACAACAGGAACTACTTCAAAATACTTAGATTAATTTAGAAAGCTATTACCTCAAAACGAGTGTTATTTCTATTAAACACTTATTTAGGGTTTATTATACGCAGACTGCTGTGTTCTTTGTGCCTTGGGTAACCTACACATTTGGAGTTTTTTTGTAGGGCTTTTAAATTTTGACACAGAATTGTCAACTAAAGAAATGAGGAACAACTGGGAAAAGGAAATCGCAGCTGTGATTTCTCCTGAACTGGAGGTAAGCAGTAAGTGCTGACAGCTGGGTTGCTCCTCGGTCCAGAAAGGAAGGGTCCCGGCGTCTGCTGAATGCTCCTTGCCTGTTGCCCCTCGTAGCGGTGCCAGCAAGAGCCTTTGACTGAGCCCCAGATTCCAATGCTCCCCACCTCGAGTCACTCCATCCTCCTCCTGTCCCCAAGTGCTCTTCCCTCCTACAGCTGGTCATGAAGTCAGTCCGAGGAATTCCTGGGAATCCAGCAAGTGCAGGCAGTGTTTTTCTCTCCATTACTTTTTACAGCAGAATGTAATGTACGAGGTAGAGAAATAAACTATCACATATATACCCATTAAAAATGAACTGACAATCATAGATTAATTATTCATCTAGCAGCCAGAATGTTAGTAAGAGAAATATAGGTTTCTGAATCTCATTCTGTTTGGGGAGACATACATCTATAAACAAACAACACTGAAATTAGAAGATCAAAGGGAATACCTGATTACATGCTCAGAGCAGGGGACAAACGCCCTAATATGCAGACACCCACTGGTGGAGTTACTGGGTGTTACAATCTGTTTGTAGCAATACCTCACTTCCAGAATTTTTTTTTTCATTTTCTCCATCCAGCATCTAGATAAAACCCTTCCCACCATGAATAATCTCATCAGCCAAGATAAGCGTATCAGCTCTAACCCTGTGGCCAAAATAATATATGGTGACCCAGTGACCTTCCTGCCCCACCTGCCCCGGAAAAGTGTGGTCCATTGCTCTAAGATTTGGAGCTGCAGGAAAAGAATTACAGTTGAGTACCTCCAGCACATTGTGGAACAGAAAAATGGCAAAGAAAGAGTGCCCATCCTCTGGCATTTCCTGCAGAAGGTATGTCTGGCTTACTGTGGCTCCCTCCCTCTTTCGGTGCAGAGTTCCCCAGCAGGCCTGAAGGCCCTGGGCTTTTACGTAGTATAATCATTCTTAACAGACTATTCCAGTGCTTTGGTTTTGAATAGGATGTAGCAGAAGACTCAGGGCTAGAGATCTTCATACATATCAAACTGTATGATTGCCAGAAGCGTAAAGTCACAGACGAAATACACACCCACGTTGGGATTAGCAGTGACCTGTGGGGAAGCTGGAGGCCAGGAGAGGACCTCCCCTCATCACTCAGCCAGACAGAAAAGGATGCAGCTCTTTCCCAGCCGCTCTGTTCCTCTCTGTCCACAATGCTGGAGCATGGGCAGATCAAACAAAACTCCTCCCTGTGCCTAAGCATCGAGGCGTACGTGGAAGACGGGAGTGAGTGGGTGTGTGCCGGCGGTGCTGGGGTACTGGGGAGCAGTCAAGTGTACTGGCCACATCTGTTGGAATTGGAAATATACTTTCCTAACTTTCACCCATTTGCACTTTCATTTTCTACAACACATTGTCTAAACATTTCTCTCCATGGACTATTATTTGCTGTCTAGCAAGGATGAAGACGAGTTGGAAACTTCTGTTGGTCAGTTGAGGAGTATGAGTTCACAATGACAGGAAGGACTTCCTGTCAATACTGTGGCCTCTCTCTCAGATGCAGTTTCACTACGTCGAAGATGCTTAGATCCTAGGTCTTCGGAAGGACACCCAGGAATAAGGCCAGCCCTCGCTGCCTAAGCTCTGGGTCTCTTCTTTCAGCAGCTTCTCTCCGTACCCAGCCAGTTACATGGGCCCAAGGGACAGATTTCCTTCATCAGCCTTTGATGGACGCGGCTGATGCGTCAGCTCCATAGAGGCTGGGCTCCCTCTTCGCCGCCCTCCATTTCTAGCACACTGCACTGTCTGTAGACTTGTGGGAAGAACTTTTCCCGTTTTCAAGCTCCACGCTGCATCACAGGAAATGACACTGACCAGATTAAGCTACAAATACAAGTCTCGCAGCCAGTCTCAAAGTCTGTAACCCCAATAACATTTTTTAGGTAAATAAAAATTGTTACTGGGTGGTCTTCCCTTCTCCAGGAAGCAGAGCTGAGGCTGGTAAAGTTCCTGCCTGAGATTTTGGCCTTGCAAAGGGATCTAGTGAAGCAGTTCCAGAACGTCCAGCAAGTTGAATACAGCTCCATCAGAGGCTTCCTCAGCAAGCACAGCTCAGGTGTGGCTCTGCTCTGACAGGACCAGGACTGTCCCGCATTTGGCGGTTCGAAAGGATCACTGCATAGGGGAACAGGGTGGGGCGGAGGGGAGGAGGCGCTGATGGGTGCTCTATAGCCTAAGCCCTTACCATGCGGTGAAGGGTGCTTGAACCCCAAAAACATATTAGAAGCTTTCGCCACAGCTGAAAAGCACCTCCCTCTCTAGCTCCTCAAACTCGGCTCACTCCTTCAAACAGCACCTCAGACATGCTTGTGACTGCACAAAGCAGGAAAGATGGGCTCTCGGCAGAGCATGTAACTAGGGTGGTTTGGCCCTTTCAGGGGGTTGCTATCATACGGTTCTTACCAAGTATTCTGTTCAACAGATGGGTTGAGGCAGCTGCTTCACAACAGGATCACAGTCTTTCTGTCCACATGGAACAAACTGAGGAGATCGCTTGAGACGAACGGTTAGTATCCTGTCCCCTGTACCACTAAGCGTTCCAGGAGAGCCTCGTCTGAAAGCTCTTCTCGTCAGCCTGACTCGGCCCATCCCTGTCAACACCCAGCACTGTGTTTGTTTGTTTTTGAGATGGAGTCTTGCTCTGTCGCCAGGCTGGAGTGCAGTGGCACCATCTCGGCTCACTGCAACCTCTGCCTCCCGGATTCAAGCAATTCTCCTGCCTCAGCCCCTAGTAGAGACAGGGTTTCACCATGTTGCCCAGGCTGGTCTCAAACTCCCAAGCTCAGGCAATCCACCCGCCTCGGCCTCCCAAAGTGCTAGGATTACAAGCGGGAGCCACTGCGCCCAGCCAGCACTGTTAACGCTTAACTTGTGTCTCTTTTGATGGTGGTGTCTGGATAAGTAAAATAATGTGTCAGGAAAATAAACCCTCAGTACTCTTCAGTCCCTAAATATGGCATCAAAAGGGAGCTGAAAGCATTTGAAACTCTATCAGCATATGAGATGGGGCAGAACCGAGACCCGGCTCCCGGCTGTGTGTGGAGCTGATGGCTTCTGCATCCCTCCTCCCCACGCCTAGATTCTGTGAGGAGTTGGAACTCCTCTCTGCTTAAGCATAACCCTGTCGTTTAAAGGTGAGATCAACCTACCCAAAGACTACTGCAGCACTGACTTGGATCTGGACACTGAGTTTGAGATCCTCTTGCCACGCCGACGGGGCCTGGGCCTCTGTGCTACCGCTCTCGTCAGCTACTTGATTCGCCTACACAATGAAATTGTCTACGCCGTGGAAAAACTCTCCAAGGAAAACAACAGGTTTGTGCACGAGCCACCAGGAAGTGGTGCCTGCTCAGCCCAGAGTCCCTAAGCCCAGTGGGGCAGACACAAGCAAGCTTCAGCCCCTTCCCTAACAGACACTCACTCCTTCAGCCGCCCCCACCAGTGACCCGCCCCATACTTGGGTAGGGTTTTCCACTGCTCCAACTGTGAGAAATGGGAGCCTGCTCCCTGCAACATAGAGCCCTAGGCCCGCATGCCTGGCCTGGACGCTGAGCGCTGTCTTTCTGCCCCTCAGCTATTCCGTGGATGCCGCCGAGGTCACTGAACTGCATGTCATCAGTTATGAAGTGGAGCGGGACCTGACTCCACTGATTCTCTCCAACTGCCAGTACCAGGTGGAGGAGGGCAGAGAGACCGTGCAGGAGTTCGATCTGGAGAAGATTCAGCGGCAGATCGTCAGCCGCTTCCTCCAGGGCAAGCCCCGGCTGAGCCTCAAGGTAGGGCTGACTCCTGCCACTGCTGCTCATTTGGTGTGTCTGTTGTGAACAAGCAGCCCTTGGTGTGTTTCTCGAGAGAGGGAAGCAGCACCTCACCCTGCAGTCTGGTCTGTATCTCCTCCCTCACACCTGCAGCTCCCGAGGCCACCACGCCACCTGTATCTCCGGGCCGCAGGGCTCTCCTGAGCCCTCTCCTGCAGGGCCATCTGCACCTCAGTCCCCCAAGGAACTGTTGAGGTCTTTTTTTGAAACAGGGTCTCACTCTGTCACCGAGGCTGCAGGGCAGTGGTGCCAAGCCTCCACCTCTGGGCTCAAGCGATCCTCTCACATCAGCTTCCCAAATAGCTGAGATCACAAGTGTGCACCACCATGCCCAGCTAATTTGTGTATTTTTTGGTAGAGATGGGGCTTCACCACGTTGCCCGGCTGGTCTCGAACTCTTGGGATCAAGGGATCCACCCGCCTAGGCCTCCCAAAGTGCTGGGATTATAGGCGTGAGCCACTGCACCCAGCTGATTGTTGAGGTCTTGATTCTACCAGTTAATGGCACCACCACCCCCACAGCCCCTCTTCCTTCAGCCTCCATGGGTAACCTGCCAGCAGATGCCATTAGCTGTGCCTTCTGTGTGTCCTCACCTGACTGCCAAAGCCCACCCTGTAGTTAAAAGCATCCTGTACGTTGGACTGCTAGCCACTCCTAACTGGTGCCCACCTCCAGGTTCTTCAGTCCACGGCCTAAAACCCACATCTGGCTCTCTTCATCCTGTGCCGGATGGACCTGCCTGGCCTCTCATGGCATATGGGATAAAGCCGACACTCTGTTGTCTGGTATGGGAGGCCCTGTAGCTCGGCCCAGCCCAACCTTCCAGCCCTGCCTCCAGCCACTTAGCCCATTTCCCTGAACTGCATCCCGTGACCTCATGCACTGAAGCCACACAGCAGGCACTTTCCCATCTCTGTTCTTTGACTGGACGCACTTGTTCCTTCCAGCTGCAGTCATATCTACTGTACTTATGTACGGTACCACCCGCAACTGGGCCAGGAACTGTGAGAGCCCATGGATTTTTTTTTTTTTTTTTTTTTTTTGAGACGGAGTCTCGCTCTGTCACCCAGGCTGGATTGCAGTGGCGCAATCTCAGCTTGCTGCAAGCTCCACCTCCCGGGTTCACTCATGCCATTCTCCTGCCGCAGCCTCCCGAGTAGCTGGGACTACAGGCGCCCGCCACCATGCCCGGCTAATTTTTTTGTATTTTTAGTAGAGACGGGGTTTCACCATGTTAGCCAGGATGGTCTCGATCTCTTGACTTCGTGATCTGCCCGTCTCTGCCTCCCAAAGGCTGTTTTTAATTCATTCTCACAGCCATTTCCTCTGGCAGAGTGACTGCCTGTGCATGGTCTGTGCCTTTAGTGGCTGAATGAATAAATGAATGGGATATGCACAAATACCTGTTGCCCTAGCGCCTCCTGTGGCGAAGCAGGCCACGATGATGTGACAATATCTTGTCATGTAATTGGCTGTGAGGACTCCGCTGGATTCCCGGTTGTGTTACTATTTCCATAGATGGTGGGTTAATGACGGAGAGGGGCGCTCTTAGCCAAGGGATACACAGGGCAGCGCGGCACTACGCTGCAGTTTTCCGGCTGCAGATTCTGTTTGTCATCTGCTGGAAATGTCCACGATGGATTTAATTTTAAAAAACTTTTTTCTTTCCCAATTTAGGGAATACCCACTCTGGTGTACAGACACGACTGGAACTATGAACATCTCTTTATGGACATCAAGAACAAAATGGCACAGGTGATCCCGATAAACCTGATCCTGTGCACGGGGCTTTCTGCCTTCTCAGTGTGTTTCCCTCCGTGTTAGGCCTACTCCAGCCTTGCCCCGGGTGTTTGCTGTGAGCCCACAGTTTCTGCGGCCTCCCTTACAGAGAGCAAGCAAGACAGCAAATCAGCAAGTTTTCTTGTAGAGTAAAAGCAGATTGACATCTTGTGGGTTTGATTCTTAGGAATGATGTTGATGCATGGCCATGCCTGCTGAAGCGGGAAGTCCATGGAACCGATTTGTTCCTGCTCTCCGCATGCGGGTACTGATAGGTAGACCTGTGTGTCTCCATGGCCTCCAGGAACTGCCTGCACACCGTGCGCCCAAGTGTCAGCTGTTAGAGAGTTGGCCCCCCGCATGTGGCTTGGGCAGTGAAGGGGCTCGGCTCTCTTACCAGGTGGTGAGATGCCAGAAACCCAGCCCACAGACATCCCTCTCCTGCTTTTCATTTCCCAGGACTCCCTCCCCAGCTCGGTCATTAGTGCCATCAGTGGACAGCTGCAGTCCTACAGCGATGCCTGTGAAGTGCTGTCTGTCGTAGAAGTCACTCTGGGGTTTCTGAGCACAGCTGGTGGGGATCCAAACATGCAGCTGAATGTGTATACTCAAGACATCCTGCAAATGGGTGATCAGACGATTCACGTGTTAAAGGTGGGTCTCACACCGAAAAGGAAATCAGCACAGCCCCTCACCCTGGTCTCCTGCTTCCCGCGAGGGATAGGAGCATTCAGGGAGTGCCACTCTAGGCGCTCCTGAAAAGGATGGGGAGACAAGAACAACTGCTCACCCAGTCAGTCCAGCATAAACAGGACACACCAGGGACAGTAGAGACAGACACGCGCTAGAAATGCCAGCAGTCTAGATAGAGCCCAAATGTGACTGAGTACATGAGGCCCCTGCAAACAGCGTGATGTGAGCGGGCTGTGAGGTGCCGCAGGAGGGAACTGGTAGATAGGACAGAGATGGCCTTCACAAGGAGGGAGATCACATTAGTACAGGGCAGAACGAAGAGAAGAATGCCTGTGTGGAGAGCACTCAGGCTCCCTGGTGCACGACATGAGTGGGGGTGTGAGACCTCAGCCCCCACTCAGGAATTCTATTCCTTCTGCAGGCCTTAAACAGATGCCAGTTAAAACACACCATTGCCCTCTGGCAGTTCCTGTCTGCTCATAAGTCTGAACAGCTGCTGCGGCTGCACAAAGTAAGTCTGGTCTCTTCCTCTCTGCTGGACAGAGGGACTGCGCTCCCTTCTCCCTGCAGGCTTTAATGCTTCATTTGCTCTTCCGTCGTTTTAGGAGCCATTTGGGGAAATCAGTTCAAGGTACAAAGCGGATCTGAGCCCGGAAAATGCTAAGCTCCTCAGCACATTCCTAAATCAGACTGGCCTAGACGCCTTCCTGCTAGAGCTGCACGAAATGATAATCTTGAAACTAAAGAACCCCCAAACCCAAACCGAGGAGCGCTTCCGCCCTCAGTGGAGGTATGGATTTGCACACCTATGGGGCGGGGCAGACACAATGTTGTGCTGTCTCTCCTGTGATCTTCTATAGACACAAAAATAGTTCTTTTCTTACCACAGAATCCCATTTCCTGCTTTTTGTCATTACCAGGGCACCTGAGGACTGGCTTTTTGGTTTTAATCTCTACTGGGTTTTCTTTAAGCAATTACACAAGTGTTTTTCAGACAAGAGTCTTGCCCTGTTACCCAGGCTGGAGTGCAGTGGAGTAATCTCAACTCACTGCAACCTTGGCTCACTGCAACCTCTGCCTCCCAGGTTCAAGCGAGTCTCATGCCTCAGCTTCCCAAATAGCTGGGACTACAGGCGTGTACCACCATGCCTGGCTAATTTTTGTATTTTTAGTAGAGACAGAGTTTCACTGTGTTGGCCAGGCTGGTCTCGAACTCCTGGCCTGAAATGATCTGCCCGCTTTGGCCTCTCAAAGTGCTAGAATGAAAAGGCGTGAGCCACTACACCCAGCCTAAAAGTCATATATTCTAATTTTATAACAAGTAGACTATGTCAAAGAGAGGTACATTTTAAATTTGATAGAAAAAGCTATCCTAGGCCGGGTGTGGAGGCTTACCCTGTAATCCCAGCACTTTGGGAGGCCGAGGTGGGTGGATCACCTGAGGTCAGGAGTTCAAGACCAGCCTGGCCAACTGGTGAAACTCTGTTTCTACTAAAAATACAAAAATTAGCCAGGCATGGTGGTACACACCTGCAGTCCCACCTACTCAGGAGGCTGAGGCAGGAGAATTGCTTTAACCTGGGAGGTGGAGATTGCAGTGAGCTGAGATCGCACCACTGCACTCCAGCCTGGGCAACAGAGGGAGACTTCATCTCAAAAACAAACAAAAAAAAGAATAGAAAAAGCTATACCAATGTATAAAGAGTGTATGAGAATACTCAACATTGGATATTATCCATCTTTTACATAGTTGCCAATCTAAAGGCCAAAATGGTATCTCATTTTCAGTTGTATTTCCCCATTTACCGTGAGGCTGAACATGTTTTTTATATTTATCACCCATTTGTATATCATCCTCTGAATTGCCTTTATGTTTTATTTTTTGAGACCGTGTCTCACTCCCACCCAAGCTGGAGTGCAGTGGCGCAATCTTGGCTTAGTGCAACCGCTGCCTTCTGGGTTCAATCGATTCTCCTGCCTTAGCCTCCCTAGTAGCTGGGATTACAGGTGCCAACCATCACGCCCAGCTAATTTTTTCTATTTTAGTACAGAGACGGGGTTTCTCCACGTGGCCAGGCTGGTCTCGAGCTCCTGACCTCAAGTGATTCACAAGCTTTGGCCACCACACCCAGCCTAAATTACCTCTTCGTATCTTTTTCTTTTGCGCTTTGTCTCTGTAATGGTTGTGAGAGCTCTTTGCATAGAACAGGGGTTCATCTTCTCTGCCGTGTGCCACAGTGCTCTATTTCAGCCTTTAATTTTATGAAGTCAAATCTGACAGAATTTTCCTATAAAGGGTCTCTATACAAAAACACTTACTAGGATCTTCCTTATCCCAGGATTATAAACTAGCCTTTTTTTTTTTTTTTTTTTTTTTTTTTTGAGATGGAGTCTTGCTGTGTCATCCAGGCTAGAGTGCAATGGTGTCATCTTAGCTCACTGCAACCTCTGCCTCCTGGGTTCAAGCGATTCTCCTGCCTCAGCCTCCCGAGTAGCTGGGACTACAGGCATGCACCTGCCCGGCTAATTTTTTTGTACTTTTAGTAGAGACGGGTTTCACCATGTTGACCAGGCTGGTCTCGATCTCCTGACCTCAAGTGATCTGCCCGTCTCGGCCTCCCAAAGTGCTAGGATTACAGGCGTGAGCCACTGCGCCCGGCCTGTCCTCTCTCTTCTTGTGCTTTCACATACTTGTTTTATTCACCAGTTTATGTTTAGGTGTAAAGTAAGGATTTAACTTGATGTTTTCCTGACTAGATCATCAAACTCCAGTCTTCCTCACCAATATGTTTCCTATTTGCTATCTTCCTCCATTATGCTATGTGGCATATACCATATACATTTATGTTCTTTCAACTTTTTCAACAAGTCTTTACTAGCCTGTGCTTTTCATGTAGATAAAAAAGATCCCTTTCCTAGAGAATTTCCAGTCTTTGTTAATGTGAAACATGTAATAGAATACAAGGTTTTTTGAATGGTGAGGCCTTGTTTATGCAACCCTGTAAATAAACATCACCTTGCTAGAGGGCCTAAAGTCATGTGAAGGGGCCAGCACAGGGCTTGCTCCGTGGGCTTCTGTCGTGTTTGTGTACTGCATGTGGGAAGCAGCAGTCAGGCACCAGAGCCTTGAACCCAGGATGCTAGTCCCAGTTCAGGAGCTCAGGTCATTGACCTTAAACTGCTCCTCAGGATTTCTGGGTTTTTTTTTTTTCTCGCTCTGTCGCCCAGGCTGGAGTGCAGTGGTGCAATCTCGGCTCACTGCAAGCTCCACCTCCTGGGTTCAAGTGATTTTCCTGCCTCAGCCTCCCGAGTAGCTGGGATTACAGGCACCCACCGCCATGCCTGGCTAATTTTTGTATTTTTACTAGAGACAGGGTTTCTCCATGTTGGCTAGGCTGGTCTCGAACTCCTGACTTCAAGTGATCCACCTGCCTCAGCCTCCCAAAGTGCTAGGATTATAGGCGTGAGCCACTGCGCCTGGCCTAGGATTTTAAGTCTTAACGAGCATTTTGGTTCTGCTGATGACAACGGGAAAAAGTAACATGAGGGGACTGATTGGTCCCCTTATGTTATATGGGAGCCTTTTTTTTTGAGACAGGATCTCACTGTGGCCCAGGCTGGAGTGCAGTTGTGCAATCTCAGCTCGCTGTAGCCTCCACCTCCTGGACTCAAGTGGTCCTCCCACCTCAGCCTCCTGAGTAGCTTCGGACTATAGGCATACACCACCACGTGCCCAGCTAATTTTTGTATTTTTGCTAGAGACAGGGTTTCGCCATGTTGCCCAGGCTGGTCTTGAACTCCTGACCTCCACTGACCCACCCACCTCAGCCTCCCACAGTGCTGGGCTTACACACGTGAGCCACACAGTGCTGGGCTTACACACGTGAGCCACCATGCTGAGGAGACTGTTTTAAATGCTCTCTTCTTTGGTTTTTCAGCCTGAGAGACACTCTCGTAAGTTACATGCAAACTAAAGAAAGTGAAATTCTTCCTGAAATGGCATCTCAGTTCCCAGAAGAGATACTGCTCGCCAGCTGTGTCTCAGTGTGGAAAACAGCTGCTGTGCTGAAATGGAATCGAGAAATGAGATAGAATTATTTCCTCAGCTATCTTTGGATGACTTTGGAGAGAAGACTCCTCTCTCCTCGTCTGCGGCGTGGACTTGATCATGGACTGGTGCCTTTGCATTCAGAAGGAGAGCTGTCAGCGTAGCACCGAATTCAAGACCAAGGCGTGCTACCTGAGCTGACAGCTTTTTGAAAGCCGAGCTGTTTCTGAACCATGTACATACATGTTCTGAAACTTTCTCATCATTTTATGAGTACTGTTCATTGAGAGATGACAATGAAGATTAGATGAAATTGGAAATAAACCAACATTGTTTACATTCCAGGAGACTTGTAGCTCAGCCACACACGCAGTAATGACCTGTGCCCGTTCGCCTCTGGCACTGCCCACCCCTCTTTTTTTTTTTCTTCTAATTCTGTACTCACAAAAGAGAATCTCATTTTCTTCTTTCTTCCATTCCCTTAAATTCTGAGTACTGTACATATATTTCTGGGTTCCCACGATGATGTGAAAAACTACCAGACTGTTTTTTGTCTTCTCACAAAGACAAGAAAAATCAGGGCATTTTGTGAGTGCCTTAAGATCAAACTAACAAGATCTGACCCTCTCCCCTCACAGTGAGCCACTGCCCCACTTCAGAGGGTAAGAGCCAAAAGCCTCATTGTGAAAGGCACTGGACTTGGACCAGGGACACCATCAGGGCCTTGGTTTTCTCACGCATAAAATGGAGAGTGGATTAATCGCCAAAGATTCTTCTGATCTGACATTTTGAAATTGTGAGAGAAACTAGATGACTGTAAACTTGGTCACAGGCCTGGTTCTGGCAGTTCTTTGCGGACTTTTTTCTAGCATTATGCCAAATAAACATGCAGTCTCAGTGTGCTCTCGCATGTATGAATATCTAGTCCTTTCTGTGGTTCTCAGCCAAGACATAAAAACTAGGACTCAGAGCACATACAAAACCAGTTATGTTTCGGAAAGAGGGAAAAGAGTCCCCGAGCCCGGATCTTGTGCTGCTTTTCTCACTGACGTGTTGCCTTTTTTCTTTACAAAATCTGCTTTGATACTTAGGACCTCTCTGGACTAATTTCTCTTCCTAGACAGCTCAGCACAGCTATTGATATGTTAGAGGCAGTATCCTTAATATTCATTCTAAATGAGTTAACGACTTAACTTGAAATTGGGCCTAAGGAGTGAGAACTACAAAAATACAAAATGCTTGTCCAGGACTCAGCCATGCACACCTTGAGCAGCGCCGGCAGGAGGCACGGAAGGAACTGTGCTCCGTTCTCCTCACTGTCATGGTGCCACCAGTGTCTGATGAAGGGCAGAGTGACCCAGACTGCAGGCAGTAACTGACTTCACACAGTCCCTGGCATTTAGTCATCTGTGATTGTTTTATCACTCTGGACTGTGCAGAGCCACCTGCCACCGAGATCTGCATTCCGACTGCCTATGAACGGGTGTGGGGGCCGGGGGCTGGCTTGCTGAAGTCTTCAACTTGCACTCGGAGCTCCTTTGATACCTCAGAGCTGGCTGTCAGGTGGCAGCTCACACCCAGACTCACTGGCCACACCTCAGCAGGGGGGGAGTCGAGTGTCAGTCTCTTTCTGTGAAGGCTTTTTTTTTCCTTTGGCCTGGGAATTTTTCCCATTTTTATGAAGGGGTTTTAAATTGTTTCATTTTGTGTGCTGTGCTTCAAAGCCTTAACTGTCAAATCTTGCATTATCTTGTTTGTACAGAAATATACTGGCCTAGCAGAGGCAAAAAAAAAAAAAATGAATTTTATTTTACTTGTCACACCTGTCTTAATAAACTGGAGTTTTGCTGCTAAAGAACTCTTCTCTCTGGGGGCAGAGCTTCTATTTATGGCACATAGACATCAGCTAGGCTTTTGGGAATCGTTTGTGTTCTTTGTGGAAATGTCCTTTAGAAGCACCCATGAAGTAGTGTGTTCAGACTGTGCACACAGAAAACAGGCTCTGCCTTCACATGTGAGACGGTGGACTTTTCCTCTGGACAAAATGACAGCATCCTGGCGACTCCACAGTGGAGCTGAGCGCCACTCCCTGTAGCCGATCTGGGACTGAAACGCTTACACCTCTGCCTCAGAAGGAGTCCCCCATGCCCTGCCTGAAATGACTTCACTGGACACAGCGGGGCTGCAGCTAACGGGGTACAGGTAGGAGCTAACTAACTTCACCCCTGAGTCCACTTGCGGGGTAAGAGATAAACAGTAACCCTTCCAGGAGCCCACTGACGTTGGAGTGCTAAAAATGCCCCTTCAGGGGGAAAACTGCATTTTCTCTTCCAAAAAGGAAAGGTTCTTCCAGGCGAGAAACCTGTGGTCTAGAACCACAGCAAGAAGAGGAGGCATGCTGGCCTGCACCGGAAGACTCACTTTGTCTGCCCTGCGCCAGCCTCACCTCACCCTGCAGTTCCCGTTTCCGCCATGGATGCCTCATCACCAACCCTGACCTTCCCCCTCCCAACCCTTTATTCATCCTCACTCCCACTCATACCCGCCTCCCTGGACAGTTCCCTGCTGCAGAGTTCTTTCTGCTTTCAGCCCTACCTTGGTGGTGATTTACCTGAAAATCTTCACAACTGATCATTATCTCCTTCTCTTTGAGACCTGACTGAAAAAATTAGGTGTGCACACCTGTAATCCCAGCTACCTGGGAGGCTGAGGTATGAGGATTGCTTGAGCCTGGGAGTTTGAGGCTGCAGTGAGCTATGATTGCACCACTGCACTCCAACCTGGGTGACAGAGTGAGACCCTGTCTCAAAAAAAAATAAAATAAGGACCTTATTGTGTGTGCAAATTATTTGCCTTTCATGAATAGTTATGAGACTTTGTGCATGTGTTAACCGAGACGGCCCTGAGCTATTTCAGTTACTCCTGTATGTTCAGGCAATTCCAATTTAGAAACAAACTTCCAGTGATAAATATTGGGAAGAAAATGTCAGCTCAGGGCCAAGTAGGTAAAGCCACCCAAGTCTAGCCATGCACACAGGCACTAGTGTGCTGAAGGAAAACACCTCTGATTTGATACATAAAGTGTGAAGGTTGCATAACTGGGGAGGTGGCTGGAGAAAACCTGAGCCTCGAGCTGAGTAACAATCCAAGCCATGATTAGCATTTATATTGCATTCTGCATTATTCTCATCCTATCACGTTCATTAAGTTCAACCATTACCATTACGAATCCCGTTTCCAGCTGGAAAAACAAGCGCCAGGAAAGTGCATTTCCCCCCCACCCCCCCCCCCCAACCAGAGCAACTTTGGTCAGAAGTCACACCTAATCACCCTCTCTGCAGGATATGCTGGGGATAGCCCTTTTGAGGAGGTGGGGGTGTATGCGAAAGCAACCTGGGGCCAAAGCAGGGGGAAGCAGGAGAGACTGGAGGGGCCCTGGGTCCAGCAAGTGCTCCACCAGGCTGCCCCTGCTCAGGTGCTCCACAGCCCATAAAAAACGCCTTCAGCCCTGCTGTGCTTCCCCTCACACCTAAACTTACTATAAGGGTCCTACCTTCCCCAGTATTCCTTCATGATCACTGCTACCTGTGCCCTGAAGCGCAACAGAACCTCAACCCAGAGGACAGCCACTTCCTCAGAACCCACGATCTTTGCCCCATCGCCACAGGTCCATGAGTGACTCCTAATTACCAAATCCAAGGGCTCCTTCACCCTGACCACTCTGGAACCCAACAAAGCTGACACACAGCCCAGCCCAGACAGGCCTGAATGTGGGTCCTGGCTCTCCCATTTGCCAGTTCTACAGCCATGGGCAAGTGGCTCGACCTCTCTAAGCTTCAGTTTCCTCGTCTGTGAAATATCTGTCAGTGCTCTTAAGGGAGGAGACCACCCCACATATTGTCTTACGCCCAATTTCTGCCTCCAAAGAGAGAAGTAAAAACTAAAAGGCAGAAATGAAATCCACAAGCAGACAGCCTGCACCACACCCTGGGCCTGGTAGTTAAAGATCGACGCCTGACCTAATCAGTGATGCTATCTATAGATTACAGACATTATATAGAAAAGCACCGTGAAAATCCCTGTCCTGTTCTGTTCCGTTCTAATTACGGGTGCATGCAGCCCCCAGTCACGTACCCCCTGCTTGCTCAATCAATCACGACCCTCTCACGCAGACCCCTTAAGAGTTGTGAGCCCTTAAAAGGGACAGGAATTGCTCACTCGGGGAGCTCAGTTGTTGGAGACATGAGTCTTGCCGAAGCGCCCGGCTGAATAAAGCCCTTCTTTAACTCGTGTCTGAGGGGTTTTCTCTGCAGCTTGTCCTGCTACATTTCTTGGTTCCCTGACCAGGAATCTAGGTGATTAATGGATGGTTGAGGCAGCCCCTCAGACGGCTTAGGCCTGCCCTGTGGAGCATCCCTGTGGAGGACTCCAGCCAGCTTGAGCGACATGGATCCTGAGAGCGCTCTCAGGCAGGCAATTGCCCCAGTGGAATGCCTGGCCAGAGCAGTGTGTAGCAGGCCCCCGAGGAGGATCAACGCAGTGGCTGAACACCGGGAAGGAACTGCCACTTGGAGTCCAGACATCTGAAACTTGGTAAGACTGGTCTTTGGAACTTGCCCACTCCATTTGAGGGGAAGCGTGGCCTGATCACCCACGGCGTGCCTGTACTGGCACTCTGGTTTTTGTTTTTGACTTGACTTGGATTGCTTGATACTTTGGTTTTGGTTTTGACCTGACTTGGATATCCTGATACTCTGATTTTGGTTTTGATTTTGGTTTGGTGTAAACTGTAAAAGTGTGTGTGTGCCCTTTTTACCTGTTCTTTGTTTTGTGGTATGCGTGTAGGGTGAGCGTAATGTTTTGTCTTGAAGAAGCATGGGTCAAGCACAAAGTAAGACCACCCCACTAGGAACTATGCTGAAAAATTTCAGGAAAGGATTTAAGGGAGACTATGGAGTACTATGACACCAGGAAAACTTAAAACTTTGTGTAAGATAGACTGGCCAGCATTAGAGGTAGGTTGGCCATCAGAGTGAAGCCTGGACAGGTCCCTTGTTTCAAAGGTATGGCACAAGGTAACCTGTAAGCCAGGGTACCCACACCAGTTCCCGTACACAGACACTTGGTTACAGCTGGTTTTAGACTCCCCACCCGCCCGCCCCAACAGTGGTTGAGAGAACAGCAGCATAAGTGGCTGGCAGAGGCAAGGAAAGACCAGCAGAGAGAGAAAGAGGAAGAGACAGACAAAGAGGGAGTCAGAGAGAGAGAGAGAAAGAGACAGAGGCAAAAGGAAAGTCAAAGAGAAAGAGACAGAAAATCAAGAGGAAAAAAAGAAAAAAAGAGATATATATACAAGTAGTTAGAAACAACAACAACACTGTACCCTATTCCTTTAAAAGCCAAGATAAATTTAAAACCTATAATTGATAATTGAAAGTATTCTCTGTAACCCTGTAACACTCCAATACCACTTTGTTGTCAGTGTAAACAAGGGCATATCCCGAAAGCACTGAGGCCTTCCCATCAAAAATCCTTAACCCAGTAACCCGTGGATGGCTCAAATGCATTCAATCTGTAGCTGCAACTGCTTTGCTAACAGAAAAAAGTAAAAAAATAACTTTTACAGGAAACCTCATTGTGAGCACACCTCACCAGTTCAGAAGTAGCCTAAGGAAAAAAAAAAAAGGATGATTTAACTTTAACTACTGAAAATTCCCTTAACCCAGCAGGTTTCCTAACAGGGGATCTAAATCTTAATTACCGTACAAAGGCCCTACCATACCTAGGAGGAACTCCCTTCAGGAAAGGATGATCTATGGTTCCTCCCAGGTAATTAAAGGAAAAAAAAAAAGCCATCTATACGAATTCTAAGTTAATTTTGACAAAACGAGGTCTTACTAATAGCAAAGGATAATTAAAATCCCAAGCTTACAAGGTTTTCAACAAAAGTAAAGTTTGCTAAAAGTTAACAGTGTAACATGTATTATAGTAATTTCTGATCTTGTGGCCTCAGACAGTCTAGTCCACAGACATAAAAGAAGTTCGCTTTGGAAAAGAATGGTTATCATCTTCAGGAAAAAAAAAAAGAAGGGGCAGAATTTACATAAAAAGAGTGTTATATGGTAAATTCTTGTCCTGAAATAAATTAACTGGTTGTTTAAAGAAAGAAATGTTTGTAATAAGTCAGAAAGTTGAGGCATGTCGAAGAATTGTCTGCGAAAGTCGTGAAAGAGAAAAATGTTATAAAAAATTATGCAAGAAATGTTGTATAATTTAAAAGTAACTAGGCCTCCTAAATGTAAAACTATTGAAAGAAAAAAAAAACAGTTTATGTGCAAGTGTCAGGCCTCTGAGCCCAAGCTAAGCCATCATATCCCCAGGGACCTGCACGTATACATCCAGATGGCCTGAAGCAACTGAAGATCCACAAAGGAAGTGAAAATAGCCTTAACTGATGACATTCCACCATTGTGATTTGTTTCTGCCCCATCCTAACTGATCAATGTACTTTGTAATCTCTCCCACCCTTAAGAAGGTTCTTCGTAATTCTTTGTAATCCCACCCTTGAGAATGTACTTTGTGAGATCCACCCCCTGCCTGCAAAACATTGCTCCTAACTCCACCGCCTATCCCAAACCTACAAGAACTAATGATAATCCCACCACACTTTGCTGACTCTCTTTTTGGACTCAGCCCGCCTGCACCCAGGTGAAATAAACAGCCTTGTTGCTCACACAAAGCCTGTTTGGTGGTCTCTTCACACGGATGCGTGTGACGTGCGTGACATTTGGTACCAAAGATCCGGGACGGGAGTACTCCTTACAGAGACCGGTCCCCTGTCCTCATCCTCACTCCATGAGGAGATCCACGTACAACCTCGGGTTCTCAGACCAACCAGCCCAAGGAACATCTCATGAATTTCAAATCGGGTAAGTGGTCTTTTCACTCTCTTCTCCAGCCTCTCTCGCTACCCTTCAGTCTCCCTGTCCTTCCAATTCCAGTTCTTTTTCCTCTCTAGTAGAGACAAAGGAGACATATTTTATCCGTGGACCCAAAACTCCGGCGCCAGTCACGGACTCGGCAAGACAGTCTTCCCCTGGTGTTTAATGACTGCAGGGACGCCTGCCTGATTATTCACCCACACTCCACTGGTGTCTAATCACTGTGGGGATGCCTGCCTTGGTCATTCACCCACATTCCCTTGGTGGCAAGTCAATTGCGGGGACAACCTGCTTTGGCTGCTCACCCACATTGCAGCCCACGGCTGCTCCCTACCCCCCTTCTCCGTGTCTCTACCCTTCTCTTTAAACTGGCCTCCTTCACTGTGGGCAACCTTTCACCCTCCATTCCTCCTTCTTCTCCCTTAGCCTGTGTTCTCAAGAACTTAAAACCTCTTCAACTCTCACTTGACCTAAAATCTAAGCATCTTATTTTCTTCTGCAACACCGCTTGGCCCCAGTACGAACTCGACAATGGTTCTAAATGGCCAGAAAATGGCACTTTTGATTTCTCCATCCTGCAAGACCTAGATAATTTTTGTCGAAAAATGGGCAAATAGTCTGAGGTGCCTTACGTCCAGGCATTTTTCAGACTTCGTTCCCTCCCTAGTCTCTGTTCCCACTGTGACTCATCCCAAATCCTCCTCCTTTCCCTCCCGCCTGTCCCTTCAGTCCCAACCTCGAGCGTTGCTGAGTCTTGTGAATCTTCCTTTTCTGCTGACCCATCTGACCCCTCACCTCCTCCCCAGGCTGCTCCTCCTCAGCTCGCTCCCCGCCAGGCTGATCAGGCTCCAGCTCTTCTTCAGCCTCTGCTCCCCACCCTATAACCCTTCTATTACCTCCCTCCCACACCCGGTCCGGTTTACAGTTTCTTTCTGCGACCAGCTCTCCCCCATCTGCCCAACAATTTCCTCATAGAGAGGTGGCTGGAGCTGAAGGCATATGTCAGGGTACATGTGCCTTTTTCTCTATCAGACCTTTCCCAAATCAGCCAGCGTTTAGGCTCTTTCTCATCAGACCCCACTAAATACATACAGGAATTCCGATATCTAACTCTGTCCTACAGTTTAACCTGGAGTGACTGAAATGTCATCCTAACTTCTACCCTCTCCCCAGATAAATGGGAAAGAGTTTTTTCTCTAGCCCAATCTCACACTGACAACCACCGGCTTCACGAGCCAGACCTCCAGGAGGGCATCAGAGCAGTTCCCCGAGAAGATCCCCAGTGGAACTACCAGGCAGATTCCCCAGGTATAGCTACGCGAGATTACATGGTTTCCTGCCTAGTTGAAGGGCTTAAAAAGGCAGCTTACAAAGCTGTTAATTATGACAAACAAGAAACTACCCGAGGTGAAGATGAAAACCCAGCCCAGTTCATGGCCCACTTGGCAGTAACCCTTAGACGCTTTACCGCCCTAGACCCAGAGGGGCCAGGAGGCCGCCTTATTCTTAATATGCATTTTATCACCCAGTCAGCTCCTGATGTTAGAAAAAAGATTCAAAAACTGGAATCCAGCCCTCATACCCCACAACAGGAATTAATCAACCTCACCTTCAAGGTGTACAATAATAGGAGGTAGCCAGACAGCAACGCATTTCTGAGTTACAGCTACTCGCCTCTGCTGTAAGACAGCCCACAACCACGTCTCCAGCATACAAGAACTTCAGAACATCCAAGCCACAGCTCCCAGGGGCTCCTTCAAAACATCCTCGTGGGCCTTGCTTCAAATGCCAAAAGCCTGGCCACTGGGCCAAGGAATGCCCGCAGCCTGGGATTCCTCCTAAGCTGTGCCCTGTCTGTGCGCGCCCCCACTGGAGGTCGGACTGTCCGACTCACATCGCCGCTGCTCCTAAAGCACCTGGAGCCCAAACCCAACGTTCCTTGGCCAACTCCTTCCCAGATCTCCTCGGCTTAGTGGCTGAAGACTGACGCTGCCCATCGCCTCGGGAGCCCCTGGACCATCACAGACACTTTGGGTAACTCTTACAGTGGAGGATAAGTCTGTCCCTTTCTTAATCAATACAGAGGCTACCCACTCCACATTAACCTTTTTTTCAAGGGCCTGTTTCCCTTGCCTCCGTAACTGTTGTGGGTATTGGCGGCCAGGCTTCTAAACCTCTTAAATTCCCCAACTCTGGTGCCAACTTGGACAACATTCTTTTATGCACCCCTTTTTAGTTATCCCCACCTGCCCAGATCCCTTACTAGATTGAGACATTTTAACTAAATTATCTGCTTCCCTGACTATTCCTAGCCTACAACCACACCTCATTGCCACCCTTTTCTCCAGTTCAAAGCCGCCTTCACACCCTCCCCTTGGATCTCCCCACCTTAATCCACAAGTATAGGACACCTCTACTCCCACCTTGGCAACCAATCATGCACCCCTTACCATCCCATTAAAACCTAATCACTCTTACCCCACTCAATGCCAATATCCCATCCCACAGCACACTTTAAAAGGATTAAAGCCTGTTATCACTCGCCTGTTATAGCATGGCCTTTTAAAACCCATAAACACTCCTTATAATTCCCCCATTTTACCTGTTCCAAAAACTGGACAAGCCTTACAGGTTAATTTCAGAATCTGCACCTTATCAACCAAATTGTCTTGCCTATCCACCCTGTGGCGCCAAAGCCATATACTCTTCTATCCTCAATACCTCCCTCCAGAACCCCTCTACATATATTATTATGTAGATATGTACATATCTACATATGTACATAATCTACATAACCCATTCTGTTCTGGATCTCAAACATGCTTTCTTTACTATTCCTTTGCACCCTTCATCCCAGCCTCTCTTCATTTTCACTTGGACTGACCCGGACACCCATCAGGCTCAGCAAATTACCTGGGCTGTACTGCCACAAGGCTTCACGGACAGCCCCCCCCCCCCCCGTTACTTCAGTCAAGCCCAAATTTCTTCCTCATCCTTTACCTATCTCGACTTAATTCTTCATGAAAACACAGTGCTCTCCCTGCTGATCGTGTCTAGCTAATCTCCCAAACCCCGACCCCTTCTACAAAGCAACAGCTCCTTTCCTTCCTAGGCATGGTTAGATACTCCGCCTTTGGATACCTAGCTTTACCATCCTGACTAAACCATCATATAAACTCACAAAAGCAAACCCAGCTGACCCCACAGATCCTAAATCCTTTCGCCACTCCTCTTTCCGTTCCCTGAAAACAGCCCTAGAAGCTGCTCCCACACTAGCTCTCCCTAACTCATCCCAACACTTTTTCATTACATACAGCCAAAGTGCAGGGTTGTGCAGTCAGAATTCTTACACAAGAGCCAGGAACGGCCCCTGCAGCCCTTCTGTCCAAACAACTTGACCTTACTGTTTTAGGCTAGCCCCCACATTATTCCTGATACCACACCTGACCCCCCATGACTGTATCTCTCTAATCCACCTAGCATTTACTCAATTTCCCCATATTTCCTTCTTTCCTGTTCCTCACCCTGATCACACTTGGTTTATTGATGGCAGTTCCACCAGGCCTAATCGCCACTCACCAGCAAAGGCAGGCTATGCTATAGTAACTTCCACACCTATCATTGAGGCTACCACTCTGCCCCCCTCCACTACCTCTCAGCAAGCCAAACTCATTGCCTTAACTCAAGCCCTCACTCTTGCAGAAGGAGTACGTGTCAATATTTATACTGACTCTATGCCTTCCATAGAGTCAGCATGCACCACCATGCTGTTATATGGGCAGAGAGAGGTTTCCTCACTATGTAAGGGTCCTCCATCATTAATGCCTCTTTAATAAAAATTCTTCTCAAGGTCGCTTTACTTCCAAAGGAATCTGGAGTCATTTACTGCAAGAGCCATCAAAAGGCATCAGATCCCATCATTCAGGGCAACACTTATGCTGATAAGTTAGCTAAAGAAGCAGCTTAGTTTTCCAACTTCTGTCCCTCACGGCCAGTTTTTCTCCTTCTCATCGGTCACTCCTACCTACTCTCCCACTGAAACTTCCACCTATCAATCTCTTCCCACACAATGTAAATGGTTCTTAGACAAAGGAAAATATCTCCTTCCAGCCTCACAGGCCCATTCTATTCTATCATCATTTCACAACCTCTTCCATGTAGGTTACAAGCCGCTAGCCTGTCTCTTAGAACCTCTCATTTCCTTTCCATCGTGGAAATCTATCCTCAAGGAAATCACTTCTCAGTGTTCCATCTGCTATTCTACTACTCCTCAAGGATTGTTCAGGCCCCCTCCCTCCCTACACATCAAGCGCGGGGATTTGCCCCTGCCCAGGACCGGCAAATTGACTTTACTCACAGGCCCCGAGTCAGGAAACTAAAATACCTCTTGGTCTGGATAGATGCTTTCACTGGATGCGTAGAGGCCTTTCCCACAGGGTCTGGGAAGGCCACCGCAGTCATTTCTTCTCTTCTGTCAGACATAATTCCTCGGTTTGGCCTTCCCACCTCTATACAGTCTGATAACGGACCGGCCTTTATTAGTCAAATCACCCAAGCAGTTTCTCAGGCTCTTGGTATTCAGTGGAACCTTCATATCCCTTACCATCTCAATCTTCAGGAAAGGTAGAAGGGACTAATGGTCTTTTACAGACACACCTCACCAAGCTCAGCCTCCAGCTTAAAAAGGACTGGACAGTACTTCTACCTCTTGCCCTTCTCAGAATTAGAGCCTGTCCTCAAGAAGCTACACGGTACAGTCCATTTAAACTTTTATGTGGACGCACTTTCTTGCTCAGCCCCAACCTCATCCCAGACACCAGCCCTCTAGGCAACTATCTTCCAGTCTTTCAGCAGGCTAGACAGGAAATTCGCCAGGCTGCTAATCTTCTCTTGCCTACTCCAGATTCCCAGCCACATGAAGACACCCTAGCTGGATGGTCAGTTCTTGTTAATAATCTGACCCCTCAAACTCTACAACCTCGATGGACCGGACCCTACTTAAACATCTATAGTACCCCCAACCACCATCTGCCTGCAGAACCCTCCCCACTGGGTTCACCGTTCCAGAATAAAGCTGTGTCCGTCAGACAGCCAGTCCGATATCTCCTCTTCCTCCTGGAAGTCGCAAGTACTCTCCCCTACTTCCCTTAAACTCACTCGCATTTCTGAAGAACAATAACCCTTATGAGCCTAATACATCCCTTCATTCTATTAGGTCTATCCATCCTTACCCTACTCTTCGCAACAGGGCTTTACGCAGTCACCCCCACTACTTGGACTGTGCCCCAAAAACCTGTCATCCCTACTATCTTCTGTCTAGTCATACTCCTATTCACCATTCTCAACTACTCATAAATGACCTGCTCTTGTTTACACTGCCAGTTTACATTGTTTCTCCAAGACATCACAGCTGATATCTCCTGGTGATATCCCCAAACCGCCACTCTTGACTCCTGCTTGGAGTGGATAGATGATCTTTGGTGGCAGGGCACCCTCCAACACTTCCACCCTGATGAAGTTCTATTCTTTACTTTTATATTCACTCTTATTCTCATTCCCATTCTTATGCCACTCTCTACCTCTCCCCAGTTACCTCCAGCATACTATCAATCTCACCCACTCTCTCCTCACTGCCTCCAATCCTTTTCTAGCAAAGAATTGTTGGCTACGCGTTTCCCTTTCCTCCTGCTTTTACACAGCCATCCCTGCTCTACAGGCTGACTGGGCTACCTCTCCCGTCTCCCTGCAACTCAGAACCTCCTTTAATAACCCTCATCTTTACCCGCCTGAGGAACTTCTTTATTTTCTAGACAGATTTGGTGAGAACTCCCCAGACATTTCACACCAACGAGCTGCCACACTTCTCCGCATCTACTTACGGCATCTTTCTCCTTATGTCAATTCCACTCCTCCCATATTTGGACCCCAACCACACAAACAACTATCCCTGTTGCCGTTTCTTTATGCATCTCCCGACAACAGCCTGCTGGAATCCCTTTAGGCAACCTTCCACCGTCCAAATGTTCCTTTACTCTTTGTCTCCAGAACCCAGCCACACACATTACCAAACAGATGGGAGCATTCCAACTTCGCATTACTGACAAGCCCTCTATCATTATTGACAAACTAAAAAACATTGGCAGTCACTATTGTTTAGGAAGACACCTACCCTGCATCTCACCCCATCCTTGGCTACCACCCTCCCCTGCTCGTCTGAATCTCCTCCTAGCCCCTCCTCTTGCTTGCTTATACCCTGCCCCATGAATAGCAGCGAAAGGTTACTTGTAGACACTATGCGCTTTCTCATACACCATGAAAACCAAACCCCTCCCTCTACGCAGTTGCACCATCAATCCCCATTACAACCTCTAACGGCTGCTGCCCTTGCTGGATCGCTAGGATTCTGGATGCAGGATTCCTCTTTCAGTACACCCTCTCACCTTTTCACTTTACATTTCCAGTTCTGCCTGACACAAGGTCTCTTCTTTTTATGTGGCTCTTCCACCTACATGTGCCTACCTGCCAAATGGATGGGCACATGTACTCTAGTCTTCCTTACCTCCAAAATCCAGTTTGCAGATGGGAACGAACAACTGCCTGTCCCCCTCATGACATCAACACAACAAAAAAGAGTCATCCCACTAATCCCTTTACTTATTGGTCTAGGACTTTCTGCCTCCAGTATTGCACTTGGAACTGGAATAGCAGGCATCTCAACCTCTGTCACAACAGTCCGCAGCCTCTCTAATGACTTCTCTGCTAGCACTACAGATAGATCACAAACTTTATCTGTTCTCCAAGCCCAGGTTAACTCTTTAGCTGCAGTTGTCCTCCAGAACGGCCAAGGCCGCGATTTACTCACTGCTGAAAAAGGAGGACTCTGTATATTTTTAAATGAAGAGTGTTGTTTTTACCTAAATCAATCTGGCCTGCTATATGACAACATAAAAAAACTCAAGGATAGAGCCCAAAAGCTCGCCAACCAAGCAAACAATAACATTGAACCCCCTTGGACACTCTCTAATTGGACGTCCTGGGTACTCCCAATTCTTAGTCCTTTAATACCTATTTTTCTCCTTCTTTTATTCGGACCTTGTGTCTTTCGTTTAGTTTCTCAATTCATATAAAACCGCATCCAGGCCATCATCAGTAATTCTATATGACAAATGCTCCTTCTAACAACCCCAAAATCTTTCTTCAGTTGAATCTCTCCCACTGTAGGTTCCCACACCGCCCCTGATCCCGCTCGAAGCAGCCTTGAGAAACATCGCCCATTATCTCTCCATACCACCCCCAAAATTTGTCACTGCTCCAACACTTCACCACTATTTTGTTTTGCTTTTCTTATTAATATAAGAAGACAGGAATGTCAGCCCTCTGAGCCCAAGCTAAGCCATCATATCCCGTGACCTGCATATACATCCAGATGGCCTGAAGCAACTGAAGATCCACAAAGGAAGTGAAAATAGCCTTAACTGATGACATTCCACCATTGTGATTTGTTTCTGCCCCATCCTAACTGATCAATGTACTTTGTAATCTCTCCCACCCTTAAGAAGGTTCTTTGTAATTCTCCCCACCCTTGAGAGTGTACTTTGTGAGATCCACCCCCTGCCGGCAAAACATTGCTCCTAACCCAACCGCCTACCCCAAACCTGTAAGAACTAATGATAATCCACCACCCTTTGCTGACTCTTTTCAGAATCAGCCCGCCTGCACCCAGGTGAAATAAACAGCCTTGTTGCTCACACAAAGCCTGTTTGGTGGGCTTTTCACACGGAGGCGCTAACACAAGGTGTATAAGAAAAGTAAATATACCTTTGGTAAAAGGATTATAAGAAGGCATAAGAATGTAAATTTTTACCTAGATTAAAAGGTTAAAAAAATTGTTTTGAAGGTTTAAGCAAGTTTTAAAACATTAATTATAAAAAAATTCTGTGTGTAAACGTATTAGCTAAAGTTAAAGGGGTATCATCCAGTTTTTCTGTGAACTGGACATTAAAGTAAAAACACAATGGGTTTTTCTTAAAGCACTAACTTGCTCTTTAACAAAGATTATAAAAGGTTAAAAAGAGTCTATAAAAATCTTACCTTACGGTCTGACATTAAAAATTGAATAAATATGTATACAAAGTTTTATTAAAACTAAGTTTAACATTAATAGCACACTAATATAAAGGTGAAATTTAGCTTATCTGGTATAAAAATCATACAGAAAGCATTATTAAATATAAAACAGTGTTTGGCTTTCTTTGGTCCAAAAACTAATAAAAATAGGTGGTAAAGGAAATTTCTCAGTAAAAAGGCACCAAAGCCTATAAAGTCCACTCTTGATGTCCCCACATTTGAAACAAAAAATCAATTTCTTAGAAATTATATACTTGGTTTGTCTTCCACTTTCCTTTCCCTCAAAACTAAAAGCCTTTTAGCACAGGTGCCAGCCCTAGAATTTCCAGTAAACCAGCACCAGCCTGAAGATCACCTTCTTATCAAAGGGAGGAAAGAAAACAAATTTTTCAAAGGAAAAGTTTTTCTTATCAAAGGAAAGAAAGAAAACAAAGGGAGGAAAGAAAACAAGCCAGCCTAGGAAGGACCCGACCTTGTGCTGCTAACCACCGAGACTGCTGTCCCTACAGTGGAAAAGGGATGGACTCATCACACCCGAGTCAAAGCTCCACCCCCTCCGGAGTCGTGGGCCCCAGTCCAAGGGGAAAACCCTACCAAACTAAAGCTAAGAAATATTTAACTCTTTTATCTATTCTATTACTCTTTCTTCTTTCCTCGCTCTATTGCTGACCATCTGGTTATTAACACAACCAAATCAATTTCACCTCAAACTATTGCATTTAATGCTTGTCTTGTTATACCCTGTGGGGACTTGCCAAGTCGAAGACAGCTCTCTACTTCAGAAAAGTACTTCTGTCCCTCCTGACTCTCCTCAGACTGGGCATTAGTAAATTAGGACCATTTAATCCGGGGGAATTTCAATAAAGACTCCAGTGTCAACCAGGAGTCTTGCTCCCCAATGTAGAGCTTTTATGCCGTAGTTGGTCCAACATTCTGTGGACCACTAAAGAGCAAGAATGGACTGCCCCAACCAGTTTTTGTAATTTCCCAAAATCATACATTCATTTTACTAGAAGTTCATATTAGTTAAAGACTTAAAACAAACTTTGGCAATTAAGACAGCATACCAAGATGCAAATGCCTGGTTGAAATGGATCAAATATTCCATCCGCACGTTAAACAAAAGCAACTGTTACGCTTGTGCACATGGCAGGCCAGAGGTCCTGATTGTCCCCTTTCCACTAAGGTGGTCCTCCAGTCGACCAGGTGTGGCTGCATGGTAGCTCTTCTCCAGGATTCTACAGCCTGGAGTAATAAGTTGTGCCAAGCTCTCTCTGCTGTATCCGAAAGTCTGGCGCCTTGCGGGTCAGCCCCCGAGGGCCATCGAGCCGCCGTCTCCCAATACTAAGTTCACTTCGTGTCTCTCATGACAGGGAGGAAACTTAGCATTCCTTGGAAACCTGAAGGGATGCAGTGAGCTTAAAAATTTTCAAGAGCCTATCAATCAGCCAGCCCTTGTTCATCCCTGAGTGGATGTGAGCGGATGTGTGGTGGTATTGTGGTGGACCTTTACTGGGCACTCTGCCGAATAACTGGAGTGGCGCTTGTACTTTAGTCCGATTGGCTATCCCTTTCACCCTGGCATTCCATCAACCAGAGGGAGGAAAAATAAGACATCGTAAAGCAAGAGAAGCCCCTTATGGGTCTTTCGACTCTCATTTCCATTTAGACGCAATTGGAGTCCCACGGGGAATACTAGATCAATTTAAAACTTGAAATCAAATAGCGGCAGGATTTGAGTCAATATTTTGGTAGATGACAGTTAATAAAAATGTAAATTGGATAAACTACATCTATTACAACAAACAGCAACAAGCTTTTCATGAGTTAAAAGAAAAACGTAGGCCCCAGCCCTGGGGCTATCAGACCTGACAAAACCCTTTACACCCTATGTGTCAGAAAGAGAAAAAATGCAGTTGGAGTTTTAACCCAGACTGTGGGACCCTGGCTAAGGCCAGTGGCCTATCTCTCAAAACAACTAGACGGGGTTTCCAAAGCCTGGCCCCCGTGTCTAAGGGCCCTGGCAGCAACGGCCCTGTTAGCACAAGAAGCAGATAAACTAACCCTTGGACAAAACCTGAATATAAAGGCCCCCCACGCTGTGGTAACTTTAATGACTACCAAAGGTCATCACTGGTTAACAAATGCTAGATTAACCAAGTACCAAAGCTTGCTACGTGAAAATCCCCACATAACCACTGCAGTTTGCAACACGCTAAACCCCGCCACCTTGCTCCTGATATGAGAGAGCCCAGTTGAACATAACTGTGTAGAGGTGTTGGACTCAGTTTATTCTAGCAGGCGCAACCTCCGAGACCATCCTTGAACATCAGTAGGCTGTGAGTGGTACGTGGACGGAAGCAGCTTCGCCAGCCCCTGCAAAGTGACTCTGAGGAAGACGACAAGCCCTGCTCCAGTCACAACTGGAAGCTGACTGGTCCACACACGGCCGAAGCATGAGAAAACTCATCGTGGGACTCATTTTCCTTAAAATTTGGACTTGTACAGTAAGGACTTCAACTGACCTTCCTCAGACTGAGGACTGTTCCCAGTGTATACATCAAGTCACTGAGGTAGGACAAAAAGTTGCCACAGTCCTATTATTTTATGATTATTGTAAGTGTACCAGGACTCTAAAAAAAAAAAAAGTTTGTATAATGCTATTCTATGCAAGGTATGTAGCCCAAGAAATGACCAACCTGATGTGTGTTATGACCTGAGTCTCCCATGACCACAGCTTTTGAAATAAGATTAAGGACTGAGGACTGGTAGGGACTCATAAACGATACGAGTAAAGTGTTAGCCAAAATGAAAGAAAAAGGGGTGCCCAAACAAGTCACTTTAAAGTTTGATGCCTGTGCTGTCATTAATAGTAATAAGTTAAAAATAGAATGTGGTTCCCTTAATTAGAAAAGAGGCCATATGACAAAAAATAAGTACATTTGTCATAAATTAAAACTGTGTGGAAATAAATGTAAATACTGGTCTTGTGTCATTTAGGCTACTTAAATAAAAAATAAAAAGGATCCTGTCCACCTTCAAAAAGGAAAAAGTGGCCCTTCCTGTACCAGTGGTCAGTGTAACCCCTTAGAACTAGTAATAACCAACCCCCTTGATCCTCGCTGGAAAAAAGGGGAGCATGTAACCCTAGGAATCAATGGGGCTGAACTGGATCCTTGAGTAAATATCATGGTTTGAGGAGAAATTTATAAACGCTCTCCTGAGACAGTATTTCAAACCTTCTATGATCAACTGAATGTGCCTGCACCAGAAATTCCAGGAAAAACAAGACATTTGTTTTTGCAATTAGCCGAGCATGTGGCCCAGTCTCTCAATGTCACTTCATGTTATGTGTGTGGACGAACTGTAATGGGAGATCAATGGCCACGGGAAGCCCGAGAATTAGTACCTACAGACCCAGTTCCTGATGAATTCCCGGCTCAAAAGAATCACCCTGATAACTTCTGGGTCCTAAAAGCCTCAATCATTAGACAATACTGTATATAGCAAGAGTGGGGAAGGACTTCACCTTTCCTGTGGGAAGACTCAGCTGCTTAGGCAAAAACTGTATAATACTACTACAAAAACAGCCACCTAGTGGAGTTCAAACCACACTAAGAAAAATCCATTTAGTAAATTCCCAAAGTTGCAAACTGTGTGAACCCACCCGGAGTCCCACAGGGACTGGACAGCCCCCACTGGATTATACTGGATATGTAGGCATAGAGTTTACACCAAATTACCCGACCAGTGGGCAGGTAGTCATGTTATTGGCACTATTAAACCATCTTTCTTCCTACTGCCCATAAAGACAGGCGAACTCCTGGGCTTCCCTGTCTGTGCTTCCCGCAAAAAGAGAAGCATAGCTATAAAAAATTCAAAAGATAATACATGGCCCCCTGAAAGAATCATACAATATTATGGGCCTGGTACTTAGGCACAAGATGGCTCCTAGGGATACCCGACCCCCATTTACATGCTCAACCGAATCATACGGTTACAAGCTGTCTTAGAAATAATCACTAATAAGACCGGCAGAGCCTTGACTATTCTGGCCTGGCAAGAAACTCAGATGAGAAATGCTATCTATCAAAATAGATTGGCTCTCGACTACTTGCTAGCAGCTGAAGGAGAGGTCTGTAAAAAATTTAACCTTACTAATTGCTGTCTACACATAGATGATCGAGGGCAATTAGTTGAAGACACAGTTAGAAATATGACAAAACTGGCACATGTGCCCGTGCAAGTGTGGCATGGATTTGGTCCTGGGGCCATGTTTGGAAAATGGTTCCCAGCACTAAAAAGATTTAAAACTCTTATATTAGGAGTTACAATAGCAATAGAAACCTGCGTTCTGCTCCCTTGTTTGCTACCCATACTTCTTCAAATGATAAAAAGCTTCATCGCTACCTTAGTTCACCAAAATGCTTCAGCACAACTGTACTATATGAATCACTATCGATCTGTCTTGCAAGAAAACATAGGTAGTAAAAATAAAAGTGACAACTCCCACTACTGAGTGAGATTCTCAGAGAGGGAGAATAAGGGAGACCACCCCTCATATTGTTTTACGCCCAATTTCTGCCTCCAAAGAGAGAAGTAAAAACTAAAAGGCAGAAATGAAATCCACAAGCAGACAGCCTGCACCACACCCTGGGCCTGGTAGTTAAAGATCGACGCCTGACCTAATCAGTGATGCTATCTATAGATTACAGACGTTATATAGAAAAGCACCGTGAAAATCCCTGTCCTGTTCTGTTCCGTTCTAATTACGGGTGCATGCAGCCCCCAGTCACGTACCCCCTGCTTGCTCAATCAATCACGACCCTCTCACGCAGACCCCTGAAGAGTTGTGAGCCCTTAAAAGGGACAGGAATTGCTCACTCGGGGAGCTCGGTTGTTGGAGACGTGAGTCTTGCCGAAGCTCCCAGCTGAATAAAGCCCTTCTTTAACTCGGTGTCTGAGGGGTTTTGTCTGCGGCTTGTCCTGCTACACTCTGGTGGGAAAGACACCGCAGCAGGGGAGCAGGGTGCGCAGGGTGCAGTGGGTGACGCTCATTCGCTGAAAACTGACCCTGCTTTCAAAGCCTTGTCAGTTCCCAAAGCTGTATGAAGCCTTTCCTGAGCCTCAACCTCTAGAGTCTAATTTCATCCTCTGTATTTTCCCCTTTGTTAGTCCAAACTGCGTCATTTTGTAAGCCCCTTTCCATTTTGTAGACCTTGGTCAAAGTGAAACATTCCACGGGGGTTCGAGCCATGAGAAACAGCCTGCCTCTTAACATATTCTGCTGGGACAAAGCGCCAGGAACACCACATTCTGCCGGAACCACCTCATCCTGGGAACACGTTAACATCTTCCCGGACAGCAAGCCATACTGCCTAGATCCCTCCTGCCCAGGCCTATGAGTACCCCAGCCTGTAATCGCTGGTGGGCTCTGGCATTAAGCTGGCCCCCGACAGGTGTTTGCAATACACCTGTGTTGCTGTAGAGCCGCCCGCGCGCCGGCAATCTCACTGTGCGTCATTCTTTAACCTTCACCTTCCCTTCAAAACCTAACACCCTTGACGTTTATATTCAGGCTATTATATATACATACACACATACACCCTTCTGAATCCTCCCAGGAGAATATAAAACCATGGGTTAAACTGCTACACTTCAGCTTCAGTGGCTGCCTTTCAGTGCTTCAAATACACCAACCTCTTTCCCACCCCGGGACCTGCACGAGAAAGCTGCTCCACTCACCCGCCGTGCTCTTTCACTCACCCTTCAGGTGTCTTCAATATCGCCTCTCAGGCCTTTCCCAACCACCGGTTTAAAGTCGGCTCCCCACAAATAAATACATATTCTCCCTCACAGTACTTCGCACAACACCTGGCACAGCGAGAGCACTGAACCAACACTCATTCAATGAGGAACACGAGGTAAGAACCAAGACCCCCCAAGGTCGCCGTACTTTGTCTGGTAGGAGAAGCTTTCTGCCCAGCAAGGTCCGACCCAGATGAAACCCCGTCCAAGTCTGCAGCACCCCCGTGAGTCCAGCCCGCTAAACTGTGAAGAATTTAAATACACGACACCTGCCCTCAAAAGCTTGAGGGCACCCCTGAGCTGCCATCGAGGTGGGGGCGTCAACGACAGGCGCTCAGTAAGTGCTCCTGAGGCAACTGCCGGGCTGTCCTGGACCTGGTGAATCCTTTCGGGGTTCAGCAAAGGCGGACGCTGACCGGGCCAAGGAGTGGGACCTGCAGTGCTGGACCACCCTTTTCCAAGCGCAGAAGTGCCGTGCCCGCCGGCTCTCAACAGGGCAAGAGGCCCCTCTCGCCGTGCAGAGCGCAGCGCTTGCGGCGGGGACAGCAGAGGCGGGACGGGCGTCACGGAGTTCCCGGGTCCTCGCGCGGTCACTTACCTGGCCTCAGCTATCCGCTGAAAAAGGGGCGGACGGCCTCCCGGGATCCGAGCCGATATCGCGCGCGGCGCCGCGGGGCAACCTGAAGCCGTGTGCGTGCGTGTGCGTTCACGCAGGGGCTCACCCAGCGGCCACGGGCTTCTGAAGACCCGGGTGGGAAGTGCGGCCCGGGAAAGCGCAAGCGTCTCCATGGCAACGAGGGCGGACGGCGTCAGAGCGAGTCGCTTCCGGAAGTGACGTGCGGAAGGGGTGCCCGGGACGAAGCCATGGCCCTGGAGGCGGCGGGAGGGCCGCCGGAGGAAACGCTGTCACTGTGGAAACGGTAATGCTGTCAGGCGACGCGCAGGAGGCGGGGGCCGAGGCCGGGCGGCCCTTCGCGGACCCTCCGAGCTCATAGTCTTCAGGCTGTGGAATCGGAGCTGCCACCGCCCGAGACTCCAAAGCAAAGCCCAGTTTCCGGCGCGGAAGCGGAGGGATCTCAGGAATTGTAGTCCGCGGGGTGGGCGCGGTTCTCGCTTCCGGCCAGTTTGTCTGGCCTGCGCTTGCGCGGGTCTCCGCCGCCTGGGCTCCTAGGGACTGTGGCCTCGGCGGTATGTCCCTTGCTTTCCCTTGAAGCGGGAGAAGACCCGGCAGAGGCGCTCTGTCCGCTGCAGCCGCGCGGGTGGAGGAGGCAGAGTCTGAGGTGTGACCCCGACCAAGTTTGACGCTTCTGTCCTCCTAGGGAGCAAGCTCGGCTGAAGGCCCACGTCGTAGACCGGGACACCGAGGCGTGGCAGCGAGACCCCGCCTTCTCGGGTCTGCAGAGGGTCGGGGGCGTTGACGTGTCCTTCGTGAAAGGGGACAGTGTCCGCGCTTGTGCTTCCCTGGTGGTGCTCAGCTTCCCTGAGCTCGAGGTAACCTGGGAGGACGCCGAGCTCGAGGCGGGCCCCTCGGTGGGCTCGGGCGTGCGGTCTCCGGGACAGGGAGCAGTGCAAGCGTAGAACCCGGCTTCTCGTTTTGTAGGATGTCATTAATAGTCTGGGGAGTTGGCCGGGCGCGGTGGCTCACGCCTGCAATCCCAGCACTTTGGGAGGCTGAGGCGGGGGAATCACCTGAGGTCGGGAGTTCGAGACCAGCCTGACCAACATGGAGAAACCCGGTCTCTACTAAAAATACAAAATTAGACGGGTGTGGTGGCATATACCTGTAATCCCAGCTACTCGGAAGGCTGAGGCGGGAGAATCGCTTGAACCCGGGAGGCGGAGGTTGCGGTGAGCCAACATCACGCCATTGCACTCCAGCCTCGGCAACAAGAGCGAAACTCCATCTCAAAAAAAAAAAAAAAAAAAAAAAGTCTGGGGAGTCTTGGAAGGGAAAAAAAGGCAAAAATTAAGGGAATTCTGTGACTATTAAGAATCAGCTCATGAGCTTTATCTTCAAGTCTGATTGTTATCTTGGGTTCTTCATCTCAGTGACCTGTCCACCACGCTCCCAGTTGCCCAAGCTGGAGATCTGCATCCTCCTGGGCCCCTCCGTTCCTCTCGCGTCCAGTTGCACACTAGCTCGCTTTTATTCTGCCTCTTAAATGTCGCTGGAATCTGTCCCCTTGTCTGTTTCCCCTCTGCTCCTTCCCTGGCTGTGCCACCATCACTCCTGTGGGTTCCTGAGCAGCATTTTCATGGGTGCCCTGGCTCAAATGTTCCTCCTCAGTGGTTTCTTTTCCATACTGCCAGCAGACCAATTTTCCTAAAAAGCAAGTATTTTCCTCAAAAGCAACAAGTCCCCTCCCTCCCTCCCTCCCTCCCTTCCTTCCTTCCTTCCTTCCTCCCTTCCTTCCTCTCTCTGTCTCTCTTTCCTTCCTTTCCCCTTCCCCCACTCTGTGCCCAGGCTGAAGTGCAGTGGCATAATCTTGGCTCACTGTCAAGATCTGATCTCAACCTCCTGGACTCAAGTGATCCTCCCACCTTAGCCTGAGTAGCTAGGACCACAGGTGTGAGCCACTACACCCGGCTTATTTTTTTATTTTTTGTAGAGACAGGATCTCACTATGTTGCCCAGGGTGGTCTCCAGCTCCTGGGCTCAAGGGATCCTCCTACCTTGGCCTCCCCAAGTGCTGAGATTACAGGTGGGAACCACCACACCCAGCCCACAAGTCCTCTTAGAACATTGAAGTGCCCTTCTCATGACCTCATGGTGAATAAAGTTCACTCTGGTTGGCATGGCTTCAAGGCCCGTCATGACCTGTCCCCTGCGTAATTTAATATGACGCTGGAGGCTCAGCCCTCACCACTATTCTCAGTTCTTCCCACCTCCTACAGCCCACTGTGAGTCCCTCACGTGTTTGCTACGCTGTATTTGGCGGCCTGACCTTTGCAGTAATGTTTCTTCTGGAAGGGTTTCCATCTGGCTAACTACTACTCATCTCTTTGGGCTCAGTTTAGACATGACGTCCTCCACTAAGCTCCCTCTCATCCCACAAGACGAGGACTTGTCCCTCAGCACCATGTCTTAGTCCGTTTGGGCTGCTGTAATAGAATACCTTAGACTGGGTGGCCTACCCACAGCAGGAATTTATTTCTCACAGTTCTGGAGGCTGGAGGCTCAAGATCAGGGTGCCAGCGCAATCAGGTTGTGGTGACGGCGCTCTTTCAGGTTGCACAGGGCCAGCTTCTTAACCGTGTTCTCACATGGTGATCCACTCACCTCCCTAGAGGCCCCACCTCGTAATACCATCACCTATGGGTTATAATTTCAACATAGGAATTTGGGGAGGACACCAGCATTTAGACCGTAGCAACCCTCTGCTTCCTCTTGTCTTGCTGGGATGGAACTGGCCTGTCTTCCCTACTGGAATATAAACTCCATGATGGTAGAAACCATGTTGCTTTGCCCACCATGGATAGCATGAGGAAGACGCTGGACTCTTCCTTCAAGAGATACGTGTGTGAATGGACAGTGGGCTCATGATTCACATAAGAGTCAACAGCTCCGGAAGCCTCTTGGCGTCACTCGCATTGCTCCTCTGCTGACTCCCGAAGGTGACAAACGTCTTCCTGCTTCCATGGCTTTGTGCTTTACTTGGGAGGCCCTTTTCAGTCCAAATCAAGCAAAAATGTACTGAGTGCCTACTGTGTGCTAAGATTGGGATATTCAGCAGCCCCTACTCTAAGAGGTCCCCTGGCCATTGTGTAGGCTAGCATAGGGAGTGGGGACACAGTCTTAGGGTCCTGACTACTCATGCTCACACCCAACTCTGCCACTCCCCACTTTGCCCTCTAGGCCTCTGTCTCCTTTTTTCTGACTTGAGGATGATAGTGGTATTAATATCCAGCTCACAGAATTGTGATGAGCAGTACATGAAATGCATGGAAAGCAGTTAACACAGCATTCCCTTCCCCCTCCAACTTCTCCTGGCTGCAAATTAATCACCTCATCTGCATCCTGGGCCTCTTTTGAATGCACATGCTGTTAGAGCGCTTCTCACATTGTATTAAAGTTAGTCATTTATGATTCCATTTTTCCCACTGACTGTAGGTTCTCAAGAGTAGGGTGTACCATATTTCTTTTACAACCCCAGCACCAAGCAAAGCACCTGCTACTTCGTCGGTATTCATTGTTCCGGCTATGAAAGCTTAGACTAGGAAAGGATCTTGGAACAGTCTGGTCCACTGGTTCCTGAATGCCCGACCGTGGACCTGCAGGAGCAGAATCACCCAGAAGTGTGTTGAGAAACAGATTCCGTAGGCACATCCACAGAGACAGAAAGTGGATCCTTGGGCCTTGGAGTTGGGGTGGGATGGATGGGAAGTGACTGCTGATGAGGATGAGGTTTATTTAGGGGTTAAGGAAAATGTTCTAAAGTTAGATTGTAGTGATATTGCACAACTCTGTAAATACCAAAACCATCGCATTATATGTTTTAAACAAGTGAACTTTATGGTATGTTAATTGTATCTCAGTAAACCTGTTAGGAAAAAAAACAGGCCGGGCGCAGTGGTTCATGCCTGTAATCCCAGCACTTTGGGAGGCTGAGGCGGCTGGATCACGAGGTCAGGCGATCGAGACCATCCTGGCTAACACGGTGAAACCCTGTGTCTACTAAAAATACAAAAAAAATCAGCCGGGCATGGTGGCGGGCACCTGTAGTCCCAGCTACTCGGGAGGCTGAGGCAGGAGAATGGCGTGAACCTGGGAGGCGGAGCTTGCAGTGAGCCGAGATCGCGTCAGTGCACTCCAGCCTGAGCAACAGAGCAGGACTCTGTCAAAAAAAAAAAAAAAAAAACAGATTCCAGAGCCCTACCCCACTTACTGGGGGAAAAACTCTCCCAGAGTATAGCATAAGAATCTGCTTTTTAAAATAAGCTTTCCTGTGATTCTGAAGCAGAGCTGGGCTGGAGAACCACTGGCCTGCTTTTCCCACCGTGAAGAACACTGTCCTTAGCATCCCTGACAAACGATGGCGGAGCCCGTTCTGTGCCAGATGCTGAGCCATGGCTGGTGTGTGCTGCTCCGCAGGCCTCTGGCGGAGCCCATTCCATGCCAGATGCTGAGCGATGGCTGGTGTGTGCTGCTCCACAGGCCTGGTGGAGCCTGTTGTGTGCTGGACGCTGAGCAATGGCTAGTGTGTTCTGCTCCGCAGGGAGCTGACTCCTACTTGTCTGTGACTCCCATCGATCAGTTCTGCCTTCAGGTAGCAAAACAGAACGGATCTTCCCTGCCTTCTGCTTGTCAGCCCTTCTGCTGCTGGAAACAGCTGCCTGCTCCTTGACCACACTGTCCCAAGAGGCTGCGATGACGTCCAGCTTCTTCACTGGTCAGTGGCCCTCTGGTCATGCCCTCCGTTCACACAATCCATCTTTCCGTCTGCACTCAGAATCAAATGCAGGAACTTGGATGTGGTCTACCCAAGTCCCTAGACCTAACTGTCACCCACGCCATTTCAGTCGGTGTAGCTGGAAACACTGGTAGCTTTTGAGGGGCACCAGGTCACTGGCTTATGTTGAGATTGCTGGTCATCCAGACCTGCCCCCTACGCTAATCATACAGTGATTTTTCTTTTCCCAGATTTTTAATTTGAAAATGTACATACAT
The DNA here is from genome assembly GCF_000001405.40 of Homo sapiens. Taxonomy (NCBI): domain Eukaryota; kingdom Metazoa; phylum Chordata; class Mammalia; order Primates; family Hominidae; genus Homo; species Homo sapiens. The sequence continues at coordinate 80,419,999 of NC_000017.11, forward strand.
CCCCCCAAATTGGAAAAGGATACGTTGGACACCTGTATTCCTTCTACTTAGGTTCAGCTGTTGCTGCTCTGGAATATTCTCTCTCGCGCACATGCGCTCTTTGTGTGCGTGTGTACCGTACATCCCAGCGACTGTGACAGCTCAGAAGACATCAGCAGGCCTGTCCTGAGAATGACATTCTCCTCCACAGCCACAGTGTCATTATCATACTGATTACACATCATAGTCATCCCATAATGTCACCTGAATGATAACATTATGGGAGAGATTCAGATGTAAGCAGCCACGCCCCTCCTGTGGGAACTCAGGCCACACTTGAATTCCACATGTCACTGTGCAAAGTGACTTTTACTCTGTGGGGATGTCAGTGATCCAGCCTGCTGGCTTCTCTGTGAACCCAAATTCTGTTATCAGAATGGACCCTCCCCACTTTGGGTCATGGGCAGATTTGATCAGTTTCCCCATTGAGTCATTGATGAAGATGTTGTGAGAATGATCCCCAACCCTCTGTGCTAATACAGAGCACTCCGTCTGCTTTGGTGTGTTTAATTATTGATCCAGCCACAAGTGAGGAGTGGAAGTTGTGATTTGAAAGCTGTCACCAAGAGATTTGGGGGATTCAGTAACAAAACTGCAGGAAGGTAGACAGGTCTGCAGAATGTGGACATAGTGGGAAACGTCTTCACATTAAGGGCAGTGTGACTAAGGAAAACACAAGGTTAGGAGACTCAGGCCTGCCATGTTGTGCTCTAAACTGCAGCCTCTGCCTCCTGGGTTCAAGCAGTTCTCCTGCCTCAGCCTCCCGAGTAGCTGGGATTACAGGCATGCGCCACCACGCCCAGATAATTTTGTATTTTTAGTAAACACGGGGTTTCTCCATGTTGGTCAGGCTGGTCTTGAACTCCCAACCTCAGGTGATCGTCCGCCTCGGCCTCCCAAAGTGCTGGGATTACAGGCGTGAGCCACCACGCCTGGCCAACACTGTGTCTTCTTTAAGCCTCCAACAACCCATGGAGGGGTGGGGTGGGGCATCGGCTTCAATACACAAAGGAGGAGACACCAGGAAAGCAAGGGGCAGGCAGAGGTGATGCAGCCAGCAGCCTTAGCCTTGCTTCTGATGAAGACCAGGTCCTGGGGGGCTCCCGCGGACCTGATCCCAGGGAATCCTCCTATGGACCAGGTCCCGGAGGCTCCTCCTATGGACTAGATTCCAGGGAATCCTTCTACAGTCTAGGCTTCAGGGGCTCATCCTATGAACTAGATCCCGGGGAATCTTCCTATGGACCGGGTCCCGGGGAATCCTCATACAGACCAGATCCCGGGGAATCCTCCTATGGACCAGGTCCTGGGGGCTCCTCATACAGACCAGATACCAGGGAATCCTCCTATGGACCAGGTCCCAGGGGCTCCTACTATACACATCAGGTCTGGGAGTTGGGGCTCCTCCAGTGGACCGGGTCCGGGGTGGGGGTTCTCATATGGACCGGGTCCCAGGGGGCTGCTGCTATGGACCAGGTCCCGGTGGGGGCGGGGTGGGGGTGCTGTTGCTACAGACCAGGTCCCGGGGGAGCTGCTGCTACGGACCAGGTCCTGGGGGGGTCTGCTCCTATGGACCAGGTCCCGGGGGTACCTGCCCACCACCAATTTGCAGGGTACATCTTCTAGTTCCTTCTTCCAAACCCATCATCTCATAGGTGAGGCAGGGAAGGGGAGCCATGAGGGTGACGTAAGGGAGAGGGAAGGATGAGGGGGGCAGGGCATGGACGGACTGGGGATGGAGCAGGTGGCCGAAGGCTGTGCTTCCCACTGAGCTGCGTGCCTGGTGTCAGGTGGTGTATGAGGAGAGCCGCATGGTCAGCCTCACAGCCCCCTACGTGTCGGGCTTCCTGGCCTTCCGAGAGGTGCCCTTCTTGCTGGAGCTGGTGCAGCAGCTGCGGGAGAAGGAGCCGGGCCTCATGCCCCAGGCAGGTGTCTCATCCCTAGGACGAGAGAAAGGTCCCTCCTTCCCCCTGGGGGAGGGAAGGCTGCTGCAGGTCGCCACCACCACAGTGGCAGGGAGAGACTCATGAGCTTCCTGGAAGAGAGGAATGAGGATTTCTAAAAAGCTGGACCCCAGAGACAGTGCCCCCTTCTTGCCTCAGGGATGGCCCTGTCCTGAGGGCCGAGGGGCAGCTCAGCTGACTGTGACTCTCCCTGTGGCTCCATAGGTCCTTCTTGTGGATGGAAACGGGGTACTCCACCACCGAGGTAATCCTGCTCTTGGAGGTCCAGGGAGGGCACTGTGGGGAAGAGCGGGGGGAGAGGGCACCTCTGTCGTCCCCCACAGAAAATGCTGGGCCCTCGGCCTCTGCCGCCAGCCCCCTCCAATGGCTTCTTTCTCGGCGCAACGGGGACGCGCAGTGCGCTCAGCCCCGCCTCCCCCACCGCCGGTAAAGGACTGTCTACTTTCGCTTCACCCCTTACCTCTTTCCTGTCCGCCACTGCCTTCTCTACAGTGCCCTGTGCTGGCTCATCTCCAGGTGCCACTATCCAGTTCTGACCTGATCACCAAAAGATGTCCCAGGGCCCGGGCTCAGAGTGGCCTTCCCTGCCAGCCGCCCAACCTGCATGGCCCGTCAGGCCCCTTGTCCACAACTAGACAGGTGTACCCAGGCCCCCACTGATGCCAGGAACCTTGGCCTAGGGAGCGTGGCTGAGGGAGATGGGCTCTTTTTTTTTTGAGACGGAGTCTCGCTCTGTCGCCCAGGCTGGAGTGCAGTGGCGCGATCTCGGCTCACTGCAACCTCCGCCTCCCGGGTTCATGCCACTCTCCTGCCTCAGCCTCCTGAGTAGCTGAGACTACAGGTGCCCATCACCACGCCCGGCTAATTTTTTTGTATTTTTAGGAGAGACGGGGTTTCACGTGTTAGCCAGGATGGTCTTGATCTCCTGACCTCGTGATCCGCCTGCCTCGGCCTCCCAAAGTGCTGGGATTTCAGGCGTGAGCCACCGCGCCCGGCCTAGGGAGATGGGCTCTTTTACTGTTACATACAGAGCTGCGGGCGGCGCAGCAGCACCCAGAGAGGGCCCAGGAGGGGTGACATTGGGCCTTCCTGGCCAGCAAGTGTGACTCGGCCCTGGCTGCTGCCCTCGCACATGGGTGCAGAGCCAAAGGGTTGTCATGTGCCGACCCACATGCTCGTGCCAGCGCTGGCAGGCCACCGTCGAGGGAAGAGGAAGCTGGGAGGTGCAGGAAATGACCGGAGAGCTGCAGTATCCCAGCACGCCAGCGAGGTGCTGACCCTGGCACTGACCGTGTCAGAGAGAAGGAGGCTTCCTCCACGGCCTTGCACCCAGGACATCGGGCACAGGGGGCTTTCGCCCAGGTCTGCTTGGGACTTAGATCTGGTTTCCCCAGCCCTCTGCCTGTCCACAGACCTCTGCTCACTTAGGGAAGCTTTTGGTAAGACTGGCTTGTCCTGAATCCCTGTGCCAGGCCCCAGCCCCACCTCCCCAACCCCACCCTCCTTTCTCTCTGGCAGGCTTTGGGGTGGCCTGCCACCTTGGCGTCCTTACAGACCTGCCGTGTGTTGGGGTGGCCAAGAAACTTCTGCAGGTGGATGGGCTGGAGAACAACGCCCTGCACAAGGAGAAGGTGAGGAGGGGCCTGCTGCAGGCCATGCCCGGCAGCTCAGTGGCGGGGCTGTGGTGGCCCTGGGCATGAGGACACTTCTGGACCAGCCCTTGCCTGCTGACGCTGCCCTCCTCATCCCTGGCTTGTGGCCTGGAGTAAGAAAGACCTGCTTTCCTCTGGGTGCTGCATTGCCTGTCTCAGCTGAGGGCGCTCTGAGCTCCTCTCCTGCCTCCTGGGTGTGCCTGCCTCTCTGGTCCCCCTTGCCTCTGAGCCACCGTGGCACACCAAGTAGGGCTAAGTCCTCCAGTTACTGGGGACAGGACGGGCTTCCAGGCTGTCCCGGGCGCACTTGGTGCTTTCCCCACCCCGCCTTGCCCCAGCCCCTGTCTCCTCCCCTGCATGCTCAGGTACCACAGCCTCCAGGCCCCCCTCCCGCCAAGACCTGCCTGGAGCTGCCACCCACACTCTTCCTACCTCACCTTCCCCTGCATCTTCCTCCTCTGGGACCCCATGTTGGCACTGGGAGTGAGACACTCACAATGGAGGGAGCTGTTGACACCCCCAGCTGTTTCACTGGATGGCAGATTCTGAGAGCAGAGACTGTGTCTCTCATTCCTCCTAGCTCTCAGGTGCCTGCATGGAGAAGTTGCTTAATAAAAATCTGTTGAGTTGATGGGGACCTTAGACCCACTCAATGAGCCAGTCCACCGCCGCCAGAAATACCAGCCTGTTGAGCTGTGTCAGATGTGCCCAAAGCAGGAGAGAAGCCACAGGAAGGAAGCGGGCTCAGCACCCATCACTGGGCAGTGGCGGCACCTGTGTGGCTGCCAGCCTGGCACAGCGGCCCTGGGCAGATTGTTGCCCTTGTTCTAAGCCCCATCATCAGGTTTGAACAGGGTCTTGTGGGCAGCACCCTCAGCTCAGGGACAAGACCACTTCACCGCCTGCACGCTCAGTGTCGTCTCAGGTGGTGTGGCTTTGCCTGGGCTGTGGCTCACCTCCAAGATCAGTCCCCTTCCCTTTCCTGGCCCAGTGACTGGGTTTTAAAAATAAAGAGACCTGGGCCGGTTGCGGTGGCTCACTCCTGTAATCCCAGCACTTTGGGAGGCCGAAGTGGGTGGATCACGCGATTAGGAGATCGAGACCATCCTGGCTAGCATGGTGAAACCCCATCTCTACTAAAAATACAAAAAATTAGCCGGGCGTGGTGGCACATGCCTGTAGTCCCAGCTACTCAGGAGGCTGAGGTGGGAGAATCGCTTGAACACGGGAGGCAGAGGTTGCAGTGAGCTGAGATCGCGCCACTGTACTTCAGCCTGGGCAACAGTGCGACACTCCGTCTCAAAAAATAGAGACTTGCCTTCAGCCCTTCACCAAGAAGAGAGGGGTTTTTTTCCCCATTTTTCCCTCCATTTTCCAGATCCGACTCCTGCAGACTCGAGGAGACTCATTCCCTCTGCTGGGAGACTCTGGGACTGTCCTGGGAATGGTGAGTAGCTAGGGCCCTGAGCTCCTCCAAAGCCCCGGGGTAGGGGATCCTTTGCAGGCAGACACAGGTGCATGCAGACACGCGTGCACTCACACTTGCCCACATCAACCCCCCGCCTGCCCGTCCATCCATCCTCCTGCCTCTGACTGAGTCCAGGGTGTGATGTTTGTGTTTCTTTCCTCCAGCCGTGCTGAGGGAGCCCACCCTCCCCCAGGGACAAGCAGCAGGAAGGCGCCCTGAGGGTGGGCAGGCCCTGGCCCCTGAGAGCACTGCCCCTTCAGCTTCCCCCTTGCCCCCAGGACATTTTGTCAGAGCTCCAGCTGCTGAGGCTGTCCTGACCCTGGTCCCGGTGGCCCAGCCCACAGGACAGCCCTCGCCTTCCTTGTCACAGGCCCTGAGGAGCCACGACCGCAGCACCAGGCCCCTCTACATCTCCGTGGGCCACAGGATGAGCCTGGAGGCCGCTGTGCGCCTGACTTGCTGCTGCTGCAGGTTCCGGATCCCAGAGCCCGTGCGCCAGGTGGGTGTGCTGGGGATGCGGGGAGGCAGCACAGGCTCCTCTGCTTCCTGCCACCTGCTGTTCAGGGCTCCCCAGCAGCTCAGCTGGGGTCAGAGTGCAGTGACATGAGGACGGGGGTTCCTGGGCCGAGGACAGGTCACAGACATCTTGCTGGAGAGCTTGCTGGGCCCTGCAGTCAGGACAGTAGACTGGGGGGTGCAGGGCTCCCAAGAGTTCATCCCCAGGCCCTGCACCCCATGCACTCAGCCTCCCAGCCTCTCTGAGCCTCCTGCACCCAGATACAGGCCAGCTTGGAGAATCAGTGATGTTAGCTCAGGTGGTGAGGTGTCCTGCCAGTTCCCAGCCAGCCCCTCAGGTCCCAGAGGGAGCAGCTGAACTTGAGCCAGGAGGCTCCTGCAGGAAAGCTGTGCAGGCCCCAGAGACGCCAGTCTGGGGACTTGGGTATGCCCGCCCCAGGACCCAGCACAAAACTGGTGTTCGGTCCCCCAGGAAGGGTGAGAACTCTGCTGAAGCCATCAGCTCAGCTGAGAAAGGACTCAGCCTGTGGGCCAGGGAGAGACAGCTGGCACGAGATGCCCACAGACAGCCTCGATAGGACCAGGGGACCACAAGACACGGGTGGATGCTGTCCCAGAGAAGCCCACAGAGTGAGGGTTCAAGAAAAGTCAGTCTTAGGAAGAGACCCGCTGGAGGAAGGGGAAGGACAGCCCTGGGCAGGAAGGAGTTTGATGTGCTCAAGAAATGGGGGGCCCGGAGGGTGGCTCACGCCTGTAACCCCAACACTTTGGGAGACAGAGGTGGGAGGATCACTTGAGCCCAGGAGTTTGAGGGCGCCCTAGGCAACATAGACCCCGTCTCTACAAAAAAAACGTAAAAACAAATTAGCCAAGTGTGGTGGTGCGTGCCTGTGGTCTCTGCTACTTAGGAGGCTGAGGCGGGAGGATCACCTGAGCCCAGGAGGTCGAGGCTGTAGTGTGCCCTGATTGGGCCACTGCACTCCAGCCTGGGTGACAGAGCAAGACCTTATCTCAAAAAAACTTTAAAAAACAAAAACTCAGCAGGAAGGTGTGGCCGGAGCCAGATGGCAGTGAAGTACAGAGTGGGTGGGAGCCCGTGAGCATCTTGGGGTGCGCCAGGGTTTCAGACGTCACCCACAGGGACTTGGATGGCTGTGAGTTGGCAGCGGGGCGCCCGCAGATTGGCCTTTTTAGGTGGCCGCTGTGCGTGCTGTGGAGGCTGTGGACGCAGGTCTGCACAAGCCATGCTGCTTCCAGCAGCCCAGCCCCTGAGCCTCCCTGGTGTCTGCCCCTTCCCCATCTTACCCCACCGCTTGCCCTGCAGCCTGCCCTGGGGCAGCCGCAGCACCGGTGGAAAACCCCCAGGCCACCACCTTCGGGCCGGGGCCTTCCGGCTGCTGGCGCGCAGTGTGGCCTCCAGGGGGCAGCAGCAGCCCACATACCACAATGGCCCTCGCCCTGGGGAGCTGTGCTCAGTGGTGGCGTCTGAGAGCGGGCTCCACAGCCTTGCAGGGCTTTGCTCAGGGCACAGGTGTGTGGACTCTCAAGCCTGTGAGCTGTGTCCCCAGCCCCCAGGAAAGAGGCCTTTCTTCCTCCATTCCAACTCAGCCGTGTGGTCTTCCGAGAGAGAACCCAAGAAACTGTCCCCCAGGCCTTCAGCCACAGGAACTTTAGGTCGTGCTGCTGCTGCAGACAGCACAGTTCCTGGAGCTCCTGTACCTTTTTCTGCCTCAGCGCGCCCCAGAGTAGGACAGTGGCCCATCCTTGCAAGGGAGGGGACACCTGGCCTGTGAGTACCTTAAGCATCTAGAAATAGAGCAAGGATCTGTGCCTAGCACCAGCAAAGAGCCTGCCAAATCCTGGGCCCACCCTCCAGAGGAAGGAAAGCCGCAACCAGTTGGGATATGCAGCCACCCCGTACCAGGAGCCCGCAGCTTCTTACTGTTGGGCGTGAGCCGAGGATCGTGTCCTGCAGGGCTGGCTCTGTCTCTCGGTCCATTTTCTTCCTGAGCTCACTCACCTCTCAACAGGTTCACCTCCTGCTCTGTTCCAGAAGGTCCTGGGAGAGCACAGACGGGGTTAGTGTTGGTCTGCTCTCTCCCTGGCTCCGCGCCGGGCCGTCTTGGTGGCCCCATGGTCACAGGCGCTGCGGCGCTCCTGGTTGCCAGGTCCAGGCTCTCCTGCCAGGCCAGGCTGGGCCGCTCCAGGGGAAGGTGAGAGGTGCTGGCCCCGCCTACCGCTGCCCCACTTCCCCCATGAATGGAAGCAGGAGCAGGCTGGGGGATTAGCCGTTGCTTTCCATGAGTCGTGCAGCCCTGAAGCTAATCTAAGCTCATCTGAGCTGGGATCAGGGGGACTTCCCAGGGCCAGACCCCCCATGCCCCCGGGGGTTCCCACTCAGACCTGAGCCCTGTTCAGTGTCCCTCCCTGCTAGGGTCTGCCCCCATCCCAGCCTGTGGCCCACCGCCCTCTTTTATCTTGGTGATTCTGGAGACGGGACAGGGGTTACTGCTGATCTAGTCAGGGAGAGGACAGACCAGCTGGGCTCAGAGCCCCCAGAGAAGCAAGTGTTAGCAGGGAAGCCTCGGCTTGCGCAGAGCCTACAGGGAAGCACAGACTGGAAACCAGTGAAGGCTGAGCAGCTCCAACTGCCACTGGTGGGGAGGAGACCCAGGACCCCCTCACTCAGCCTGTCCACTCACCAGCTACTCAGGCCCTTCAGGGACTGCCCAGCTCGGTTTGAGAGCTGCCATTGCGGGGCTTTGACCCCAAAGTCCCAGGCATGCCTGTCCCACACTCGCTGACAGGGCCGCGGCTCCTGAGCCTGAAGAACTGGCTGTGACCTGTGTGTCCTGAGTGGGCTTCTGTGGGGGATGGAGGCATTGCCAGCAGCAGCTCCTGGTGGGAAACTGGTCTAGAGACCAGCTCAGCACCCAGCAGCACGTCTGTCTCCCCCAGGCTGACATCTGCTCCCGAGAGCACATCCGCAAGTCGCTGGGACTCCCCGGGCCACCCACACCGAGGTGAGCACCCAGGGAGGCTGGGGCACTAAAGGGGCATCTCACAGACACCTGCATGGGCTGTTTCCGGTGGCTCAGCCTCTCCTTGTTGCAATATTGTGGCTCAGGACAGACAGTGCAGGGCCAGGGAAGGCAGGGGACACAGGAGAGGTCTTCAAAGAGGGAGGAGAGTGGAGTGGGGTAGACTCCTATTCTCGTGGGAACTCTCCAGAAACACCACTGCCTCCACGCAAAGCCCTGGAACTACGGCCCTGTCTGGTCCAAGCCCTACCTCCCAATAGGGCTATCCCCAGCCTTCCTCAGTCCACTTAGCCTGTGAGGTACCAGGACGTGGGCTCTGCAGAAAAGGCGTGGCCTCGGAGTCAGACATGATCCAGCCCTGCATAGCCAGCTGTGGCGTTTGCACTCTTCGAGCCTCAGCTTCCTCATCGTCGGGATAGGCTCTGTAATTCTTGTCCCACTGGTTCTTGTAAGTTAGAGTGACAGTGTGCCTGGCACAGTCACCGCTAACAGTGCAAGGCATTGTCTTAAAACCATTGCAGATGGTTTGATCCTGCTAGCAACCTTGATGTGAGACAAGTACTGTGACCCCACTTTACAGATGAGGAGGCTGGGACACTGAGTGTTGATAAGGAGTAAAGCAGAATTCAGTCTGGCTACTTCCTCTTCTCTCAGTGTGGGCAGTTTGGATTCCAGGCCCTGCATCTGAGCCTCCAGGCTGAGAGGACACCCCCACTCCCTAGGCAAAGATCGCAGGAGGCCCCAGGCCTGGGATTCGCCCTGCCCTCGCCCACGATTAGTTACTGAAGGGCTGCGGTTCCTTCGTGCTCATTTTCCCTCTAAGCCAGGGGCTGTTCCCAGGCCTCCCTAGGCTGCTTTGAGAACTGAGGGAGCAGGTGGCGGGGACCCCCCAAGCTCTCCCAGAGTTGGAGGCCGGCCCGCTTGAATGCAAGCTGCGTGTCTGAGCAGCGTGCTCTGCCCTGCCCTCTGCCCTGGGCTGTAGCAGGTCCTGAGTGTCCAGGCCAAGCGCAGTTCCCAGACCCCATCTGGGGTGTGAGGGGGTGTCAGGTAGGCGCTAGCATCTGATGCTGTCCCTTTCTCAATGTCATCACCAGGAGCCCGAAGGCGCAGAGGCCAGTGGCATGCCCCAAAGGAGACTCCGGAGAGTCCTCAGGTGAGGGCCAGCCCCCACAGGACCACAGCCCAGGCCCCAGGACAGCCCCAAGGCCAGGCTCCCAGGAGCAGGCGGGCAAGGACTGGCAGTAGGGTGGAACTGGGCACCATGAAGACAAGAAGGCCACCGGCCACCCCGTTCTGGCCTCAGGACACTGACCACCCCTGGGGGTGGTCTAGGGACTTAGGGGAACCTCATCTCAGCCGCAGGTGGAGCACCCAGTCCCCAAAGACAGGCTGACCGCACCACCCCAGGGGGACGCCGCAGCACAGCCCAGCACCAGGTGGGGCAGAGGTGACCACGGCCCCTCTTTGCTCCGTCATCGGCTGGTCAGCTGTGGTCACGGTGCCTCAGAGGACAGATCTCTATGGGGGCAAGTGCCAGATCCTGAGAGCGCATGAGACGCTTTCCCGGAGCCGACGAAGGGGACTCGGAGCTGCAGCCTGCACGACCCCTGCAGCCTGTGCTTTGCCCACCCCTTTCAATAGATGGAACTTGCTTGCTCTTTTTTATTCTTCTCAGGATTCATTTTTTATTTCACATATTTGTTTGTTTGTTTATTTATTTCCATTGATCTCTTTACCCTGAGGTTTACTTGCAAAATCAGGGTTCATTTTTAAAGCAGGTCCTCAGCCCCAGCCACACTGAACCACCTCTGCCCTGACACGGGAGGGGTCCTAGCTGGGGTAGCTGGGCTTTAGCACCTGCTCACTGCCTGCCATGACCCCTGACCCCAGTCCTGGCCATCCTCCAGCCTGTCCCAGGAAGAGGGAGCAGAGAGCCTCATCTCAGCCTGGAGGGGGCCGAGGACGGGGGCAGCACACGGGCAGTCTGGGCTGTGGGGCAGGAGGCCAGACAGGGTGGCACTGGTGCCTGAGGGGTTGGGTGCCAGGCTCTGTGCCCGGCGGGGGCTAGGATCGGGGGTGGCACCGTCCCCACAGGCTCTGAAAGTTGATCACTGTCCTCTGTCCTTGCCTGCCTTGCCCCAGAGGCACAGCCTCAAAACTGTCTCCACTGTGGGAAAGCAGCCCTAGGCCCCTGTCTGGCCACTTCATCTTCTCTTGGTGTGGGCTAGAGGCGCCAGCTGAGGAGTGGGGGCAAAGGGGATGGCCCACCTGCAGCCCAGCCCCAGCCCCTGGGCACCTTGCAAGCACCCCCCAGCCCTTGACATGCCGGCTGGCCTCCAGATCCCAGGCCCCCTGAGGATGCTGGAATCTGCCACAGAGCATGAAGAAGTCCCTGGAATCCTTTCTTGCCATTCACCTGACCTCTACAAGAAGGGGCCGGTGATCATGATTTGACAGCTTGGGACAAGAATCCAGGGAGGCCGGGTCTCTGGCGCGCCTCCATGCCCCTTCAAGAAGGTGCTATCCTGGTGTTCCTGAGGAGCAGGGCGAGCCTGGGCCTGAGGGAACAGGTACACAGGCAGCAGCACTCAGGGCCGGGGAGTGCTGGCCCCACCCGCCTGCGCTCACTCGAAAGCTGCTTTGGAGGGCTGGGCTGCAGGGGCAGAGGCTCTGGAAAAGAGGCCCAGGCTGTGTAGCTGCCCTTCCTTGATGGAGCAGACTCTATTCTAGAAATTTCTATAAGAAGTAGACTCACTCCAGGACAAGTGGGGCTGGGGGGAGCGGATGCCGAGGGGCTCTGCGGGCACCTTGTGCCTAAAGTCACGGGGGGCACAGGAGAGAGCGGGAACTAGGTGGACTGTTGTGGCTGCCATCCATCGGCAACGCTGGCCGGAACCAGATGAGCAGTGTGGGGCGAGAGGGAGCCCCAGTGCGGCCCCTCAGGCCCTCCATGCTTCAGGGTGTCAGTGGCCCCGGACTGGCCTCACTCAGCCCTGGGCACTTGGGCCTGTCGGGGATCTAGCTTTCAGTGAGGACCCCACCGGTGGACTGAGGCTCCCCTCACCGTGGCAGAGGAATCTCTGCCCTTCCCACCGAAAGGGGCAGGAGCTAGTGGATGGGGACGGCTCACGGCCCTCCCTTTCCACTTGCCTTGGAAAGGGAGAGGCAGCAGACAGGAAGGGCCTTGGAACTCAGGCCAGTGTGGGGAGAGTGTCCCCAGAGAGTCCTTGGGGTGGGAGAGGGGTGGAGTTGACAGCCGGTGAGGCCGGCTTTGAGGTTGTGTGGACCCTGTCTGCCTCTAGCTCAAGTTGGGAGGGGTGTCAGCTGTGGAGCTGTGTGAGCCTCGGGGACAGCCACATGTGGGGTGCAGACCGGTCTAGATGTGCCTGTCTGGTGGGCGCTGAAGGTCCCCTTGGGAGAGTCCAGGGCAGCACCTGATAAGCCGAGAGCTGCAGCCGTGTCCACCTGGAACCTGTTTCCTCACCGGGAACATGAACACCTGCTTCAGAAGCTTTGGGGGTTAAAGGTGGGGATACACATAGGTCTCTTGCCCAGCGGTGGACACTCGGTACACTCCTAATAAATGGGGCATGGGGTGGTGGAGTCCAGCACCTGGCTGGGCCCAGGAATGAGGCATCAGTGGTCGGAGGGAAGGGCGTCTGCCCACCTAGCATCTTTGGCAAGGATCTGCCTCCCAGCACCCCTGTGGAGTCCTGTCTGGATGGGAGGGAGAGCAGGGCCGTGGACAGCCTCCAGAGGTGTTCCCCTGAAACCTCTGAATGTCACCAGCACAAGCAGGCTGGGCTGGGCTCTCCCGGCAGTAACACCAACCGAGCACAGCCGTTGTCCTGGGGCATGCCGTCCAGGTTGGGGGACAGGGAGGCAGAGGTCCCGTGTCATTGCCCGTGAGTCCGGGGCTTAGGCACCGCTCTGGGGACCCCTCATGCTGGCCCCCAGGCCCACTGAGGCATAGGTGAGACCATTGCATGGTCCTTGGAAGAACAGGGCTCCTCAGGCAGGGAGTGGACAGAGCCAATGCTGGCGATGGGGGACCTTGCCTCAAGCAGAGTCGTGGGAGATGGAGTCATGGGGGCGTGTGGGGGTCTAGGCAGGGGAGCTGCTGACTGCAGGTGGCCCAGCAGTACCCAGGTTTCTGCTCGCTCCCATTCCACCTCCCCGAGGGCACTCGTGGGAAAGGGAAACATGGCACCCAGCTGGTGCCTCATTCCACCTACCTCCTGAGTCAAAGGGCTCCACCACCCCAGACACACCCAGAGCCTGGTGTCCAGGATGCCATGTGTGTGCCCCAAGCCAGTAGGACCCTTGGGAGGCTCAGCACCCCCTGCCCCAAACAAATGCCTCTCCCCTCTCCACACTCACTGGCATTCCCACAGAATGCCCTCCTGACTTCTAGAGCTTTCCCTGTCCAGAGCTCCGGGAGCACAGGTGGCAGGGAATTAGAGGCATTAGAAGCACAGTGTGGAAGCTGGGCAGAGCTGGCTGAGATCCCACTGTCTCTTCCAGGCTGGCCTTGAGCAAAGCTCAAAACGCATCCCACAGGGGTCAGTACCTGCCCATGTGGTGGGGGATATTCCACCAGGTGAAGTGTGTAAGGGCTCAGCAGGGAGCCTTGGCACATGGTGAGTCCTTGGTGAGGGAAGGCTGTTGGTTTGGAGAGGTGAGGCCCACAAGGCCGTCAGTCCGCCATGCTGTGCCAACCCCAGTGATGAGAGGATGAAGCCAGGTCAGGGAGGTCTCATCTACCAGGCTCCCACCTGAGCTGGCAGCTCCTCACGCCATCCCAAGCCATCAGAACTCAGGTCCTCGAAGGGAGGCCTGGCTGCCCCCTTCCTCTGGAGCCAGACAGGACCACACCTCCTGCGCCCTGGGGCTTCACTCCAACAGGGGAGCTTCCCAGGGGGCCGGGAGACTCAGAAGAAATGCCCACAACTGCCTGGCATGTGGTAGGCTTTGCACAAAGAGCAGTAGCTTCAACCCCAATGACCCACCTCTGTGAGGGGGGCAGAGATGGCTCTGGGCTCCTCTGGGGCTGGAGGTCAGGCTCTGCTTAAAACCGTTGGTTCCTCAAGGACCATGGGTGTCAGGTGGGCCTCCCCAGCTGAGGGCCTGGCCAGGACCTGGTCAGGGGGTCCTTCATTTTCCCCTCCCCTTGCAAGAAGGAGCAGGCCAGAGCCTGGAGATAAGTTTGCAGACAATTTTTACGTGAGTAGTTTATGTTTGTTTTGAGATAAAAGTCATCATTTCCACTACAACTCATTGACTTTTGGTATATTCACAATCATGTGCAACCATCATTACTGTTTAGTTCCAGAACGGTTTTTTACCCCAAAGGGAAACCCCATATCCATTAGTAGTCACTCCCCGTTCTCCCTTCCCCAGACCCTGGCACCCAGCAAGGGCTTCCTGTCTCTGGACAGGCCTGTTGTGGGCACCATGCCGACGTGGAATCACCGTGTGTCTCTGGACAGGCCTGCTGTGGGCGCCATGCAGGCGTGGAATCACCGTGTAGTCTTTTCTGTCTGGCTTCCTTCTCTTGGCATAATGTTTTCAAGATGCACCTGTGTCGTGCCAGGTGTCAGGACCTCATTCTTCTTTATGGCTGAGTCATATTCCATCATATGGATCAGTATAAACATTTTGTTAATCCTGGTGGATATTTGGGTTTTTTCCATTCAGGGCTTTTGTGAATAATGCTGCAATGAAGACTGATGTACACGCTTTTGTGTAAACATGTTTTCAGTTGCCTTGGGTATATATACCTAGGAGTAGAATTTCTGGGTCATGTGGTGACCCTGTGTTTAACTTTCTGAGAAACTGCCAGACTTTTCCATAGCAGCTACATCAGTTCACATCCCCACCAGCAATGCCCAAGGGTTCCAGGTTCTGCACACCCTCACCACCACTTGCTATTATCTGCCGCTTAGATTCTAGCCATTCCTTGGAGTAGAAACTGGTGTTTCGGCTGGGCACAGTGAGTGGTTCATGCCTGTAATCCCAGCACTTTGGAAGGCTGTGACAGGAGGATCACTTGAGCCCAGGAGTTTGAGACCAGCCTGGGCAACATAGTGAGACCTCATCTCTACAGAAAACTAAAAAATTAACCAGGCATGGTGATGCACTCCTATAATCACAGCTACTCGGGAGGTTGAGGTGGGAGGATCACTTAAGCCCAGGAGGTTGAGGTTGCAGTGAACCGTGATTGTGCCACTGCATTCCAGCCTGGGTGACAATGAGACCCTGCCTCAAAAAAAAAGTGGTATTTCATTGTGCATTTGATTTGCATTTCCTGATGGCTAATGGTGGTGAGCGCCTTCTCATGTCTAGTAACCATTTGTATATCCTCGTGAGCAAAGCATCTATTCAAATCCTTTGCCCATTTTAAAAATTGGGTTGTCATCTTGTTGAGTTGCAGAAGTTCTTTATATGTTCTGAATCCTAGATATTGATCACTTCTTTAGTTTACAAATATTTTTTCCTGTGGGTTGTCATTATTTTCTTGTTAGTGTCCTTTGATGCATGAAAGTTTTTAAATTTGATGAAGTCCATCTATTTTGTTGCTTATGCTTTTGATGTTAGATTTAAGAAGCCATTGACTAATTCAAGGCCATGAAAATTTACACCTACATTTCCTTCTAAGAAATGTATAGTTTTAGTGCTTCTTACCTTTAAGTCTTTGATCCATTTTGACTTAAATTTGTGTATGGTGTAAGGGAGCAGGTCCCATGTCATACCTGTGAGTAGCCAGTTGTCCCAGACCATTTTGCTTTGTTGTTGAGACAGGGTCTCGCTCTGTTGCCAAGACTGGAGTGCAGGGGTGTGATCATGGCTCACTGCAGCCTCGACCTCTTGGGCTCAAGCAATCCTCCTGGCTCAGCCTCCAGAGTAGCTGGGACTACAAGCATGTGCCACCATGCCTGGCTAATTTTTTTTTTTGAGACAGAGTCTCGCTGTGTCGCCCAGGCTGGTGTGCGGTGGCGTGATCTCGGCTCACTGCAAGCTCCGCCTCCCGGGTTCACGCCATTCTCCTGCCTCAGCCTCCTGAGTAGCTGGGACTACAGGCGCCCGCCACCACGCCCAGCTAATTTTTTTTTTTTTTTCAGTAGAGACGGGGTTTCACCGTGTTAGCCAGGATGGTCTCGATCTCCTGACCTCGTGATCCACCTGCCTCAGCCTCCCAAAGTGCTGGGATTACAGGCGTGAGCCATTGTGTCCGGCCTAGTTTTTCAAGATTTTTTTGTAAAGACAGGGTCTCACCATGTTACCCAGGCTGGTCTCCAACTCCTGGGCTCAAGCTTTCCTCCCACCTCGGCCTCCCCAAGTGCTGAGATTACAGGCGCGAGCCACTGCACCTGGCCCATTTCCACTTCCTCCTTTCCACTCTGAACGCCTTTTATTTCTTTTTCTTGCCTCATTGCTCTGGCTGGAACGTCTAGCACTTTGTTGAACGTGGTGGTGAGAGCACACGTCCTCGTCTCATTCCTGATCGAACGCGGTGGTGAGAGCACACGTCCTCGTCTCGTTCCTGATCGAACGCGGTGGTGAGAGCACACATCCTCGTCTCGTTCCTGATCGAACGCGGTGGTGAGAGCACACGTCCTCGTCTCGTTCCTGATCGAACGTGGTGGTGAGAGCACACGTCCTTGTCTTGTTCCTGATCTTAAGGGAACGTTTGCAGTCTTTCACCACTAGATGTGATGTGAGCTGTTAGATTTTCAAGGATGCTCTTCATCCAGCTGAAGACGGTCCCTTCTAGTCCTAATTTGTTAAGTGTTTTTATCCTTAAAGGGTACTGGATTTTGTCAAATGCTTTTCTGGCCTCTATTGAAAAGATCCTGTGTTCTTCTGTGAATATGAGGTGTTACATTGATTGATTTTCATATGTTGAGCCAGTTTCCATTTGTGGAATACATCTAACTCGGTCATGGTGTATAATCCATTTACTCTGCTGCTGAATGTGATTTGCTTGTATTTTGGTGCGGATTTTTACATCTGTATTTATAAGGGATATTGGTCTGGTGTTTTCTTATGATGTCTTCCTTTGGTTTTGATATCAGGATAATATTAGCCTCATAGATTGGGTTAGGAAATGTTCTCTCCTCCGTTTTTTTTGGAAGAGAGAGATTGGTGTTAATTCTTGCTAGAACCTTTGGTAGAATTTGCCAGTAAGCCTATCTGGTCTTGGGTCTTTGGGAGGATTTTGATTCGATTCAATCTATGTATTTGTTATAGATCGTTCGGATTGTCCATCCTTGAGTCAGTTGCTAGCTTGTGTGTTTCTTGGAGTTTTTCCGTTTCGTCCATGTTATCTCATCTGTTGGCATACCGTCGTTCACGGGATTTTATTGATGTGTGTGAGGTCTCTGAGAACGTCCCTGCCTTCACTCCTGCTTTTAGTCACTGGCATCTTCTTTTAACTTGGGCCATCTGGCCGTGCATGGTTTTGGGAGAGTCCTCCTTGACTCTGCAGATGCTGAGCAGTGATCTGGCTGGGAAAGGGGACCAGGAGTGCAGGGCACCTGCTGAGGACTCACCTAAGCCCAAGAGTCAGAGAGTCGGAGCTCCAACCACATCTGCCTGCATGCCTTTCCCAGGCTCTCCCCAGGCGGACAGCCAGCACCCCCTCCCCAAAGACCGGGCAGTTCCTGACCAGCACCCCACCAAGTCCTCAGTAAGGCCTGTCTTTGGGGGAGCAGGGTTTCAGGAGGACAGTGGGGGTGGTGTAGAACTCATGGCTGGCGGTTCCGGGCCTCTCAGGAAGCTTTGCCACTGGGCTTGGGGTTAAGTGGGTGTGGGGCTCCGAACCCTAAATGGGTGAGAGTTGAAATGAAAGCGGCACCTGTAGTCCGTTTGGGGTGCAGGTGTGTGCCAGGGGTCTTCAGCCCCGGCTGATGGCCACATGAACCACATGAGGAGAGGCAGGGCGTGTCAGCAGCAAACCTAAGTGTGTGCTCATTTCTGTGGGCCCTTACTCTGTGACACTGCAGCTCTCCAGAGAGACGCTTTGAAAACAAAACAGGAAAGAACACACGGCCCCGCGTCTGTTGCCTGAGTCACTGTATTCCTTAAAAGGTGAAGGACCCTGGTCCTTGGCTTTTCGTGCACATGAGAAAATGTTGGCCAAGGTTAGCGATTATGCTTCTGTAATCTGTAACCAGAAGTGCTCTTATGCCCAAACCTTGATGTGATTCTGCTGTAATGTAACTTCGGAGCCAGCTGGATGGATGTGACTGTGCAGGTCCTGAGCCCCGGCCCCCGTAACCAAGCAGTGGGCCGAGACACTGAGCCGGGCAGTCAAACAGGAGCTCTCTAAGGCTGCTCCCGGGCTGGGACCTGGGTCTAGGATTCTCAGTAAGACCTTTGAATAAAACTAACTTGAATTCTTCAAAAGCTTGATTTTTTTTCTTCAGTCAAAAGCATCTTGCAGAGATGCCAGCCCACCGTGGGGATGTGCAGTGGCAGCCCTGAGCTGGCCCAGCCCCTTTCCCCAAGGCTGCTCTGGGGAGGGGGGCGGGTTTGGGGGAGTAGAGTGCAGGGGATTGAAGCAGGGGAAACAGGGTGTGAGGGTCAAGGGGGGCTAGAATTGGGGGAGCAGGTTCACGGGCCAGGGGCTGGGCAGGGGTGGGCCTGGGCACCTGGTAGGTGGGGGAGCCCCAACTTCCCATCCCTGCGTCACACGCCCTTCCCCTGCAGGGTGGGGGTCTGCAGGGTTGGCATGTGCCCCCCTGCCCTGTCCCCACCCTACTCCCCGGCGGCAGGCAGAGGGGCGTGCAGGGGGGCCCTAAGTGCAGTGACGTCTCGACTCTGACTCCGACCCACAGAACTTTAAAAATAGGGCCGTGGTAAAGTCCGTCTCTACAGACCACAGCCTGCCCAGAGCTAAGAATATTCTTGAACCACTTAATAATTCAAGTCAGATCCAAATAGATTTTCCTGCTCACTTGCGGGCCTCTGTGTCCCTTTCCCAGGCCCCCACCCTGCCTGGAGGCTGGGAGGGAAAGACTCCAAGAAGCAGGTGGGCCTGGCCTTTGGAGCCTCTGAGACCCCAGCTGTCCTGCGTCCCCTCTCCTGTGGCACTCAGGATCAGAAGACACACCAGGGCTGGAGTGGTCCTTTAGGATCTGGCCAAGGTCAGGCCCCAGGGAGGGGCCCCTCTGGTGGTCCTAGCTGTCCCAAGCCCCACCCCTGCTCTGGCCACAGGCATTGGACTATTTGAATCTGGGTCTGAGCTGGGCCTTGGCCCCTTGCACAGCATCTGACCTGAGCCACGCACCTCTCATGGGGGCCCCGTCCTCCAGGGCCAAGGGCAGCATGAGCTCCAGGAGAGCCAGCCTCGCCCCTCACACCCTGGTAGCTGGTACACGCCCACCCCAGGGCCTGTGTCCTGCCTCCTCTGCGGAAGAGTCCCTGAAGGGCCTGGCCTGGGGCTCCTTGTCCTGGTGGAAGTGGCTGTGCACAGGCAACCAGGGCCCTGGGTTCCAGACCAAGGCCTCTGTACTTGTGTGCTGTGTGTGCTTGGGTAAGCCACCTCGCCTCTCTGAGCCTCTTATCAGTGGGACCGATGCTTTTAGAATAAGCTGTGGTGTTTGGGGCAGGAAGGGGTATCTGACGGGTGCCCTGAGGCCTGAGTCACCCTCTCCTCCAGGGGCAGTGCCCAAGCTGCAGACACCCCTCACCCATCCCTGTCTCCCCCCAGGCTCTGGTCTTTCAAACAGGAACTCAGGGTGAAGGGGTGCCACCTGGGAATGTTTGGGGGAGCCCACACTTGCTGGCGGGGAAGTGCTCACCAGCCTGGCCCCCCAACCCCGGCAGCAGCCCAGCCTTAGCAGTCCCTGCTGAACTTCCCTGGCCAGGCCCCGAGTGGAGTTTTACCAAATTATTAATTAAGGGCAAAGCCATGCTGCAGCGCTGACATCCAGATGAATAGCACGCAGTGTAATTAGGCGAGGTGTCATGGAGATGATGGAGTACAGCCTGCTAGCCCCAATTCACCTCCCCGGCAAGCAGGAGCAACTTCTCTGTGTCCTACCACCATGGGCGGCTGGTGTGGGGCCAGTAGGGGTGTGGCTAAAGGGGCCAGCTGACAGCTATTGCGGGTGCCACGGGCCCTGTGGACAGGGCTGGGCTCCTCCCCCAGGGACAGGCACCCCTTCCCCTCTGATTGCCATGGGCAGAACCCAAAAGGGAGTAAAGTGCAGAAAGGGGCAGGCAAGGTGGGAGGCAGGCTAAGGCAGGAGGGATGAGGACCAGGACAAATCCACAGATAGACCCGGAGCAGCCCAGAGAGGGGCATGGAGGGAGCACAGGAGGGCCGAGAGGGGCCGGGGAGGAGGTGCAGAATCCAGGAAGACAGGACAGGCCTCGGGGCCCTACCCTGGGGTTGCCTGGGCCTGACAGAGAGCTGGGAGCGGGGAGCAGCTTGAGAATTTTTGGTTTTGTTTTTTAGTTACTTACATTCATGTATTTTTGGTTGTTTGAGACGGAGTCTCGCTCTATCGCTGAGGTTGGAGTGCAATGGAGCAATCTTGGCTCACTGCAACGTCTGTCTCCCGGGTTCGAGCAATTCTCCTGCCTCAGCCTCCTGAGTAGCTGGGATTACAGGCGCCCGCCACCACACCCAGCCAATTTTTGTATTTTTAGTAGAGACGGGGTTTCACCATGTTGGCCAGGCTGGTCTCGAACTCCTGACCTCAATGATCCACCCGCCTCAGCCTCCCAAAGTGCTGGGATTACAGACATAAGCCACCGCTCCCTGCCTACATTTCATGTATGCTTTTAATCAACATCATAAATTGACAGTTTTAATAATCGAATAGTACTACAAGGCTTCTGACGAAAAACCACACCTCTTTCCTGATTCCCCCTTCTCAGAGGCAACCTTTTCTGTGATTGTAGCTGATTCTCTTTGGTATTTACTTCCGAATAGCCATGCTCATGTTGCTGCTGGTGCTGCTTTTTTTTTTCTCCTTTTCAGATTGAGAAATTTACCCATGTCCTTCCCACGATGGCGGCTGAAAGCTTGTTCTCTCACACGTGCCCCCCCACACTCTCCCACCAGCTTCTCCTTTTGATTGAATCAGAATTCAATGTATGCACTATTATTTCTCAGCACACACTCTTCCCAGCTGAGTAATGTATTGTAATTACATTTCCTTTCTTGTACAACCACTTATTTTTCCTGGACTTAATAATTGCCTCATTTAGGGGATTGGGTTGATATTCTGTGTACCCATTACTTATTTATCCCCAAACCCTGCCATGGAAGTATAAATCTCCTTTTGGTTCATTAAAAACATCCGGCCCATCTGGGCACAGTGGCTCACGCCTGTAATCCCAACAGTTTGGGAGGCCGAGGCGGGAGAATTGCTTGAGCCCAGTAGTTCGAGACCAACTTGACAACATAGCGAAACCCCATCTCCATCACTATTTAGTTTTAAATAAAAGATATTTTTAAAATTAAAAACATCCAGGCCAGGCTGCGCTGGGCCCGCCTCACTGTAGGGGGCTGCGCTGGGCCCGCCTCACTGTCGGGGGCTGCGCTGGGCCTGCCTCACTGCACGGGAAGTGTGCTGCCGCTGTCCTTGGTGCTGAAGTCAAGGCTGGGGCCGGAGCCTCTCCTCCAGCCTCACTCCTCTTCAGCTTCCGCCCTGCTTCGCCTCCATTCCTGCCCAAGACCCCCTGGGGAGCAGACCCCAGGCCCTCCTCAAGACTGCCGACCCCAGCCCTCGTCCCAGCCCAGGCCATCTCTCCCAGGCCTTGCCTTTCTGTACCAGGTGGTCTTCCTCCCCAGGGGGCTCCTCCCCGCAGCCCTGGCAGACAGCTTGAATCCTGGAGTTGCAGCAGGTGGGTGTCTGAGTGGAGCTCCCTTGTGTATAATCAGAACTCTCCAGGTTACATGTGACAAAAACCAACTTAAGCAAAGCTGGGACCTCGTTAGTTCACTCCAGGAGGCAGCGCCGCCCTGCATGGCCTGGCCTTGGCTCCCTCCCTCTCCGGGAGGCTGCTCCCTCATCAGCCCAGCCTCACTTCCTCACCCACATAACAATCCTTGGCAGAGTGAGCCCTGCTGTTCCAGCGGCCCCAGTGGCCCCAGCGAAGGCCCCACGCCGACACTTGTTGGCTGGCCAGGCTTGAGTCACATGCCTTCCCCTGAACCCCTCACTGTGGCCTGGGGTCGGGGGGCCAAGTGCCCAGTGCAGAGCTAGGGCCTGGAGCAGCCTCAGTGCACCTTGTGGAGAGGGGGACTTCTCAGTAGAACAGCACTCTTGCCAGGAGAAGGAACACCTGGTTGAGAAAACCGAGGTCAGGTGACCTTCTCAAGAAGGGTCAGTGGCTTCAGGATCTCTCATAAAGCTTCATCTCCAAGGCCCAAGGAGAGCAACAGTGTCCCATCTTGTCTCCAGGTAATTCTATTCCGGTGCCAGCAGAGAACAGCGTGATTAAGCCTCCATTATTAACTTGCCAATCTTGTTTCTGGGGCACAGACGCTAACGGCTTAGGGGACCCAGTTGGCATATAATGAGGTCTCCATGACAAATTACTTGGTTATCAATTAACTATCTGGGGAAATGTCAAGCAGGATCCATCATGCTGGCAGGAAGAGAGAGCCAATTAACCCAGGGCAGTTCATCCAACCCACCGTCGCTGCGTCCAGCAGGGCCAGGAATGAGAGAAAGGGCCTGTGGAGCCCAGAGCAGGGCAGTTCCTCCACCCCCCCAGGGACGGTGTGACACCGGCTGCGGCTACACTGGTGGCAGCTTCTGCAGTCATGCCTCGCGTGCTCGGCGCACCACTCTTGCCTGTACCTGTCTCTGTCCATTCATTCATTCATTCCACAGTCACCTGCATGTCAGACCTGGACCAGGCACGGATGGGAGAGGTGACTGAGGGCTGAGGTTAGGGAGGGACACACGTGCAGACTGCAGACAGGTGTCCCTGTCTTGTGTGGTCTCTGCAGTCAGCAAGATGGGTAACAGCATCCTCAGGACAGGGAGGAAAGAAGAGTTCATTCTAAAGGTGGTGGGGGGACAGAGAGAGCATCATAGCTGGGAGGAGAGAAGAGTTCATTTTAAGGGGGTGGGCGGGGGACAGCATCACAGAGCTGGGAGAAGAGTTCATTCTAAGGGGGTAACGGGGGGACAAAGCATCACAGAGCTGGGAGGAGGAGAGAAGAGTTTGTTCTAAAAGTGGGGGGCACAGAACATCATAGAGCTGGGAGGAGAGAAGAATTCATTTTAAGGCGGTAAGGAGGGGACAGCATCACAGAGCTGGGAGAAGAGTTCATTTTAAGAGAGGGTGACAGAGTGTCTCAGAGCCAGGAGGAGGAGAGAAGAGTTCATTCTAAGGTGGGGGACAGAGCATCACAGAGCTGGGAGAAGAGTTCATTCTAAGGGGCGGGGGACAGAGAGACACAGAGAGACTCTGTGACAGCATCACAGAGCTGGGAGGAGGAGAGAAGAGTTCATTCTAAGTGGGGGTTGGGGGGTGGGGGCAGGACAGAGTGCATCACGGAGCTGGGAGGTGGAGGAGGAGAAGCCAGGTCCCTGAGACAAGGGGCAGGGTGGGTGGCCACCAGGCAGAGGGTGCCCAGGCACAGCAGGGGACGGGGCTGCTCCAGGCTTGGGCAAGGGACCATTGACTGTGCACTGTCCGGACCTGAGCAGAATCTGGCTCTGCCGTCGCTGTGCTGGGAGACCTTGAAACAGTTTAGTAAAACCTCGCCGGGCCTCTGTTTTCTTATCTATAAAATGGGGATAATAACCCCCAGTTCTGGGAGTGTTGTGGGAACTAACACTGTGGCCCCCACTTGGTGCTGGCTGAACCTGGTTCCTCCTTCTCCTCCCTACAAGAGAGGCCTTGGACCCACCTCACTGGTGAAGGCTCCCAGGGTGCACATGCCGGAGCAGAGGCGCAGGGAGGAGGGAGGCATCCTGGAGGAGGTGGCTTGGGCTGTCCTGGAGGAGGGAGGTGGCTTGGGCTGACGGCCGGCACACGGACGGGCCCGAGGCCGAGTGGCAGGGTCGGGGACTTTGGTCACTTATCAAAGTCAAAGCCCAGGACTTTTTGGGTTTTGCTTTGTTTTCAGCAAAGGCCCTTGGGTCACCTGCGATGTGTCCCACCCTTGTGAGAACCAGTGACGAAGCCCTGGCCCTACCCTGTCCCCTGGCCTTTGCCTGTGCCCCCACCCCGCCCCTCTGGTAGCCCCCTCCCCTTGCCTACTTGGGGGTGATTGGCAGCTGCCTCTTCCCAGCCCCCCAGGCCATGGCACGGAGCCTCAAGCCTATTCATGATGCGGACATATGGCACCTCCACGGGGGGCTTGGAGGAAACTGCCAATTGCGAGAGTGCAGCGTGTCCCCATTCCAGCCCTGCCGGAGCAAAACAAACGCAAGTCGCGAGGGGAGCAGAGGCGGCCCGGGGGCGTGCGCATGTGTGCGGGTGTGCCTGTGTGTCTGCAGCTCACACCGCGGGGGTGCCGGGAGGAGGGGGGCTGCCCGATCCTTGGGAGTCTGCGGCTTTCAGACGCTCCTGGGGGCTCGGCTACTGGGGTCCTAAGGAGGCGAGCTGGCCCCCTCATTCCGCCCCGCAGGCCGTGCCTCTCCTGTCTTGAGGCCGCTTTTGCCTCCCCACACCTCTTACCCAGGACGCTGGGCTGGAGGCTGTGAACAGCCCTGGGAGCAGATCCCAGAGATGCTCTCATTCTTTCCGGAATCAGGACGTTCCCCCCAGTGTCAAGCCCAAGTCCCCAGGGCTCCAGGCTTAGCCAAACTCTTCTGTTTTATTGGAGGTGGCACCACCCCCATATCAGTGGGGGCACTGCAGCCACCAGTGCATGGCCCCCTAGGCCCCTGCCCCATGCTGGGCTCACCCTCCTGTGCCCAGCTGGGGACCCAGGCATGACAAAGCCCTGCTCCTGCGGCAGGGGAGGGCGTGGGGGGGTGGGGGGGCGTGGGGAGGGAGTGGGGAGGGCTGCAGGGGAGGGCGTGGGGAGGGCGTGGGGAGAGGCTGGCCAAAGGCCAGGCTCTGGGGGTCTCAGCACACTCCTCTCCCGACCCAGGGCTGGAGGCTGCTGCCATGGAAACCAGGCCTGTCCACCCACTGGCCATGTGCATCCAGGGGCCATGGCCACCACCTCCTAGCACCCAGCTCTGCCCCCCACCCCCATTCGGGGGAGTGAGAAGTCAGGAGAGAGAGGAAGGGCGCTAAGCAGAACCTGGAGGGTGGGCCTGGGGTACCAGAGGCTGAGGTGCTCAGGCAGGCTAAGGGTAAGGGGCCTGTCCCCTGAGCCCCAGCTGAGGGTCTAACCCTCTGTGCTGCTGGGAAGCTCCAGACCCTCTGCCACAAACCTTGGCATGCACTTCGGGCAGTGGCAGCCCCTGTGGGGTGTGTCCGTGGCACCCATCAGCCTCCTCCTTGTGGCTGGGGCCTAGGAGCAGAATCTGCACGCTTTGGGCCTTCCCCAGGGAGTCAGGGAGGCGAGGGTGCAGCCCGCTAGAGAGTGGCCCATCCATCAGTTCCCTCCCAGGAGCGCTGGCTGGGGATGCTGGTGGGGAGGGGCTGCAGGGGCGGCTCTGACTCCAGCTCTGCCGACACCCTGTCCCCAGCACTGGCAGGCACCTGGGTGTCCTAATCTGTCTATAGCCTGGCCTTGGACGAGGGGCCTCTGCCCCAGCTGGGTGGGTGTTTCAGGGCCCAGGCCCCCACCTTGGCTGGCAGCGTGCACACCCGCCACAGGCACTGGGCCGACCAAGTTGCAGGCACCACTGTGCATCCAAGCATCTGCTGCCGCCGTCTCGGGGCAGATGGGCTGCCAGTGAGCTAAGTGTGTGCGGGGGAAGGGGTGCCATAGGAACCCCTCCCCGCCGGGAGCGCGGGGGCGGGAGAGGCAGGCACCCGCCGGTGGGGGAGCCGGGAGCCATCAGAGGGAGGGGGGCTGGGATCACATGGGCTCCAGGGTTGGGGAGAGGCCCATGCAGCCCGTTCCTGGGCCAGGGGCTCAGGGGATCTGGGCTCAGCCTCGGAGGATGCAGAGCCTTAGAGGTCCTGATCAGGGCTGGGAGACCTGTCACCCCTGGCCAGGTGGCCCTGGGCAAGTCCCTTCCTTCTGCAGGCCTCGGGCCCCAGGAGTGTGTGTGGATGGTCTAGAGGGTGCCTTCCCGCTCCGGAGCCCTGTGCCTTGGCAGGATGAAGGCGTCCTCCGCACACAGATGCCTGCCATCTGCAGGGGCCTCCTGCCAGGGGACACCAGCACACCCTGCCAGACTGATCCGGGGCACGTGGGCTACACCTCCGCCCCTTGCTCCAAGGCTGTGGCTCCCAGAAAGGCTGGGGCCATGCTGTGTGTTAAGTGAGGCCACTTCGGAGTTTGCCAGCTTTCCCCAGTCCCTGCCTGGCCACAGCAGGAGCCCCACGGTGAGGGGACCTGCCAGGCTGGGCAGGATGCTGGCCAGGGTAGAAGATCCTGCCCTGCCCCTGCTGCCCCCCAAGCCCATCACACTGTATCCAAGACCCCTCAGGAGTACTGGGATCCGAGGAAGGAGGGAGTGTGGGAGAGTTGGCAAGGAGACAGCCCAAGGCCACCAACAGCCTTGGAAGCCGATTTGTTGGGGCATCAGGAGGGCCTTGAGCAGAGAAGACGACCCCACGGACAAACCCTGCAGCATCCCTGCTCCAGGAGAGGGGTGCCCACCCGGCCTCAGGGGGCTTTTCTTTCATGATGGCAGTAAACAGAGCAAAGTTGTCTGTGCTCAGTCCCTGTCCTGTGCCAGAGGCTGCTCTGAGAACTCAGCTCTTCTGTAATTGGCACAAGAATGCTAAGAGCCACCCTTATGCCCACTAGACAGAAAAGGAGACTGAGGCTGAGCAAGCTGGGGCAGCTGGCCCCGGCCAGGGGCCAACGAATGGCTGAGCTGGAATTTGAGCCTGAAGTCTGCTTGACCCCTTGGGCTTTCTGACCAGAGCACCCCACTGGAAGGGCACGTGTCCTCCAGGAGAGGCTGCCTGGTGCCTCCAAAAGTGCAGGGAAATGGGGCAGGTGGCCCCTCTGTGCCCCCTCCCCCACCAAGCCTAAGGGGGCCCCCATCGCCACCATGGCTCTCTCGGATTCAACAGATGCCTCCGCCTGGCTGTGACTCAGCCTCTTAGTTTGTTGGTGGTTGCCTTTTTTTTTTTCTTTTTCTTTTCCAAAGTATGACATCGCCACTGAGCCTTGGCAGAGTGGCTCCCAGGACACTGGCAGGTCCCTCCCAGGCCTTGCTCAGGAGTGCCCATGGGTGGCCCCAGCTTGCAGGGGCCAAGGTGGCTGATGACCAGATGCCATGACAGGCACCCCAAAAGGGCCTCGCCCTTGGACTGTGGCCCTGGGCAGACTCTGTTACCTTCAAAGTAGGCACAGCCCATCCCTTAGTTGCACCTGACTGGGGCACAGTGCCGGGGACACCTGTCCAAAGTCACCCTCCCCAGCTGCCTCACAGCCCAAGGACATCTGTCCAAAGTCACCCTCCCCAGCTGCCTCACAGCCCAAGGACATCTGTCCAAAGTCACCCTCCCCAGCTGCCTCACAACCCAAGGACACGGCGCGTACTTGACGTTGCAGATTGGGCCAGAAACCCTCCTGGGGGGAGGGGCCCAGAGCCCTACTTTTCACGGGTGGGCTAAGAAACAGAGGATGTGTCTTGGAGAAGACTTGCAGGCCAGGAGCACTGCCCATTGCCAAGGCCAGTGGGCTGAGTTCCACGGAGAGAAAAAGGCTTTCCCTCCATGAAGGAAGCTTTCTTGGCATTTGGGACTATTGGTAGAGCCCACAGTTTTTTTTGTTTTTTTGGTTGGTTTGTTTTGTTTTATTTTTATTATTTTTTTTTTTTTTGAGATGGGGTCTCACTCTGTCACCCAGGGTGGAGTGCAGTGGTGCAATTTCGCCTCGTGGCAGCCTCGACCTCCTGGACTCAAGCAATCCTCCTGCCTCAGCCTCCCAAGTAGCTGTAACTACAGGTGTGTGCCAGCACACCCAGCTAGTGTGTGTGTGTATACACACACACACATATATAGTAGAGACAGCATCTTGAGATGTTGCTCAGGCTGGTCTCAAACTCCTGGCCTCAAACAGTCCTCCCACCTTGGCCTCCCAAAGTGTTGGGATTACAGGCATGAGCCACCGTGCCTGGCCTTAGCCTGTGTTTTGTGAGGTGGTGAGTTCCCTGTCCCCAGAAGGATTTCAGCAGGGATAGCATTCCTCACGGGACTGAGTCCCTGTGGTGCAATCAGAGAAAAGAGTCACTCACAGCTGGAGTTGGTCATTTCAGGTTCAAGTCCAGGCGTGTCTGTGTGAACTCAGGAGCAGGGTATTAAACCTCTCTCCTCATCTCTGAAATGGGATTTGGGTCTCCCTCAAAGGCAGTTCTGAGGTCACCCTCAAAGGCAGTTCTGAGGTCTCCCTCAAAGGCGAGACTGTGTGCAGAATGTGTGCAGACATTTTCATGCCCCAGTCTGACTCATGGCCCTGTGCATCTTGACAGGTCTCTGTCTCTGGGAGCCTCATCAGAAGAAATGGCTTAAACTCCACAGGGCGGGATTTGGGGAGGAGAAAGAGCTTTGGGCTATGGGGAGTCAGGAGACGAGGGGATGGCGGGGCTTACTGTCCTTTCAGTGACCCGAGAAAGAGGCTGGCTTGGGTGAGAGGAATGGGGCAGCTTCTCTTGCCTCTGGGACTCAGGAGAACCCAGGGCTCTGAGGCTTGGAGGGGGTCTGGAAGCTGTTGGGGGGCAGGTGGGGCGCTCATGGCATGTAGAACTGGGACATGCCAGGCAACAGTGAGGAGGCCAAGGGTGGTGGGAAACACCATCTGGCAGTGGCAAGCAGGTCTGGGCGTAAGAGGACAGACAATCCCACGTCCAGGACGACAGTCCCAAGGCAGTTGGCTCCTCCTGCCCCAGCGGTCCCAGCCGACACCCACGTCCTTCCCTCTTCTCCTCCTCCCTCCCCGGCTGCCCGTCCTGTGCCCATTTATCATGCCCATGGTAGTGCCCCGAATGGTGGTCCCAGGTGTCCACCCACAACCTCAGAATGTGACCTTTTTTGGAATTAGTCTTTGCAGATGGAATAAAGTTAAAGATTTCGAGATAAAATCATCCTGCATGAAGGGTTAACCTGAAATCCAATGACAGGTGTCCTCGAAAGAGAAAGGCAGAGGGAGATTTGAGACCCAGACACCCACAGGGGAAGGTAGAGGTGGGACAGTGGGAGAGATGCATCCACAGGCCAAGGAGTGCCGAGGTCCCCAGCACCCACGGAAGCTGGGAAAGCGGCCTGGGACAGGGTCCCCGCAGAGGACCAGAAGGATTTTGGAATTCTGGTCTCCAAACCTGTTAGAGAATAAATGTCGGTTGATTTCAGCCATCAAGTTGATGCTCATTTGTTAATGGCAGCCCCCAGAGAGGGAGACAGCCTCCCTTCCCGTCTCTCCAGCCCAGCAGACTGCTGGGTATTGGGGTTGGAAAAGTCTTTCAAGGGCTCAGGGAGTGCTGGGGTGGCCACCACCTTCTGAGCACCATCCTGTGCCTGGGCCTGCCTCCCTTGCAGCCCGAGCCCAGGCATAGGAGCCAGCTCCACTCGCACCTGCCAGCCTCAGCCTCAGCCTCAGAGGTGAGCAATGCCAGGAAGCCGATGCCTCCAGAATCCCTTGACCAACGGGGACGGCAGCGGGGCCCTGGCTTTCAGAACAGCAGGTGCGGGCTGCTGGGTCCATGCCCGGTGGGGGAGGCTGCACGGTTGGGCCCTTGTTCTTGGCTGTGTGGCCGCCGAGGCTCTCCGGAAGGTTCTATGAGCCTCCTAATATCTTGTATTGGGTTCCATTAAGCTGGCCAGAGTGGGTTCTGCCGGTTCCAAGTGGTGTGTGGGATGGGGAAGTGCTCTCAGCTCTGTCCCTGGGACAGGTGGGGGGTGGGCGCGTCACATGCCAGAGATCTGGGGTGAAGGCCTGAAGACCCTTCCCCTCCTGCTGGAGGAGAGCCGACCTCCCCCACAGGGCCTCGTGGGAGTACAGGCGGCCAGCAGGCCCGTGGGAGATCAGGAGGGAGATGTGTTCATAGCCGGCACTCGAGGCACCTGGGTTCGGGACACACCTGGGCTCGGGTCACAGAAGCCCCCCATTCCCCAGGTTGAAGAGGCCTGGGCTTTCCCTGGGCCTGGCTCTCGCTCTCCTCCCCCAACGCTGCTCTGGTCCCCGGCGGCCTCCTCAGGGCCCAAGTCCTCCCTCCCCCTGTCCTCCTTCTCTCCACTACCCCCTTCTTAGAAATGAAGTCATCTAGAAAAATAATCAAAAAATAGAAAGGAAAAAAACACCTTAGAAAATGGGATTTTTTTTCCCCTTCAAACATTTGGTGAGACACCTCCCACACGGATGAGTGGCCACGGGGCCTGTTTTGGTGTGAGAGAGACTTGGGCCTGTACCCTTGGAGTTGTGAGAGGCAGGGGGGCCTCCCAGTCCCACAGTGGGGGTCTACACTAGGCCTCCCCTCTGCAGCCTGGCCAAGGTTGGCCCCAGAAGCCTGAGGTCCCCGCCGATGCCCTGAGCAGGAAGGCCGCTGAGTCCCCGAGGCCAGGGTGCAAGGCAGGGTGGGAGGGCTGGCGGGGGCCAGGCCAGGGGCTGCTTAGCACCTAAGTGAGGCCCTGCCTCCGGTCTCTCCCCTCTTCCCACCCGGCCCACGCCGCTGCAGGGCTCTGGTTTGTTTATTTATAATTCATCCTCTGCCTGCTTCCAAGAAGGCTCCCGGCACTTACTGGAAAGCTGCTTCCTGAAGCTCCGTTGTGCTCCTGGCAGGCTCGGGCTCAAAGCCCGTCAACGCTTCCCCATCACTCGCAAAGGCAGACGACTCAGCCTGGCTTCCAGGGCCCTCCAGATCTGGCCCCCAAATGCAGTCTTTCCGCCACTTCCTGATGTATCTCCTGGCCCCAGAGGGACCCTCCCTTACAATGCAGATTGCTCGAGGGACCCCGGGACCCAGGATACTTCCTCCTACCTTGGGATCAGACCCTCCCTCATCCCATGGCGCCTTCTCTGGTCCCGACAGTGGGGGACGTTGACACCTCTCTTCTGCCCATTGGCTGTCTGCTGTCACAGTTACCTGGTACAGGCTGCTCCTTCTGGCCCCAGCCCGACCTCCCCGGCCCTTGGAGGAGCTTAACCAAGTCAAACTATTGTTAAGGTTGATGGTGACAATGCCAGGGAAGGTGGAGGCTCCCCTCTGCCTCCGGAGTGGCATTGAAGACGGAGGTGCCTGCAGTTGGTCCCCACGCTCGATAGGCAGGAAGCTTTGGTCAGGAGTGGGGCTGAGAGGAGCCACCCTGGTGGCTTAGTCTGGACGCCTGACTGGGGGTTCCATGAGTGTGTCCTCGGGGGCTGGGTGGCGAAGTGTGACTCCACGGGCTGGAAGGGCGGGGACACAGTGTGGTGAGAAACAGCATGCAGGGCTGCAGGCGGCAGCTCTGCAGTCAGGGCTCTGGGCTCAGGGAGCTGTCCCCTGAGCAGGGAAGCTCACACCAGAATTGGTCAGGCAACCCAGGGATCTGTGAGGGATAAGAGATGGTAGTTGTGTGAAGCCTCTAGGCTTTGGGGTGATTTGTTACACAGCCAAAGCTAACTGATACAGCCAGGAACTGCTGATGGCACAGCCGGAAGTCCCACCCACCCTTGAGAGATCAGCCCCTGCCTTGGGCAGGAAGCCCAGGAGGCTGTGGGAAGATCTCTGGCCTGCTGGAGGCCCCGGTTGCTGGTGCTAAGAGGAGGGGCAAGGAGGGACCAGGGAAGGGGACACCCTGACCACTGGAGTGCTGAGGAGCGAGTTGGGGGGTGGCCAGATTGGGGTTAGCAGCTCGAGGGGCACACCTGGGGGGCTGTTTCCAGGTGGATACTGGAGGCCAGCCAGCAGGCTCCCTTGAAGCAAGCCCTCATGCCACCTTCCCAGCCCATCTGGGACCTCACCACATCTTGCTTCTGGGAGGAGGGTCACCCTCGATCCTGGGCCTGCTGCCTCAGGCTGACTCTTCCCTGCTGTGGCTGAGTGAGCAAGCTCGGACCCTGGCCTGAGGGCCTGCTTAGTCCCCCTCTCAGATTTGCACCGGTCAGGGCCAAATAACTGGCTTAGCCAGGGGACCCTGGAAACCTCACTTCATTTCCTTCAAGCCCTAATTCCTCCATTGAAAAACAGGGCCCTGTGCGGAGGAGTAAACGCGAGAAAGCCCACGGGGCATCCATGCATATCCCCCTGGCTCAGGGCCTCAGCTTTCCCTTCTGTAAAATGATGCTATCTCTTCCGCTTCTCCCTCTGCCAGTCTGTACCTCCAACTTCTACAGAGCAGACCGGATGCCTCTGCCCGCCGGCAGGGCACGTCACAGGTAAGGGGTGGGGGCTGTGCCCCATCCTCCACCATCTGTGGGCTCCAGATCCCACTGGCCTGGTACCATCAGTCATGGCCAACTCCCAGCTTCTCCCTCCCTCAGCTTAAGCAGCCACTGCCTGGCAGAAGGGGAGCCCTGGCATGGCAGGACCCTTGGGGACTGCCCTCAGGAAGCCTCAGTGGCAAGGGCAGATGCCAGCTGGGCTGTGTCAGGGATCCTCTGCCACCTGGCAGACACACTACAGAGCGTGGCCTTTCCCTGCTGCCGACTCTCCTTGTCACTGAGTTCCGTGGGGCCACAGATGTCCTGGCCATGGGGGTCAATGCAGAACAGATGTCCATCCCTGGCCACAATGCTCTGTGCCAGAAGGACAGTGCCAGAATGGCCCCTTGCTGACACAGCCCCAGAACCCCTGACTTTGGAACTGGGTGGAAGGGAAGAGAGGAGCCAGGTGACTCCATCTCCTGAAGGAACTACCTTTGGGAGCCCAGGACCGGCCCAGAAGCATCTGGCTGTGGGGTGGCCTACAGCCTCCTCCCCACATGGCTGGCTGGCAGATGGCTGCCCTGGCCTGCCCAAGCCACATGCCCGGCAAAGAGTTCCTCTGCCAGTGCCGGGGCCCACGAGGAAGCCGGCTGTCCGGACATTTGCATGCAATTCCGGGCAGCCCCGGATGCTTGTCTGGCTTCCAGCCTGGGAAGTGGCATCGAGCCCTGGGAAGAGGACAGGCTTCACGGCCACAAAGAGCTCAACTGAAGATCTGAATCCTGCATTTAGTAGTGGTGTAACCGGGGTCAGGGGCTTTCTGAGCCTGTTTCCTCCTCTGTAAAGGAAGGCTAATGTGTAAATGTGAGCTTGACATCTAGAGCCACATCCAGCACAGAGGAGGCGATCAATGATGGCTGGCTCCTTCCCTTCGTCCATGGCTCACGCCTTACACCTGCTGCTCTAGGCAGAAATGCCCCCCTGAGAACCCCTGAGAGGACTTCCAGAGACCCCACCCTGGAAACTGATCCCACCCTCCTCCTTCTCTGTGACTTCCACACAGCCTCTTCCTCATCATTCCTTCCTACCAGACTAAGGGGCCTTGAGGGTGATACCAGGTGTTCTCCAGACAATTCAACACCTAGCAGAGTGCTGCGCGGGGCTGCCAGCATAAATCAATGACATCTTTCAGCCCAGAGGGTTCTGAGAGTGATTGCATTTGACAGCACTTCCTGAGGCGCCCCTGGCCTCCTGAGGAATGAGCTGTTCAGGGCATCTGGCAAGCAGACACCAGTCCATGCTGGCACCCTTCCTTCTGGAGAGTCACCCAAGGGAGCCACCGATCGCTGCTAGAACTGGAGCAGAGTCCTCAAACAACAGTCTGCACACAGACAAGACCCGGGATATTTCTTTGATCCAGCTCCTGCCTTACAGGACTTCATCTTCACCCATTCCTGAGGAAGGAGAGAGGAAAAAAAGACCTCTCATACACCCCCTCAGTCTAGTGTTTACTGAGCACACACTGTGATCTGGATAAGAGAGAAACTCTGCCGTCTTGGTGCTTTCAGACAATACACATCAAATTACATTATCAACGATGCTGGATGGCGCTAAGAGCCGGGGAGGGAAAGCAAGGGAGTACAGGCCACAGACCGTCCTGGACTTCGAGTTTGACTTACATTTTGGCTTTGCCATGGTACAAACGCCATACACATTCAGTATACTCCTCCGCTTACAGATGGGGTTACATCCGGATAAACCTACCGTAAATTGCCTTACAATGCTTTAACCTATGATGGGTTGATGGGGAATCTAACCCCATATGACAGGAGCATCTGTATAGGAAGGGGGCACGGTTTTCAACAGGTGGTCGCCTCACTAAGTGGGAGTCACAGGGTTTCAGGGGAGGAGCGTTCCAGGCCGCGGTAACAGCAGGTGCAAAGGCCCTGAGGCAGGACGGGGCAGGGAGGTCCAGAGTCCACCGCGCAGAGACCCGGGAGGCCGGCAGGCACGGTGAGGACCTTGACTTAAACCCAGGAAAGGGGAACCACACTGGGGCATGACCTCCTGTACTTTCCGAGATCGCTCTGGCTCCTGTGTTGAGGAGACTCAGGAGGGGAAGGTGGAAGCGGGGAGACCCAGCTGAGACGCTACTACAGTCATCTCGGCGGGAAAAGACGGCTCGGAGCAGGGTGGTGGCAGAGGTGGGAGAAGAGGTCAGGTCTGGGGAAATTTCGAAGGCACAGCCA
Organism: Homo sapiens; assembly: GCF_000001405.40. Classification (NCBI taxonomy): domain Eukaryota; kingdom Metazoa; phylum Chordata; class Mammalia; order Primates; family Hominidae; genus Homo; species Homo sapiens. Next base: position 80,454,326 of record NC_000017.11, read on the forward strand.
ACAGGATGTACTGCCGGGCTGGATGCGGGGTGTTAGGGGTCAGGGAGGCCGCCAAGGCTCTGCCTGAGAACTGGGGAGGGCCAGGGGCACCATTTACGGAGCTGGGGAACAGCAGGAGCTCGTTTTGTTAGCAGGTGCGAGGCGCCGGGCATTTAAAGGCGGCCTGACGGGACCGGCCGAGGCGGAAGAACGGACAGGGCCCTGCGGGACCGCGCTCGGATCCGCCTCCTCCCTGACCTCGGCGTCCCCGGCTACTGCCTCCAGAGCCGCTTCGGGGCCGACCCCGGGGACTCTTCCCGCCTGCGGCCTCGCGCCAGCCCGGCCGGCTCGCCTAGTGCCCGGCGCCCAGAAACGCGTGGAGCTGGGAGAGGCCACACAACCCACGCCGGAAGCCTAACCCCGTCGGCCCCCGCGGCCGGCACCGGCCGGAAGCCCGCGAAGCCTAACTCTCGCGAGACGCCTCCTGAGTCCCGCCTCTCCGCGGTTCCGCCAGTCGCCGCGCTCCTGTCTGCGTTGCTGTGGCAGCCCCGCCGTGCGTCCGCGTTCCCGGAGCCAGCGCGGCGGCGCGCCTGTGCTCGGGGCTTGGCCGTAGCTTTTCCTCAGGTCCCGCGCGGCGCGCCCCTGTGTCGCAGGCGCCCTGCCGCTGCCCGCAGCTTTTGGGGGGTTCGGGGGCGGGGGAAGCAGGGCCGCAGAAGGCCCAATCGGAGCCTTCTGACACCCGCCCCGGCCCGCCGCCCTCCCGGAGCTTCCGTCCCCGCCGCCTGGCTCCTTACTGACACGCGCGCCGCCCCCGGTCGCCCGTTTTCCCTGGGCTCCGGCCTCCTCTCGCTTCCAGCCCTGGCCTGAGGTCCTGAGGGCTCCCTGGAGGGGGCGGCTTCCCAGCACCCAGCGTTTAACAGGGCCCTTTCGGCCTCCCTGTCCCCCAAGCTCAGAGTTGGGGTCTGCAGCAGGGGAAAGAAGGAGGGAGACTGGGCAGCTCAAGTTCCCCAGACCGCACCTATCAGACGGAGGGCGGCCCGCTCCCGTCAGAGCCCGACCTCGGCGGACAGGGGAGGGGATGGGTTGAGAAGCGGGAGAAGGCCACTAGCTGGAAACTCCCTGACGACAGGGACACCGTTCTCGCCCCAGCCCCAGCGCTCGGCCTCCGCAGAGCCGGCCCAACGAAGGAAGAATGAAAATATGAACGTGACATGATGTGGGCTTGAGAGGCCGCCTTGTTCTTTGGATTCACCCAGAAACCTGACTGAAAGGAAAGTTACTGCAACTGGGGAAAAGCACAGTTGGCTGGAGAATTTGGTTTAAAAATAAATAAGTTTTAAATTACGTAACTAACACGTGCTTGGTGTAGAAAATTTGGAAAACATATGAAAGTACGGTATAAAAATCCTCGATCCCACTGCCACATAGAACCACTATTAACATGTCAGAATCGTTTCTTCGGGTGTTTTTTTTTCTTAATGCATTTATATTGCATATACATTTTTTCTCTAACAATATATTGATGTGCCCCAGTCCCCCACAGACCCTAATGTATGAATGGGAATGGAGGCGTCTGAAATGTGACTCACAAAGAGTTCTCTTTCCTCCCTAACACCCCATCCCTGCCTCACCCCTTCAGCGCATTCACAGCAGCACTGGGACTCCGGACTCAGACAAATGTGCACTGAGCTGGCTGGTGCTCTCATAGCCTCTGGCCCCAGAGCTCCACCTTCCCCTGCAGAGGGGGTCCCGGGAGTGTCCTCAAGTGCTCCATGCCCCATGTTCCTTTCCATGGCACCAAATTCTTCTGACCTCCTTCTAGGTGAGGGGTGAGGGGGTGAGGTAGGGGGTTGGGGAAGAGTGTCCCCATGAGGCCTGAGGGGCCTGCTAGTGCAGGGGAGGAAGGGAAGTTCAAGCAAGCAGGCTCAACGGAGGGCTCCACCCTCCAGGTACGGCCAGGTCCTGGGAGAAGGAGGGGAAGCAGTCTGGTCCAGGAGAGAGGCAGCAAGGGCAGATGCTAAGCCTTTGCCTCTGCACTCCCTGGGGACCTCTGGGGACCCCCCCCCCCACCCAGCACTAGTAATCAAAGGAGGACAGACACCTACACACGTGTCCCATATGTCTCACCCTAGCAGGCAGCGAGAGGATGCCCAGTGTTACTCTGGCCCCCTGGAAGGCTAGCTTGCTCTCCTGGGCACAAGTCAGAAGCAGTGTGAACTGGAGTGGGTGGTGGGGGACACCCCTCCCGGTGAGCCCCCCCTCCGACCCGGCTGTCAGTGATCCACAAGTCTGGCCCATCAGCCCTCCCTGCTGAGCACACAGTCCACTGACCCTTCTTCAGAATTGTGGGAATGACCTCACTGCCCCTCCAAGCAACGTGTTGTGCTGCCGCCCACATCAGACATCCGGGGAATGGACTGCACAGCCTCCATGTGTGCTGGCTCCTTGGCGCCTGCAGAGCCGGGTTGATTCTGTCTTTCCCTTCAACTCTTGTCTTAAAGGATATCCTGAGCGTGCCGGCTCCTCTGCTCAGAGGGTGTTAGGGTGGCGGTGGCAGTGGGCACCTCTCTGCTCCTCGGCTGGGTGCTCAGCCTCGCCAGGCTGCCTGGAGCTGGTGGAGCAACAGCCTTGTCCCCCGTCCAGCTCTCTGCAGCTGCCCTCTCCTGTCAGAAGCTCCTGGAAAGCATTTCTGGCACATAGAGGCCATCTGCATGTTCTCCTCCTGCCCGCCCCACCCCGAGTAGCCACAGAGGATCTTCCCCAGCTGCCTTCACCTCCGCCCCCAGACAGAGCCTCCTGGCTACTCCCCCAGATAGTGTCTCCAAAATCACTTCCATTTCTCCTCTGCTCGCAGCCACTCAGTGGCTTTCGTTATCATTCAGAATAAAACCAAAGCGTCCATTACCATCCAACCAAAGACCCCAGGAACGCGCTGCAGTGGAATCAAGCCACGTCTGTTGACTGGTTGCTGTGAGAGGATGTTAGGAAGGACCCGCAAGTCTCCTCGTGTTGGGAGAGCATGGTGGGAGGAGGAGTTGGGAGAGGCTCAAGGCAGCAGGGCTGACTCCACAGCTGGGTATCTTGATAACTTTTATCTAGAAGGCAGGAAGAACAAAATGCAGCTGAAGCTGAAATTGATCAAGCAGCAGCGGTCATTCAAATTAGCCAGGACGGGGTGGTTTGGTGACCCTTGAGGTCTGGCCGATGCTCATGTTCTGCCTATGCTCTGACACGATCCTGTGTATCTTGCCCCATCTCGGGCACACAGTGGTCTTGTCTGGTGTTGGTGTTCAGTGACATTGCTTAGCCATGAAATTGTCTCCAGGTTAGTGACTAGTGACGCCAGGGTGGGTGGCTCTTCTCTTTTTCAAGACCTGGGTGTCACCTGACCCCCAGCTGCCTCTGACTCACCTGCCACTGCCCTTCTTATCCACACTCTTCCTGACAAGCTGGTTTCCTGTGTGGCCGAACAGTTTCCTCCTTCGGGCCCTTCGTGGTCACCGGGCCCCTGCCTGGAGCCTCCGCCTCAGGAACCCATGTGGCTGACTCCGGCCCTGTGGCCTTGCCACTCTCTCTCCATCCCCACGCTGTCCCCTTGGTGGTTCTTACTGCCACCTTCCTTTCCACCTGCTGAAACCCTAGGGTCTTCTGGTCCCTCTGCCCATCTAAGACCGAATTCCCACAACAGGGAGAGTCTGGGTGACACGCTGGTGCGTTTATTCCTGGGGCAGTGTGGTTCCCACATGGATCCTCAGATGTTCTTTGGTGTTGGTGACCCCACTGTGGACCGTTGGTTCTGCTCCAAGACCAAAGCTGGCTGCTGGTGGGTGCAGAATGCGCATGTGGCTTGGACCAGACAGCCTCTAGGCCTCCCCTTTCTACCGCCAGGTGCCGAAGGGCCAGCAGCCTGGACACCCCGGAGCCCTGGAGAGCTCTGACCCCAGCCTCTGCCCCACCTGAAGTGGGTCTGGCCCCTTCTTGCAACAGGATCAGCCCCCAGCTGGAGACAGAGACCCCACAGCCAGCCCAGACAGCCGCCTAGTACTCCCCAGTCCCCCAGCCTAAGGACGCTCCACTGTCCTGGGCTGCCAAAACAAATATCACCAACTAGGCACCTCAAAACTCATCCTCTGGCAGTTCTAGAAGGCAGAAGTCCACAGTCAAGCGGTCAGCAGAGCTGGTTCCCTCTGGAGGCTTGGAGGGAGAGTCCGTTTCACGCACCCCATTTTGCTTCTGGTGGCTGCTGGCAATCCTTGGTGTCCCTTGGTTCAGAGACATCGCTGCAACTTCTGCCTCTGTCGTCCCGCGGCCTCCTTCCCAAGTGTGCAGCTGTGTCCTCTCCTCTTCTTACCAGGGCCCCAGTCACTGGACTTAGGGCCCAACCCAATCCAGCCTGACCTCATCTTAACTTGATTACAGTTGCAAAGACCCTATTTCCAAATAAAGCCCTAGTCACAGGTTCTGGGTGGGCATGGATTTGGGGTGACATATTCCACCCAACGCAGCTCCCACCCCCATGTGGTGGAAGCCCAGGGTCAGGGAGGATCCCCGTTCCCCTGCTGGCTCCCAGTGCGCTTCCAACTTCCAAGGGGGGCTCAGTGGGTGGTCTGAGCTGGACACAACCTAGCTCCTTCATTCCTGTGAAGCATCGTTCTCACGGGCCGTCTGGGCAGCAGGCATTTACTGATGTTTGGAGTAATGGGGACAGCACTTTACAGGTGACAACCTGGGGCACCTCTTGGCAGCTGGGTGCCTCCCTGTGACCTCAGCTGTGACCTCAGCAGTGACCTCAGCTGTGTCTCTCTGCCCTTCTTGACCCCATCACCTCTTTTCTTCCCCTAACTCCTGGTTCCATGGGCTCTCACCTCCTCTCTCCCAGGATGTCTGAGAAAACCACAGTCCCTCTCACTTTTTGTCCAAGCAGTCCAGCGCTCTCTGCCCTTCACCTTCTCCTCCGGCCTGGACCCCTGAAGGCAAGGGAGAGGGTAGAGATCACCTCTCAGATCCAGAAGATCCAAAAACACCCCTGGGGTGTAGGAGTCATGCTGATTCCCTCGGCTGTGAAGCAGTGCGTTCTTATCGCAAAGAGCACTTCTGTTTTTTTCTTCTTTCTACATCTGTGCTAACATTCTGTGATTCTTAGAGAACGAAAATTCTGAAGAGCAAAGCCCAGAGCCAAGAATGTTCAAGCCAGAAGGGATTTCTATGAGGAACAAAACAGACAAGGCCTCTGCCTGCAGGGTGCATATCCCGAGTGGAGAGATGGGGCTGTACAGACCCAGAGAGCGTGGCTCGCCCTGGAAGGGAAGGTCAGGTGCGACGGGACAGAATGGCCAGGAGGACTAGTTTATACTAGGGGGTGAGGGTCAGGGATGAGCAGGATTTAGTGAAGCAAATGATTTCAAACATCAAAAGCACAGGAAATAAAAGGAATATAGATCAGACCTCATCCCAATGAAAGCCTTCTGTGCATTAAGGACACTATCAATAAAGTGAAAAGACAACCCATAGGGTGGGAGAAAATACTTGCAAATTATCTACCAGATCAGGGATTAATATCCAGACTATATAAAGGGCTTCTACAAATTCACTAACTACAAACCTGATCCAAAAGGCCAAGGATGTGAACAGACATTTCTCATGAGGAGACACACAAATGGCCAATGAGCACATGAAAAATTCTCACCATCACTCACCACCAGGAAAATGCACATCAAGACCACAATGAAAGGCCGGGCGCGGTGGCTCACGCCTGTAATCCCAGCACCCTGGGAGGCCGAGGTGGGTGGATCACCTGAGGTCAGGAGTTTGAGACCAGCCTGGCCAACATGGTGAAACCCCGTCTGTACTAAAAATACAAAAATTAGCCAGGTGTCGTGGCAGGTGCCTGTAATCGCAGCTAATCGGGAGGCTGAGGCAGGAGAATCGCTTGAACCCAGGAGGCGGAGGTTGCAGTGAGCTGGGATCACACCACTGCACTCCAGCCTGGGTGACAGAGTGAGACTCCATCCCAAAAACAAACAAACAAACAAAAAAACACACCACAATGAAGTACCAGTTCACACCCATTAGGACGACTACTGTCTAAAAACCAGAGAATCACAAGTGTTGGTAAGGATACGGAGAAATCGGACTCCTGTGCACTGCTGGTGGGAATGGCAAACAGTGCAGCTGCCGTGGAAAACAGTTTGGCAGCTCCTCAAAAAGCTAAACATAGAATTTTCATATGACCCAGCAATTCCACTTCAGAGTATATACTCAAAAGCAAGGACACCAACAGACATTGGTACACATGTTCTTAGTAGCATTATTCACAACAGCAAAAGCTGGGCATGACCCGTGTGTCCCTCAACAGAGGAATGGACAGACACCACGTGGTTTGTATACACAGAGGAATCTTATTCTGCTGTGGGAAGGAATGAAACACTGGCGCTCACTGCAGCACGGATGGACCTTGGCAACACCATGCCGAGTGAAAGAAACCAGGCACCAGGGCAGACTGTAGGATTCCACTGCTGTGAGGCGCCCAGAGCAGGCAAACTTGTAAGGAGAGAAAGTAAAGTAGAGGTTCCCAGGGGCTGGGCTTTGGAGTGGAACAGGGACTTAGTTACTGCTTCATGGGGACAGAGTTTCTCTTTGCAGTAATGAAAAAGTTTTTGAAATAGACGGCGGTGATGGTTGCACAACATTGTCAATGTCCTGAATGCCACTGAATTGTACACTTAAAAATGGGTAACATGGTAAATTTGGTGTTATTTCTATTTACCACAATTTTAAAAAATTAGTACTGTACTATAAAAGCCATGGAATCGCACGCTTTCCATAGGTGAATTGCATGGTTTGTGAATTATGTCTCATTAGAAGAGGAGCATTTAAAAGAAAGAGGGAGGCCAGGCACGGTGGCCCACACCTATAATCCCAGCACTTTGGGAGGCTGAGGCGGGCGGATCACCTGAGGTCAGGACTTTGAGACCAGCCTGACCAACATGGTGAAACCCCATCTCTAATCCCAGCTACTCAGGAGGCTGAGGCAAGAGAATCGCTTGAACCTGGGAGGCGGAGGTTGCAGTGAACCGAGATCACGCCACTGCACTCCGGCCTGGGTGACAGTGAGATTCTGTCTCAAAAATAAAGAAAGAAAGAAAGAAAGAAAGAGGGGCAGCAGCCCCCACATGCAGCCCCCATGCAAGAGCCCCCAAGGAGAGGCTTGATGCATCAGAGGTGCTGGGTGGTCTGGCAGGCTGGAGCCAGGCCACTGGGGAGCTGGGAGCAGAGGGAAGTGTGTGGAGGGCAGCCCTGCCCCGGGTTCTGCAGCAGCCCCCGCCTTGTCTGCCTGCACTGCTCTCGGCTGGTTCTGTGCTGAGCGCAGCCTCTCCTTGGAAGCCAATTTTCTGCACAGTGAAATGTTTTTTTTGTGCCCACTTTAGCAGATGGCCCCCCACCTTGGCCTGAATTGGGAAGCACAGAAATGCAGCAGGGGACAGACGGCTTCTTTGGCAATGTCTTACAGGCACACGAGCACGCAGACTCATACCCGCCCCCCACAACTCGCCTTCACGGACTCTGGGCTGCAGCCGGCCTCCGGAGACCTCTCCTCTTCTGCTGCCGACCAGCTGCTGGACGCCTGGCCCAGGTGCTTGCTTGGGATGGATGCAGATGACTGCATGTCTCCAAGGCCGGGACCGGGGCGCTTCCTCTCCTGCACCCGCCCCTCTCGGCCAGTCCCTCCACTCCCCCTAATGGGAGAATGCTGAAGGGATCCTGGCAGGGACTCCTGACCTCCAGTGTGGAGACCCCGCCCCAGGCACCTGTCTCAACCCCATTTACAGGGTAGCTGAGAAACTTCTGGGGAGACAGCCTGACCTTGGCCCACCACTGGAGTCCAGACCTTAAACCCACTGTGGTCAGTAGGCAGGAGTCTGGCCTGAGGTTTGAGGAAGGGCAACAGAGTCTCCAGTGGGGAAGTCGCCATTGAGGAAAAGTCTAGTGAAAGCAGATCCTAGGCCCACGGGACCAATGGTGTGTCAGGGCCGAGTTCCAGGGCCAGCAGGGAGGAGGGGGCTGGTGCAGGGAGGGTTGGTAGCCTCCACAGAGGGATGCCACCGGTCCTCATGGGTTGGAGCCAGCCCTTGGGCACCAGAGAGAGCCTGAAGGGGCTACAGAGACCATCTGATCCTACCCTGTTGTTCTAATTTTTTTTTTTTAAAGACGGAGTCTAGCTCTGTTGCCCAGGCTGGAGTGCAATGGTGCAATCTCGGCTCATTGCAACCTCCACCTCTCAGGTTCAAGTGATTCTCCTGCCTCAGCCTCTGGAGTAGCTGGGATTACAGGTGCTTGCCACCACACATGGCTAATTTTTGTATTTTTAGTAGAGATGGGATTTCACCATGTTGGCCAGACTGGTCTCAAACTCCTGACCTCAAGTAATCTGCCTGCCTCAGCTTCCCAAAGTGCTGGGATTACAGGCGTGAGCCACCGCGCCCGGCCCTAACCTATTGTTCTGTGCTGGGGTGGGGTGGGGAAGATGGAGGCTTGGGAGGCCACTGCCCACTCCTCATGTGACCAGGTCAGTCTCAGGAAATGTAAGTGTCCTTCTTAGAGGAACTGGGAGACAAAGGGATTTTCAGGTTTCGTTTTTGTTTTTGAGACAGGGTCTCACTCTGTCACTCCAACACACCTCAGCTTGCAGCTGTGTCCCTCCAGCCTCTGACTCCATCATCACAGGGCCGTCTGTCTTCCTCTGTGTCTCTTCTTTTTTAAAATTTTTTTGTTTTTAAAATTTTTTTTAGATGGAGTTTCACTCTTGTTACCCAGGCTGGAGTGCAATGGTGCGATCTTGGCTCACCGCAACCTCCACCTCCTGGGTTCAAGCAATTCTCCTGCCTCAGCCTCCCAAGTAGCTGGGATTACAGGTGTGTGCCACCACACCCAGTTAATTTTTGTATTTTTAGGAGAGATGGGGTTTCACCATGTTGGCCAGGCTGGTCTCAAACTCCTGACCTCAGGTGATCTAACTGCCTTGACCTCCCAAAGTGCTGGGATTACAGGTGTGAGCCACCACACCTGGCCTCTCCTTTTCTTATAAAGACAACACATCTGCAAAGACCCTGTTTCCAAATACAGTCAAATTCACAGGCACCATGGTTAGGACTTGGAGCTGTATTTCTGGGGGAAACAGTTCAACCCATAACAAACCAATGTGGGGGTACTTTTTTTTTGACACAGGGTCTTGCTATGTCACCTAGGCTGAAGTGCAGTGGTAGGATCATGGCTCACTGTAGCCTCCACCTCCCTGGCTCAAGGTATCCTCTCACCTCAGCCTCCACAGTAGGTGGGACTACAGGCACGGGCCACCACTCCCAGCTTTTTGAAACTTTCTGTAGAGATGGGGGTCTCACTATGTTGCCCAGGCTGGTCTCGGACTCCTGGACTCAAGTGATCCTCCAACCTCGGCCTCCCAAAGTGCTGGGATTATAGGCATGTGCTTCCATGCCCAGCCGATTTCCAGGTTTTAAGGGTCAAACTGTTGGAAACATTTATTTAAAAATCCAGTAGGAGGGAAATGTGTGACCAGTGAGTGCAGAGGGAGTCTGTGGCATTTCCAGGAAGCACCCCAGGCCAGGCCTTGAGCATCTGGGAGAGGAAGGATGTTCAGGCCACGGGGCAGACGTCTCCACAAGCCGAGGCCACAGGGACTTAGCTGTGCGTGAGTGTGGGTGTGTGAGCAGCCAGCTCCTCGAGCTGAAGGAGCTCGTGTGCCAGCGAGAGGGTGCTGCTGGGGATGAGCCCACCCCCGGCTACCTCGTAGGGAATGGGCACAGGGAGAAAGCAGGACTCCCTCAACTGGGATGCCCCTGCTCCAGGAGCCCACAGCTGGGCTCAAGGCCGTACACATGCCCGGCTTCCTGGAGCACCAAAGACAGGAAGAGGGCAGCTGGGGGACCTGGAGCCGGATGCCCTTTCCCAGGATAAATGTAGGGCTTCCAGAGGCCTTGCATTTGCAGGGGGCCACTTTAAGCCACATCCCCAGACCTTCCAGGGCTTGGTCCAGCTTCCCCTGCTGCTGCTTATGGGACCTGGGTGGGGGATTTGACAAGTCCTGGAGCAGCTCAGTGGGTGGGGAGGGAGAGATCCAAGGACAGGTGGCCTGCAGTCCTGCGTGGGGGCGGGGGACGCAGCCTTCAGGAGCTGAGAAGGGGACCTCCAGACATCCGGAGCTTCCTGGTATGGATGACATGGGAGGCACTGGAGTCCGAGGGCTGCAGCTGGGGTGCCCCATGGCCCAACCTGAAGGCAACATTTCCCAGCTCCCCTTGGTTCTTTGGCATCCCAGGAGGGACTGGTGCATGGGGAGGGGCCTGTGGGCAGTGGGGGCGGCGTCCGGCCTTCAGGAGAGGAACCTGGAGGAGGGTATCCTGGCATGGCAGAAGGTAGTGGGGTCTGCCCCCAATTGTACCTGCTCGCACCAGGCCCTGTGCATATAGCTCCTCATCCCATCTTCACGGCCCTGAGAGAGAGTACTGCCAGCCCCACAGCACAGGTCAGGACCCTGCTGTTTAGCCAGGCCAGGCGAGAACACTGAGCTGGGAGTCAGGAATCCTGGATTCTGATTTCTGGATGTCAAGCTGTGCAACTCTGAATGAGCCACACAGCCCCTCTGGGCCTCGGTCCCCTCATCTGAACAGTCGGGGAGACAGACTAGACGACCCTCAAGGTTCTCCAGGCCCAGACATCCTGCAGGTCTTGGACGTAGCATCTCTGTCCATAGCGACAGAGACAGAAGTACCCGCCATGCAGGCAGGCTGCCCCTGGCCCAGTGCAATTTGAGGAGGCTGCTGCATGGGGGCAGAGCTGGTGAAGACTGAGGGACCCCCGTCTTCCTGTGTTGGGACAGATGGGCAGGAGCTGTAGCTCAATGCAAGGAACCAAGCATGAAATGACAGAAAAAGAAGAGACGGGAGCGCAAAAGAAAACTTGCCGATAGTCAGAGCCGTCTGAAAATAGGACAGACTACCTCTCTGGGGTAATGAGCTCCACATCACCAGAAGTGTGCAAGCCGAGAACAGTTTCAGGCACCTGAGAGGCTGCTGAAGTTAATGACTTCCAAGACACCCTCTGGCTTTGACTTCTTGCGCCCGTGTCCCGCTGCCCAGACTCCCACCTCACTCCACCGAGCTGCAAGGCCCGTGGCTTCTTTCCAAGCAGCTGTTCTTAGCTCCACGGCCCCCTGAAGGCATTCATGGATGAGCCAAAATCAGGCGTGAGAAGTGCAGAAAGTACTTTGCATCTAATGATAGTTAAGAACCCAAGTGTTTGAATGAGCTCTCACATAGAGATTAGAAATGTATGCGTGACGTTATCACAGACGTAACTCTGCACTTTCTTGAGTGGGAGGTGTGAGGCGGTGTGTCCATTGGAGCCACTGGAATCGGGCATAACCCTGGGCCCGACCGTGAGCGTGCACCCTGGGGTGAACACCACCCAGCGAGAATGGCTCTGGGAACACAGGCCAGGGGCCTCCCGCCTGGCAGGGCCTCTGTCTCCCGACCAAGGCTCTTCCTGCAGGGACACAGGGGGTTCCCTGCCTGCTTTGCTGAGGCCAAACCTTCTCCCTCCACACCATCCCAGGTGACAGGTGGCTCACTCACACCCACTAAACCCCCGCTCCTGAGTCCTGGGAACACCAGAGCACCGGGCAGAGAATCCCCGGGCGATGCCAACAGGAAGCCAGAGTGACCAGTCCCTTCCGCCAACCCAGTGTGTGTGTGTGTGTGTGTGTGTGCATCTGTGTGTGTGAGGTGGGGGGCACCAACCAAACCACCGGGCAGGTGATTTTGGCTCCATGTCCCCTGACTTCAGGTTGTAAGTGTGCTAGAATCACTCACCCCAGGGCACTTGGGTCCTGGTTACTCTGTCCCTTGGAAGGAACAGCTCGCAAGCTCCAAACACATCCAGAGTCAAGCCAGGTCCACAAGGGGGACAGGGAAGTAAGCTCAGCCCAAGGCCCAGCGTTCCCATGGCTATTTATCCCTTTGTAGGGACACTCTCAGACACTCTCAGACAAGTGCAGGGAAGGGGCCTGGGACTCTGAAAGCGGGAAGGCAACCACACGTGGCTAAGGCCCCGCTAGCAGAGGCTGAGGCAGAGAACTGCCAGAGTTGCTTGGGCACGACAAGCCCGGGCCACCTCGAACCCGGACCCAGCTGTGGACCGCGAGTCCACCCAGGAGGGGAAGGGGAATGCGGAGTGACCCCACATCCCAGGCCGAGTGGCCTCACTGAGTTGGGGAAACACTGGGCCACTCTCTGCCTCTGCGTCAGCTGCCCCTGGGAAATGGAGACCCCTCCACCCAACATCCAGCATCACCAGACGGTGTGGGGTTGTCAAAGGGCACAGGGCAATGCACAAGCGAGGCACACACCCCCTGCAGGTGAGGGTCACCTGCACCTGGCTGGGGAAGAGGGGTGGCTGCAGGGGGAGGTGGCATTGGCAAGCCTCGGAAAAGAAGAGACATCCTGAGGAGACCACAGTCTTTCTCCACTCTTTACTGTGTAAAAATAAACTCAACAATTCATGTCATTTCAGCAAGAAAATGAAAAAAAAAAAAAAAGCAAGAATACCAGTAGAAATAGTGCATTTCCAGAATTGCTGATGGGAGGTGGCAGGTCCCATGGTTTTGACCCATTTGATACCCAAAAGGCTGCAGATCATATGAAAAATGTACAGCTTTGGTTAGCAAATAATGAAAAAGTGAGATACATCGATTCTCTTTCATATTATACAGTATATACATTATAACAATATCAACCATAGGGGGTTTGCTTTTTTTTTTTTTTTTTTTTTGGCAAATGAGACAAAATTGGGACTCTAAGTATTGGGCTTTTTTTTTCTCTTCAATGACTTGTTCCCTTTCAACAAATTGCACTTCAGTCCACTGTGTACAGAAGTAATACATTTCCCATCGTTAGTTGAATAAATTTACACACTGTGTTTAAGAGATGAAACCACGACTTCGTCAAGCCACATTTGGTTGCCATAAGATTCCAAAGGATTCTATCCTCTTAATGTGAACCACATGTAACCCAAGGTTCTTCTATCAAGGTTAGAACTGATATTCAAATCCTCGGCTCATTCCACTTAGTAAGTCAGCTCCAAGACACAGGTTCACCATAAATGGCCAGTTTTACCTCCTGGTCCCCAACATGCTTTTGAGAACAGGTGGCCCCTCTTTGGAGCTCACTGGAATGACTGAACCTCATGCCAGCCTCTCCTCACCCCCTCACTGCCCACAAGACACCCCCTTGGTCTCAGGTCCCAGGGCTGGTGACAAAGTGATCTTTGCAGTCTTAGAAAATAAACTGGGAATCTACAAAAGGAAAAGAAAGCATACAAAATGTATCTCTTTCTTCCAAAATACATGCTTTCAGTTCTACGTTTTGGTGGAGCCTGAAAGTATTTTCAAGGGAGATATAGGTTGAGTTAATTTATAGGTTTGTCCTTTTCTTTCATAAAAATACTCTTGTTTGGTAATAAACTTTTTCTTCTACAGTAAGAGAAATAATACTGTGTTATCAAAAGCAAGAAGGCTTACGACTCAAGTGGGATCTAAGCCCCTGAGGGCCCGGAGAGCTTCTGTCAACAGCTCTCCCACCCCGGACACCCAGGGAGCTGTCGGACACCAGCTCGGCAAAAGCAAACACTGCCTCAACAGTGCTTTTTATCTTCTTGTTTTATAAAATGGCTTACCTGAGAGAGGCATGTATTATTCAGTGCAAGAGGGAACATCAATCAGATTAAGGAGTAAATGGGAACTACGTGGATTAGATTTGCGGCTGTGTCATCGACCTTTCTCGGGGCCAGCAAAGTGCCAAGTGTCAACACAGTGAGGGAGTCGAGGGGCTTGGCTCAGACCCTAGCAAGGGGCAGGAGGGAGCTAAAGGTCAGCTTCGGCCCTGGCACCATGGGTGGGTCAGAGGAGGGGTGAGGAAGGTGAGCGGGCCAGGAGGCTGCAGGGGTGGAGGCGTAAGCACTGGGGTGTGCTCTGCCCCTCGCTAGTCAGGGCAGAGGATGGCTCATGGTCCTGAACGGACAGCTCCCACCTGGCCCACGGGGGCAGAAGGTGGTCTGCGGTCCAGTAGATCGGCAGGGGCGGGGCTGGCCGGAGGTGCTGGCAGGGGAGCACCCCACACAGCCCGCACCGGGCGTTGCCTACACAAGGGCTCCGAGATGGCTGGAGTGAGGGTGGGGCTAGATCTGGTCTAGAGAGGCGACTCCAAGCTCTCTTGCTGGCTCCCAGCTGTGGGAATCCTTTAGGCTTGTTCTCAACCTACACGTTAAAAATGCTTCTTGGTGTGTTTGGGGAGGGGGAGAGGGAAACTGAGCTCTCTCTTGACCTCCTCCAACACCCTTGACTTGCTTACCCAGCCATTTTCAGTAGCTACACGGGTGGTCACAGAACACTGGGCGGCACTCGGCACACAACACAGAACCGGGGCAGTCCATGCAGGTGCGGGAACACATGTCGGACCCAGGGAGCAAGGAACACGCCACCCCGAGGAACATGCAAACGGAGAAGATCCCTGCAGATCCAAGGATGCCACAACCCGACGGGCGCTGAGGAAGCACGATTATCTAAGAAAAAGCCACTGTTGAACAACAACGCGCAGCACGGCGCCTGATCTGCACCCCCCTCTGCGGGAGTGATGCATTGCAGAACGGCGGCCGGGTACCGTGCAGACACCCACGAGAACACTGACACAGAGACACTGACAGACACACACAGATGCACTAGGTTCTTGACACAACGTGGACCTGTGTTTAAGGGGACAGGTGGCCCTAGAAGGAACAGAAGACAGAAACACCTGCTCCTCCTGCAGAAATGTCTGCAGCTGCAGCTGAGCCAGGCAGTGCAGTAGAATTTCTAGAAAGACTTGTCAGCGGTTTGCTGATGAGACTCCTGGAGACAGAGTCGGGGTGCCCTCAGGGCGTGCGACCACCAGATGGTGCAAAGCAGGAAGCTCCTCCTACCCTGGGCAGGGCCTCCCGAGCCTGCTCTCTTTCTCACTTAGCGCACACACACACACAACACACACACACACACACAAATGCACATACACTTCTCTCCCCTCCTTGGAAGGACTAGAAG
Organism: Homo sapiens; assembly: GCF_000001405.40. Taxonomy (NCBI): domain Eukaryota; kingdom Metazoa; phylum Chordata; class Mammalia; order Primates; family Hominidae; genus Homo; species Homo sapiens. The sequence continues at coordinate 80,469,450 of NC_000017.11, forward strand.
GAAATGTCCATGTTGCTTTTCACGGGGAACAAAAAAAGGCAAAAAGGTTCTGGACACTGCTCAGGTGTCAGTGTCGCCGGCCAGTGGCAGCTTGTGGGCTGCTGTAGGCCGTGAGCCCCATGAGATGGAGGAGTGGGTTTCAGGCCCCTGCCCTGGCCAGGCCTGGCTCCACACGTGAGGTCTCTGGAGTACCCCTGGAGGGGTCTGAACCAGCTCACCTGGCGCCTGGTGTGCTGGGAGGGATATGGCTGTCAAAGTCCCCCAAAAAGGACCTTCCCACCGATGGGCTGGGTTGAAGTCCCAGTGGCCCCATGTGGCCAGGTCTTCATCGAAACACGGCTTCTTTCCTTAAAAGGTCCCCTCTGGTCTGCACTGCCGGAGGCCAAAGGAGAGGGGTGCTGGGGCCCGGCTTCCCGGGCTGTGGGTGGCACGCTCCTCTCTCAGGGCCCTCTGGGCTGAAGCAGTGCAGCACAGCTCCAGAGGTGAGAAGGGAGGGGCAGACCCCAGCCTTGCAGGATCTGAGGAGGTGGGAAGGTCGAGGGCAGGGCCGTCCTGGGGCAGAGCTAGCTGAGCTGGGCACACAGGCCGACCTCCCAGGCCCCATGCTGCTCTCAGATGCAAACAGCAGGGATGGATGCTGTCTGGCCCTGGGGTAAGGGCCAGTGTCCTCAGCCATCCCCTCTCCTCCACGGGAGAGCACAGGGTACCATCCCAGGACGGCCTGCCTTCACCCTTCAGAGACAGTTCACTTCTATTACAAAATAAAAATTCTCTGTAGAGAGCCCCCGCCCCCGGCCTTTGACAAACCACTAAAAGACATTTATTACATCAATATAAAGATATGTCGCTCTGAGAAAGGTTTGCAAACAAAGACAAATGCGTGTACTGAGGTTGCACCAACCCCAAAGCACGCACGCAGCTAACAAAGTTGGCAAATATGAATTTTCATCATGAGATTTTTCCAAAGCCAGAAGAAAGAAGGAAATGAGGTACGTCCTCAAAGAAAAGGCCTCCCCCAGCCACGCACGCACACACGTAGACACACACATGTAGACACGCACACACAGATCCTCTCACCAACTTCTGCCTTGTTCAAGACGTTGCAGCACCCACTTCAGCTGTGAATGGGGCATGCCTGAGAGAGTCCGGGCTCCTACAGAGAAGTGGGGCTTCCTCAGGGACAGATGGGAGCAGGGGCTGCTTCGTGTGCATGAGGACAAAACCAGGCTGTGTGCGTGTGCGTGTGCAGGGGCGACGGCCTCGGTTCATTCCTGGGGAAAAGGGAGAGAAGAGACGCACAAAACAGATCATCGCCGCACAAGCAGGGGGCGAGGGCGGGCGGGCTCAGCCTGGCCTGCCGTGCTCAGTTGATCTGGCGACAGGCCTCGAAGGTCCACTTGGTGGCCCCTCCGTAGATCTCGATGTGGGATTCAGCCCAGGCGATGACATTGCCGGACAGAGCCTTGGTGCTGCAGGTGGCCAGGTTGTACACCTCCCCGGGGGTCAGCTTGCGGTCCCAGATGTTGAAGTGGGCCAGCTCACCCACAAATGCCTGGGTGGCATCAAACCCACCACCCAGAGTGTCCTTCAGAGAAAAACAGAGGATGAGAGTGGAGGGGTCGCCAGGTGGTCTGGGGGCCCATCCCTAGGCCGGGGATCTGAGTGCCTCTGTGCCTGCCCGATCACGGACTCTCACGGACACTCCTAGGTGCCGTTTCGTCTCCCTGTCCCTGACTCTCCAGCCCTACATCCATCCCTCCTCTGGGGGAGCCCAAGAAAAGGGATGGCACCGACCACCTCTGCCCTGGAGCTTCTCCTGGGGGGACCTGGACTCTGCCCCTCCTGCAGCTGGTCCCTCAGCCATGGACAACCACAGCAGCTGGGCCTGGGGCCCCTGCCCAGACATCACTCCATGCCAGCTAAAGCTGCCCAACAGGGACAGACGTCCCCGATTCTCCATCCCTTCGTCTTCCTCCCAGGTGCCCAACAGGAGACAAACCACTTCACGGGAACTAGATTATGCATCACTAAAAGCAGAACTGGCCTTCCCATGCCAAAGAAAGTGTTGCTGCAGCTCTGAGAGCGTTGAAACCAGAGCTCACTCCTGCAGGAAGTTCAAGTGCATGTCCACCCAGGGCACAGGCCTTGCCCAGCCTGCTCCCCGGGCTGCTTCTCAGGGGAACCACTTCTCCGGCTACCTCCCTCCCTCCTTGCTCCTCTTCCCCTTCCCAGCCTCTGGTTCTGAAGCTCTCTCCCCTTCCCCACCACATCCAGCACAGTACCTGCTCCTGGCCCAGCACCAGCACGCCCTGGGGCTTGATGGGGTGATAGGGCGCCAAGTTCTCGCCACTGCCACCCTGCGTGCCATCCTGGTAGGCCTCCCAGACCCCGTCCCGGGTGGTCCAGGTGACACAGATGTGGTGCCACTTGCCATCATTGATGACAAAAGGCAACTTGGCCACCTGGGAAGGAGAATGACAGACGCCAGCTGGTGAGTACAGGGGTACAGCCCAGAAGCCATAATCTTCACTGCCTCAGTTGTTCCTATCTCTACTTGCAAAGTAAATGTCAATAACTATTACTGAATTCTCACAGCACCTACTGCCCCAGACTTCAGCGTCTGTCAGCCCCGCCTGGGCGTGGGGCACAGAATCACACAGGAAATGTAAGGCTCTACCGAGGGAACCCCCAAGGGCCATGTGGGTGTGCAGTCTCTTCACTCCTACTCACCCTCCTCCCTCTTTGCTAGTCTACACAACAAGCCCTAGTCTACACCAGGGAGAGCCGTCCCTGGTGTCTGAGTTCACTGCTGCCTCTCAAGGCTCCGTGCGACATCTGTGCAGCCTCCTTGCTGGCCTCTCCTCTCTCTTCCGATGTCCCATCTCTAGCTGTTACACCCTCTCACTCTACAACACGGCAAGCTTTTGCCGAGGATCTGAGAGATGTCATGGAGCACGATGCCTTTTAAAGCTCAGACCAGCCTCCAACCTGGAATTTCACTCTCCCACTGCCATTCCAGGTCGGGAGGATGACGGTCCAGCAGACAGTGAGGAAAGAAACTTCACACCCTTTCCGCTTGGGGAAAGGGGGCCCAGAATGGCACAGCCCTTTGTGGGGAAGAGCAACAGGAACAAGGGCGTGGAATCCACTTCCCAGCCCAGGTTTTAGCCATTGACTACCACTGCTGGCCTGGACTTGAGACAGTTTGAAAGCTGGCAGCTAGTTCCATAGCTAACAGGGGAGGATGGAGAATGTTCACTAGAGGGAAAGGCTGCCTGTGCTGTCCTGTTCCAAGGGATCACACAGACCTGTCCTCCTCCCGAGAGTTAGGGGGCTGAGTGGGATAGACTTGGACTCAGGAAAAATCTCTAAGGACCCCTCACCCCGCTAGAGCATCTCTGGGTCCCTGCTATGGAGGGGCAAAGCCAGTTCCAAGGCCAGCTGGTGGAGGAGTCCAGATCACATCATCGGGCAGGGCCAGGCCCCATGGCTCGTTCTCCGCCATCTCCCGTACCCACCCCAGGAGGCATCCGGGAAGGTCCAGCTCTCCCTGCTCTCCCAGTACAGGTGAGGGGGCTCCTACCACTTCTCCTGGTCTTCACCCTCCCCCTCCCTCAGTCCCACCTGGCAAACACTTTCCTTGGGGCCCCATCAACATCTGAGGCCACCATAGCCCTGTCTCCGCATGCAACATGAGCTGGGGCCCTGGGGCCTCGCCCTGCCGCCCTGTGAGCCCGGGGGCTGCTCTACCTTGTCATTGATGAGGATCTCCATGGGGTTGTTGCCCCACTCAATGAGGACCAGCTCGTTGGCCTGGCCGGGCACAGCGTAGGAGAAGGGCGTGCCCACACCTGGCGTGGCGCTGGACTTGAGCCACATGCAGACAGTGAAGGCGTACATCTCTGGCAGGCTCTTCTTCACCTTGGCATACATATAGTTGGTCCGCAGTGGGAATGTGAGCTGGAACTTGTCTCCAGGGCGGTTGTCTTTCTGACCTGCGGAAGACACAGTCCTGACATCTGCACCTGCGTGAAGTGCTTATCGGTGTCTGAGTTGAGTTCGGTCCCCACCAAGCTCTGTGATGCGTGGCCAGGGCAGGCTCCGGTCTCCATTCTGGAGACGCAGAGCGGGTAGCTTCCCAGGTCAAGTACTTTGCCCCAAGGCACAGGGCCAGTCTGTAAAGAGCTGACCCAAGCTCTTCATGCTCCAGGTCTGGCCTGCTGTCACGCCCATGTGCTGGCATCCTTGGGGAGATGGGGGTGGGGGGCAGTGCCTGGTGGGCTGCTGCATCAACACTGGGCTGCGTGGTGGGCATGAGAAGGGAATGGGGACAGCCGCCAAGCCAAGTCAACCCAAGGAGCAGGGGTGGCTGCAGAGGAGGAACGAGGCTAGCTACCCTGAGAGTAACCGACCTGATTCCAGGATGGGGCGGGGCTCAGAGCCTCTCCTCGCTCAATCCCAGGCTCTGCTCCTGCCTCTCCCCACCCGACAGCCAGGCCCTGGTGCCCACACACTTCCCTCCAGGCCAGATGTGCCTCTGACCCACCAATGCCTCTTGGGTGTGAGGCTGGGCAGCTCCCCACCTCCAAGGCCCTTCCTTGGAGCAGGGACTCTGCCTGGAGCTCTGCTGAGAGGGCAGGGCAGCAAGGAGCTGGGAGTACTCTGGGCGCCAGGGCTCCCCAAGGTGACTGCTCTAGGATGCCGCCACACTCTCAGGTGAGTAAGTGTCCTCACAGCTCAGGTTCCAGGCCTGGTGGCCTCCCTTTCCACAAGGCCCACCTTCTCCCTCCCCACCGGCCACTTCTCCCGTAAGCGCCAACCCCCATAGCCCATCTATATACTGTGGCACCCTGGGTATGGTGTGACTGACTCCAGGCAAAACATTCCTGGCCAGCAATGGGCACAGTAGCAGGCCCAGAGCCCAGGAACACACACCCCTTGGTCAATCCCTGGGTGAGCAGCCGTGGTCCTGCCAGGAAGCCCAGAAAGAAACCAGTTCCCCAGGCCAAAAATTATTTCTAGAAGACATCCTGCCCGGTCAGCAACCACCCCCTCCTCTAAACCAACTGGCAGGGAGCAGAGCAGGGCAGGCCCCCTCAGTGCAGCACCCCAGCGGCTACCCCAACCCATTGAGGCCTGCAGTGGGGGATAGGGAGGGGCCCAGCCCCTGGCCTTTCTCCGGGTGTTTTTCATTCCCCAATCTCCGCTCCTTCCCTCTCCCTCCCTCCTGAGGTCCTTCCTTCTGATCTGTTTTTCAGTTACATAACAAGCCTTAAGATGGCACTGTTTAAATCTGTCCGGCACATTTTGCGGTCTGAGCAGGGTCACGTGGCCTTGCTCCGCACCGGGCACCCCCCCCCCTCCCCTTTTACAACCTTGTTTGATTTCTGCGACTTCAAGACAGAGCCTCCAGCGCTCATCCAGGCGCCCTGGGTGATAGACTGGCTGGCCTGAGTTGGTGACTGAGAAACCTCAGGGATTTGAAAGATGCCAGGACTTGGGTCACTCAGAAAAGAAAACCTCAGGGTAGGGGTTCAGGACAGAAGTGGGGAGGAGCTGGAGATCCTGAGAGGACACCGGGGGCATGGCAGCCGGGAAGAAACCTGCTTAACAGCCTCAGCGGCCCGGGGAACGAGAGCGCCCAGCCCCAGCCTGCACCCAGCTGTACGCTGAGGCTGGGGACCAGGGAGAGACAGGCTTTCTTAAGCAGGGAGGGTTTGAGCCAGCGACAGCCACTGTGCAAAGTTACTGAGGATTAAACAAATCAGACTTGAAAAATCCAGCGAGTGTGTGAGTGTGTCTGGATGGGGGAGGGGGCACTATGCAATCCCCTTTCCCAGAGACAGCCCCAGCCCAAGGCACCCAGCCCTGATAGAAACACCGACTAGAAGCCCAGAACCTGGGAAGGGGTGCGGGGAATGAGAAAGCGGTGCAGGGGTTGGGGGTAGCGGAGCGGCTTGAGGCTTGCACAGTGCAGAGCTGGGCTGTTAGGGATCGGGACCGAGGCAGGGTCGGGCAAGCAGGTGCAGGCAGGCAGCACGGCTCCCCCTGGCCCCAGTACCTTTCTCGAGCTCGCTGATCCGCTGGTGCAGGGAGGTCAGGGCGGTCTCGATCTTGACCCTCTCCTCGGTGTCGTTCCTGGGGCCCCCCTTGCCCTCCTCCAGGGTGTTCACCCGGGACAGCACCTGCCTCTCCAGCTCATCGATCTTGCTCTGCAGCAGATCCTTGAGGCTGTTGGTCTGGCTGGAGGAATTGAGGCGGCTGTACTGCTGCGGGGTGCAAGGGCGGGGGAAACCACACCGTTAGGCGAGGCGCGGGGACCGTGCTGGAAGGCCCGCGGCGCGGTCCCCTCTGGGCGACTGCGGGGGCGGCCTGGCAGGGAGCTGGGGCGAGTGGCCGCCGCGGGGCCTCGCAGGCGCGGGGAGGCACCGGCCGGGCACCCGCGCGGCTGAGGCGAGGGCGGGGGATGCCTGGCCGGGTAGGGAACGGGGTGGGGGAGGGCAGAGGGGCGAGCGAGCCGGAGGGGGAACCGGAGCCGAGGGCGCGCGCGGACCTCGAGGTTCTCCAGGCGGGTTTTGAGCGATTGCAAAGTTTGCCCGAGTTGGCTGAGCGTCTCGGCGGCCGGTGTCCGGGACAGGTCGCCCATGGTGTTCTTGCCCGAGCCGGGCTGCTTGCGGCCGCCGCCCGCCCGGGCCTCGCCGGCTCCGGGGTCCAGCGTGCTCTGGCTCTCGCAGCGGCCCAGCTTGGCGGTCAGCTCGCGGATGGTCTCCTTCTGGCTCAGGATGGTCTCCTTCTGCTGCAGCACCGTCTCGCGGAGCTGCAGCACGCTGCTCCGGAGCTCCTCGGCGCCGCCGGCGGCCACGGACGCGGCGCACATGTCGGCGTCCACGGGCACCGAGGTGCAGATGAAGCGCGTCGGCCCGAAATCCTGGGCCCCGGCGCCCAGGAGGCAGAGGGCGAGCAGCGCACAGGTGCGCGCGGCGCGGCCGGCCGGCATGGCTGCGGGCACCGGGCGCTCCGGGCCCGGCTCGGCTCGGCTGGGGCTCGGCTCCGGCTGGGACCCGGCTCGGGCTGTGGCTCCGCGAGCGGCCCGCGCTCTGGGCGCCGCGCTCTTCGGCCGCGCGGTCCACACCGCCGCGCTATCAGGCCCCCACTGCCGCCTGCGCTGCGGAGCCCGCGCCTTTTATGCCGCCGCGGGAGGGGCCTCGAGCCGCCGACGTCAGCGGGGGAGGAATCCCGCTTTAATTGTCCGCGGCCCGGGCCCGCGGCGCGGCGGGGGTCTCACGAGCGCGCCACCGGGGCTGCCTCCGCTCGCGTCCCCCCCGCCCTTCTGGGAGCTGCCGCGGCCCCCTCCTCCCCCGCCCCCGCCTGGGCCGGCGCTGCTGCCCCGAAGGCTCCGAGAGCTCAGGGGGAAGGAAGTCGGGCTCCGGCCCCGGACTCGAGGATGGACCACCTGCGTGGTGTCCCCGAACCTCCGACGGGGCTCCAGGCGGGCGGGAAACCACCGCGTCCGGGAGATAGAATTCGGTTCGGCCCTCCTGGCTGCACTGAACACCCTTGGGCCGGGGTCGTTTGGAGCCGGGCTGGGTGCCCAAGGACCCAGGTCGTCAACACCCGAGTGCCCGGTGGTCAACGGCTCGGAGTGGGGCCTCGCGGCGCCACTAAGTCCAGAGCGGGGGTCACCGGGCCGCCCCGCGTTTCTTAGATGTCCGTGTGCTATTGAGAAGCCGCCGGGCAGCCTGGGTACAGGGACTTCCCACGGGTCGGGGCCCCCGGCGCCTCCCCTCCCCCAGCTCCCGGGCTCTGTGGACCCGGCCCCGTCCCCGGGGGACTGTCAGTCCCCACCCCGTGCGGGCGGGGCGCTGGGGACTTCTCGGAGGCAGACCTAGCTGATCGAGCCTTTCCTGTCCGCGGCGCCGGCCCGATCGCGGGCAGGCGGCGTCGCCGGGGCTGGACGTTCGCAGCGGCGCTTCGGAAGGGGGCCCCGCGGGAGCAGCCGCCCGCGTCTCCAGCAGCTTCCCCTTGCCAGGCGCCGCGCGCGCCCGGTATCCCCGGGTGTCCACCTGTGCGTGGGGGGCTGTTTCCCGTCTGTCCAGCCGCGCCCACTTCTCAGGCCCAAAGGCCAGCAGGAAGGGTCCCGGAGGTGGCTGGGGGCGTCCACCTGAGAAGCTCCGCTCTCGCTCAGACACCCCACCCGGCACCCGCGCACTCGCGCCTTCATCTGGACCGCGGGGCTCGGCTCCCGAGATCGCGGTCCGGGTTCCGGCGCCGGGCTGGGGGCTCAGGACCAGGGCTGGCGCAGCCGCCCCGCCCCGCCCCGCCCCGGGGCTATCAGAGCGGTCAAAGCCTCGGAAATCCCTCCGTCCACGCTCCCGTGGTACAGAGAAGGAAACTGAGGCTCCGAGACTGCGGGGCCGGGCTACAGCCGTGGCCCCCCGACCCCTCCCCGCCGCCCCCGGCTTCTCTGGTCTCTGCGTTCTGCAGCCTTTCCCTGCGCGCAGCCGGGGGCTGGGGGTCCCCAGCCAGCAGGGACCCACGGGCAGTCCCGGGTGCCGGGATCGGGCGTCCGCCCCTCGGGCGGGAGCAGAGGCCGGCTCGATGGAGACCTTTTTGAGAAATGGCGGCCTCTACCCGCCCCCCAGCCCCCGAGCGCCCGCCGTCTGCGTTCAGCATCTCAGCTTTTAAGCCTCCCTGAGCCGGGGCTGCGTTCTCGTTGTCTCCTTCGGCCGCCGCTTCCTGGCGCCAGAGGGACCCCGCGGCCCGCACGGGCCTGTCCTCGGCTCCGCTCGGAGGGTGTGCGGGTTCCCGCTCCGCTGGCCCCGCTTGCCCACCACGGCGCGCCCAAACCCACGCGGCCCGCGGCCCCTTGCGTGCTCTGCCGACCCCGGGCCGCAGGAGGGGTTAGCCTCGCCGGTCCCCACGCGGGGTCTGCGCCGGCAGCGCCACGGGCTGGAACGCGCCTCGGGAGAAATTACCCGCGCGGGGTCGCGGCGTCTTCTGCCCCAACTCCCGTAGGGAGCCGCTAGGCGGGTGCCCTCCTGGCCCCAGCGCTTTGGCCTCGCCGCCCTCCCGCACGCGTCCAGTGGGGAGGCCGCGCCCGTCAGGCCTGGAGCCGGACCGTGCCCAGCCGAGAGCGCGCGGGCGCGGGAGAGGAGCCCTGCCCTGCCCAGGGCAGGCTGTTTAGACGGGGCGGGAACCCTTAGCCTGGCCCCGCGTCTCTATCCCCAGCAGCCGTGGAGCCTTCCTAGCCGCCCAAGGCCAGGGACCCTGCCTGGCTTTTCCTCCAGGGCAGCAGATCTCAGCGGCCTGGCACCTCGGCACAGAGGAGCGTGTCCCCCTTCCGCAGAGGAAGGGAGTGGACGGCGTCAGAAAGGGAGGGGAGCCTGGGGCGGTGTCTGGGGCTAGCGGGACCTCTGGGCACTGTGGGGCCCCAGGAGAGGAGACCCTCGGGTCCAGCCTGCAACTGTTGTGCAGGAGGCGCTGGGCGGGACACCTGCAGGCGCTGCACACACACGCGAGGGCCACCATGCCGCGTTTCTCCTTCACAAGACCCTGGGCAAGCGGAGGGTCGTATTTAGGATTCCCTCGGCCTCCCCAGTGTTCTGAAAGTATCTGAGAGGGAGGGAGCAGGAAAACGAAGGGCCGCCCTGCCCAAACTCATCGGGGTGTCTGGTTACTAGGTCGGAAGAGGGGGGATGGTGTTGTGAACAGCCAGTGATCCCGGCCCTGCCTGAGTCCCACACCCCAGATGCAGCTGGGGTGAGGGAGGCGATCCCGTAATATTCCCAGCCGCGTACATTTGTGGCTGCCTGTGACACGACCTCACTCATTGGGAAACCATGCACACTAGCACACTGTTATTTTATTTTTGAGACAGGGTCTTGCTCTGTTGCCTAGGCTGGAGTGCGGTGGCGCAATCACAGCTAACTGCAGCCTCGACCTCTTGGGCTCAAGCGATGCTTCCTGCACCACCACACTTCAGCTAATTTTTTTTGTTTTTTTCGTAGAGATGGTTGAACTCCTCTTGCCTTGGTCTTGGGACTACAGGTGCAAGCCACAGCGCCCGGCCTAGCACAATAGTACTTATTATACTACTCCCACCATAACGGTGCAATAGATGTGAATAAAACTCAAAAGCATAGACAAGGCTGGGCGCAGTGGCTCACGCCTGTAATCCCAGCACTTTGGAAGGCCAAGCTGGATCACATGAGGTCAGGAGTTTGAGACCAGCCTGGCCAACATGGTGAAACCCCGTCTCTACCAAAAATACAAAAATTAACCAGGTGTGGTGGCACACATCTGTAATCCCAGCTACTTGAGAGGCTGAGGCAGGAGAATCACCTGAACCTGGGAGGCAGAGGTTGCAGTGAGCCGAGATCGAACCACTGCACTCCAGCCTGGATGACAGAGCAATACTGTGTCTCAAAAAAAAAAAAGATAGACAATAGTTCAATGTAAGAAAATAATTAGAAAGTGATGAGTTTGTAGTATTTATTGCCCATTTAAAATATAATTTATTTAATTATAAGTTTACTTAGTTTAAAATGTAATAGTGGCTGTGTTTAACCATCGACCTGTGAAATTCCTGCAAATGCCACCATCAGTGGGTACTGGCCGGCTCAGCTCACTCCTGGTGGAAGGGCACGGAGAGGCCTGCAGAGGTTAGTTGGTAGTGGGAGGGGGAGTGTAGAGAAGGCAAAGGGGGCAGGTGTCCAGGAGAGGCCCTGGTTAGTGGCCAGTATGGAGAGGGTGGCCAGGCATAAGAAGACTAGACAGACCGGGTGCAGGGGCTCACGCCTTGAATCCCAGCACTTTGGGAGGCCGAGGTGGGTGGATCTCTTGAGCCCAGGAGTTTGACACCAGCCTGGACAACATGGCAAAATCTCATCTCTACAAAAATACAAAAATTAGCCAGGCATGGTGGGGTGCACCTGCAGTCCCAACTACTCTGGGGACTGAAGTGGGAGGATTGTTTGAGCTCGAGAGGTTGACGCTGCAGTGAGCCGAGACCACGTCACTGCACTCCAGCCTGGGCAACACAGCAAGATCCTGTCTCAAAAAAAAAAATTTTAAAAAAAGAAGGCTAGCCGGGTAGGTTGGGAGGTATTAAGAGGACCTCAGTGCCCATCAAGAGTCTTTACTCAGTGGACGGTGGGAGCTCATGCAGGGGTGTGCCTAAGCCTGGTGGGTGCCTGTGCCCCTTGCTCATCCTGCCGTATCTCCCCGGCCTCTCATCTTCCAGGCCATGCCTTGAGCTTATCTGGAACCTCCACCCTTAGCAGGAAGAAGGGTGAGCAATGGGTGGGTGCTGGGAGAATGCTGGGAGGGCCTGAGAGCACTGCGGGGTGCTAGGCAGAGGCACCCTTCTCTGCCCCACTTGCCTCAGCCCTTCCCGCATGATGTTCCATGCTGCCTCTGGAGGGGTGAGGCTGGGAGGGGAGGGTATGGTGGGGTGGGAGAGGCCCTGGTCCCCCACCCGCAGAAGAGAAGCAGGAGCCCTCGATGATCACAGCCCTGGGATAGACACAGTGCCTCAGCCAAGGGTCAGGTACATGCCCCTCTGGAGGACAGGCTGTACCCCTCGGAGACTCATTGCATTGGCAGCTGGTCTAGGATGTGGGACAGTCTGCGGTAAGGTGAGTGGCCGGGGTTTTAGTGTGTGAGATGTGCAACGCCATTTTCACCTGCATCTGAGTTTCCAGCAGCTCGCAGGGTACCGGCCATATTGTTTCTCTATCTGGGTGCTGATCTCATGGGGTGTTTGTCTTGTGACCATTCACTGGGCTGTCCAGGTGCAATCTGTGCACCTTTCTCTGTGGTTCTATGCCTCACACAGGGTGTGCAGGGCACAGCATCCGCAGGGTGTCCTGGGCAGAGGAGAGGGGCTTCTGGCCGCACCAGGGGAGAAGGCACAGGGACCTCTGGCAGCCCAGCCCTCAGGACACAGTCAGGCCACGTGACCTTCCCCCCAAGTGAGGCGCCCCTGGACCCACAGGGTTGGGTGTGGGGCTGCTCTGACGGCAGCCAGTCCCACGGGGCCTCTGAGTCACAGCCTCAGCCCACCTGTGCCTTGGAGTCACTCCTGACAGCCCCACCCACCAGCTCTGTGTGATAAGGGACAGGTCCCTGCTCCCCGGCTCTGCTGAGGGAGGCGCCCCACCCGAGCCTTCCCCTCTGTCCTCTACATGACACCCCTGCGGTGGTAACCTAACTGTGTCTTAAAAACAAGCACTTGTCCCCTTTCCAAGTCCTGGGTCCACATTCACGCATTTGCCTTTCAAAGGCACAGCTGGGCTCTAGTCCTCGCTCACCACAGAGGAAACACAGGGAAGCCCAGAGAAGCCAAGGTCGCACCGTCGCCCAGCGAAGGCAGAGCTGGGGCCAAGCCCTGGCCTTCGCACTCCATGTGGCCACTTTATCTCTGCCCAGCACAGGAGCTGCAAGGAAAAGACTCCAGGAGAGGAGCCCTGAGGGGACAGTGCCCCAGCCCACCCATGTCCAGTGAGTGGGCAGGGCAGGTGGGGCTGCGGACCCCAGGCTCAAGACCTTCTCACCAGCCATCTTCAGAGGAGAAGCCAGCCCTGCCTCACCGCAGGACTACGCGCTTCTGCCCACTATGCAAGTGTGGCGAAGCCTGCAGCAGCTGCAGCCAGGAGCTGATGGGCCGGGGCAGTGCCCCATTCTCCTGCGACAGCTGAGCTCCCACCCCAGATTCCCTGCTCCCACCAGGGGCTTCCCCACAGCAAGGACCACCTTCCTCCTCTGAGCCAGCCAGGCGGCCACTGGCCCAGTCTGGCTGGGGACAGGGCCCTGGGTGGTCTCTGTCCCCACCCTGCCTGTTCCTTCTCTTGGGCTGAGCCCAGTGCTGGGGTCAAGGATGGGGAATGGGTGCTCTTGAACTGCTGACTCACTGATCCCAATCAACAGGAGTTTGCAGGGGAAAGGTGAGCCCTTCCCACCTGGGGAAGGCGTGTCTTACTCTCCAAGTAGGCATTTCATGGCACCAGGCAGATGCTTGGGCATTTGCCATAGTGTAACTGTTCAGAACAGTTGCTCTCAGTTGAACAAATATTTCCAGAGCATCCACTGAGGGGCAGACCAGGTGTTGGGGCCAGGATGAGTAAAACACCATTCTCCGTCTCTGAGGCCAGGCGATCTGGCAGGCTAGACAGGGCTGAACACACCTTGGGTACCATGCGTGAGGGCCACAGGACGGGAGAGGTCCTGAGCCAGCACCAGGCGCATGGGTTAGGGTCCAGCCATCAGCTGGAAGGGTCTCCTGTGGAGGTGATAACAGGGGCTTGAAGAGTGAGCCAAGGGGGCTGGCACTAGCAATGCCAGAGCAATGAGGGGCAGGCCGTGGGGAGACGGACGTAGTTCATCCTGCCAAGAGTGAGCTGCAGGGGCCAGGGTAGATGTGGGGGAGTTGTGGGCAAGGTGGGCCAGGACCTTGGGGAGAACCCACAGTCCTGTGGAGGCGCTGTCTGGGAGCCCTTGGTGAGGGCGGAGCTGAGCAGGAGCAGGGCTTGCAGAAGAGACCTGGAGGGTGATGTCACAGGAGCCAGGGAGGAAGGGGACTGGGCTTGAGAGGCTTGAGGGCATTTGGGAGATTCCTTGGCAGGGGCTTGGTGATGGCTTGGGCGTGGGAAGTGAAGGAGAGGGAGGAACCTGGGAAGATCCCCGGCTTCTGGGCGAGGGGGTGGTGGTGATTCTGCCTGCAGAGAAGGGGTGGGGAGCCTGGGAGGGCCTGGAGGGAGGGAGGAGTCCACAGTTCACACTAGGACGCCTGGGTTTTCCAGTGGCTATCTGACATCCGGGAGGAGGCCAGAGCCCAGCACACGGAGGCTCTAGAGATTCCAAGACGATGAGGAGGCTGGTCCTGAGCTGACCTGAGCGGAAGGGGCCTGAGGGTGCAGAGGGAGGACGGGGCTGACAGCAGAGTCCTGGGAGCATCTTTAGAGGCCGTGGACCACAGCCAAGCCAGTAGGGAGCCCATCCAGGGAGGCAGTGGGTACAAAAACAGAAGAAAGCTGAAAAGAGCACCCTGGGACTCCGATATTCAAGGACCATTGTTTTAAGGTTTCTGATCTCCGCATTCAACAGTGACAAGGGCAGCAGACATCGGTACTCTCAGGCATTTGTACAGCACCTTCTGCACTTCAAAATGCCTTCCCTGCACCCCCAACACAGGGCTTGCAAATACAAAGCCAGGTGAGGAATGGCCCTAGGGCCCCCGTCCCAGCCCTCCCCAGTTTGCATTCATTTGGTTCCTGAGCTAGGACGCTCCCTCCAGCTACCGGCATCTGGCTGCTGAGGTGGGGGCCGGGGGCCTGCCAGCCTGCTGTGTCCTTGCCCATCAATTTTACCACCTGCGAGACGCCAGGAGAGGGCACATGAAATATAAAATGAGTTGAGGCATAAAAGTGTTTCGGAATAAAAATGATGTGTACTGGCAAGAGATTACAGTTATTACAAGGACCGTGCGCTGCCGCCATCACTCATACCTGGGAGAGGAAGAGTGTGGTCGCCTGCCGAAGGAGGCAGCAGCCACCGTGCCTCCTCCTCTGGGGACAGGGCCGCAGACTGCAGGGTGCCAGGCTGCAGGATGGGCTGAAGCCAGCCCTCCGGGAGCATCCAGTGCTCTGGGGGATGAATGACACTCCCATGTCACAGTTAGGCACAATGCAGGGCCGGGCGCCGTGGCTCATGCCTGTAATCCCAGCACTTTGGGAGGCCGAGGCGGGTGGATCACCTGAGGTCAGGAGTTCAAGACCGGCCTGGTCAACATGGCAAAACTCTGTCTCTACTAAACACACAAAAATTAGCTGGGCATGGTGGCAGGCGCCTGTAATCCCAGCTACTTGGGAGGCCGAGGCAGGAGACTCACTTGAACCTGGGAGGCAGAGGTTACAGTGAGCTGAGATCACGCCACTGCACTCCAGCCGGGCATCACAGTGAGCCTCTGTCTCAAAAACAAACAAACAACAAACAAAAACTATTAGGCATGGTGCAAATATGCTCCTTTTTCTGTTACATTTTCCAAGGTGTCTTGGACGTTTACCAGACGGCTTTGGCAGGTGGCATTCTTTTTTTTTTGAGACGAAGTCTCACTCTTTTCCCACAGGCTGGAGTGCAGTGGCGTGATCTTGGCTCACTGCAACCTCCACCTCCTGGGTTCAAGTGATTCTCCTGCCTCAGCCTCCTGAGTAGCTGGGATTACAGGTGCCCACCACTGTACCAGGCGAATTTTTGTATTTTTAGTACAGACGGGGTTTCACCATGTTAGTCAGGCTGGTTTCAAACTCCTGACCTCAGGTGATCCGCCCACCTTGGCCTCCCAAAGTGCTGGGATTACAGGCGTGAGCCACCGCGCCCAGCCGGCAGGTGGCATTCTTATGTTTGATTCTGCCCATTCTGCAGAGGAGTCAAGCAAGGCTCACTGTATGTTAGTGCCTTGGCCTAAGTAGCAATATTAATTCTAGTACTGCGAGTCTAGCCTTCTGAATTCCATTCATTCATTCATTCATTCATTCGTTCATTCATTGGATGAACATTCTTCCAGGCCTACTATGTGCCAGGAACTCTCCCAGATGGTAGAGACACAAAGATGTTTCCAGCTAATTATTATTATTATTTTTTTAAGACAGGGTCTCACTCTGTTGTCCAGGCTGGAGTGCAGTGGCACAATCTCGGTTCACTGCAGCCTTGACCTCCTGGGCTCAAGCAATCCTCCCACCTCAGCCCCCTGAGTAGCTGGGACTACAGGCGCATGCCACCACACCCAGCTAGCTTTTGTATTTTTTGTAGAGACAGGGTTTTGCTATGTTGCCCAGGCTGGTCTCGAACTCCTGGGCTCATGTCCCTATTTTTTTTTTTAAGTTGATGGATAGAATTTTCTTGGTTTTAAGTTTCTCTTTCATGCACTTTTATTAAAACATTGGCATCTGTTATCCGTAACTACATTAAGATCCCTCTAAGATAGTATCTGGCTGGGCCCAGAGTACCAACATTGAATGACCTGTGGTTTCCTAGGGCAGGATTTCGTGGGATTTTGCAGAGAGACCCCTCACCCCGGCTCTGGGCCACCCTGAATAACAATGTCAAAAACGATCTGGTGGGCACCCTCTGGAGCAGGGTAAGGTGAGTTGGGAGAGAACATGGCTCTCTGCAGCCAGACTCAGTGGCTCACACCTGTAATCCCAGCACTTTGGGAGGCCGAGGTAGGCGGATAATGAGGTCAGGAGTTCGAGACCAGCCCGGCCAATATGGTGAAACCCCATCTCTACTAAAAATACAAAATTAGCCGGGCTTGGTGGTGTGTGCCTGTAATCCCAGCTACTCGGGAGGCTGAGGCAGGAGAATCACTTGAACCAGGGAGGCAGAGGTTGCAGTGAGCCAAGATCATGCCACTGCACTCCAGCCTGGGCAACAAGAGGAAGACTCCGTCTTAAGAAAAAAAAATGGCTCTGTCTGCAAGCTCAGGTGTCTCAACGTCTGGTTCTACCACTACCGGCTGTGGGGCTCTGGGCAAGATGGGAACGTCACACCAGATGGCCCGGGGAGGCCCCAGGGGAGTACCCTGCTCACAGTGAGCACACACTCCACGGCAGCTGCTGTTACTAGGATGATGTGATGTTGTTGTGTTGTTGGTAGGACTAGGCCCATCCAGGGAGGGTCTCAAAGCTGGGTGGGGAGAGCTGGCGTGCCACTTGGGGAGCAAGGAGCTCCGTCTCTCAGCTGAGGCTGGACGTCTACCTCTCTGACACTGCAGGTGTGTGCGCCCCCTCCCTCCTGGGGATATCATGAGGATGAAGCAGAAGCACGCATTGTGTGTGTGCATGTGCAGGGGGCAGGGTGAAGAAATCTTACAATTTTAAACTGCTCAGGTGTCTGGGAAGTAAAGAAAAGAAGGAAGGAATGAAGCCCTCCTTTTGGGATGTCTTGGGGTCACAGAGACCCTTTTCTGGGAAGATTTTTCATTTCCCCATCTTTTTTCATTTATTTGAGACAGAGTCTCGCTCTGTAGCCCAGGCTGGAGTGCAGTGGCACGAGCTCAGCTCACTGCAACCTCCACCTCCCAGGTTCAAGCAATTCTCCTGCCTCAGCCTCCCAAGTAGCTGGGATAACAGGTGTGAGCCACTATGCCTGGCTAATTTTTGTATTTTTAGTAGAGACAGGGTTTCTCCATGTTGGCCAGGCTAATCTCAAACTCCTGACCTCAGGTGATCTGCCTGCCTCGGCCTCCCAAAGTGCTGGGATTACAGGCGTGAGCTGCAGCGCCCGGACTCCGCACCTATTTTCTGCTCTGCGTAGGGACAGCCTAATGCATTCTGCAGCAGGGAGCCATGGCAAATTGGTAACAAGCCGGCCCCTGGCCTTCATCCCACCCCTCCCCGTTCTCAGACCTGCCCTGTCAGCTGACAGTCCTTTGAGCCAGTCTCAGCTCACAGCTTGGCCTTGGCAGTGATCATCCCAGGCTCTGAGAAGGGCTGGCCCCTGCTAGTCTCGCAGGAAGGACCCTGCTGGCTGTGTGTGGTGTGCGCCGCGCTCACTGACCCCTCCGGGCCCCCTCCTTCCACCTCCCTTGCTGCCCTTCCGACGGGTGAGCGGGGAGAGCAAGGCATGAGCCCCCAGCGCGTTCTAGTCCTTCCTGCGTGGCTGTTTCCTGAGTGCTGCCCACTCAGCATGCACTACCCCCCCAGGCCAGGATGATGCTGGGCACACCAGGGAAGCAGGGAGAGAACCTGTCCTTGCCTTTGTGAAGGGGGAATCGTCGTAAGCAGGGAATGATTGCAACGTATGAGAGACTGTGGCATGGATTGTACCTGTCACCTCTCGGCCTCACCTTTCTGAGCCTCTGTCGGCCCTCAGGTCTATGCAGACTGCGCCTCTCCCTCCCCCTCACCAGGCAGCCAAGCAGCCCCTTGCTTCTTCGTCTGCCCTGGGGCCTCTTGGACCTCACCTGCAGGACGTGCTCTGCACAGTTTCCTGCACACCTGCAAGTGTGTGGGGGCCTATGCCTGTGAGCCACCCTTGAGCAAAGGTGTAAAGACCGAAGGACAAGGCCCCCCAGGCCCCTGCAAGTGGGTGGTTCATGAGCTTCCTTGGAAGGTCCCAAAGGACGGAGCTCCAGCCACCCCAGCAGTAGCCAGCTCCATGACCCCCGTTCCCTTCCACTCCTGTGTCACTCCCTATCCCTCAGGGGAATGCAGCTAAAGCAGCAGTGTCTGGGGAGCACCCAGCAGGGCCGTGACTCAGGCTGGGGATCAGGGAGGGACTCCCTGCAGAGGTGACATTTAAGCCAAGCTCTGAAGCAGGAATGGGAGTTGTCCGGGCAAAGAGGCATCCTGGGTGAGGAAAGCAGCCTGTGCAAGGCCTCGAGGTAGGTGAAGCTGCTTGGGAGTAGCAACGGCAGGGTGGGAGGAGTAGGCAGTGGAGAGGATGGACACGGTGGAGGGGAGGGATGTGGTGGAGAGGGATGGACACAGTGGAGAGGAGGTACATGGTGGAGAGGATGGACGTGGTGGAGGGGAGGGACGCGGTGGAGAGGATGGACGCAGTGGAGAGGAGGGACATGGTGGAGAGGATGGACGTGGTGGAGGGGAGGGACGCGGTGGAGAGGGATGGACGTGGTGGAGGGGAGGGACACAGTGGAAAGGATGGACACAGTGGAGAGGAGGGACATGGTGGAGAGGATGGACGTGGTGGAGGGGAGGGACACAGTGGAAAGGATGGACGCAGTGGAGAGGAGGGACATGGTGGAGAGGATGGACGTGGTGGAGGGGAGGGACACGGTGGAGAGGATGGACGCAGTGGAGAGGAGGGACATGGTGGAGAGGATGGACGTGGTGGAGGGGAGGGACGCGGTGGAGAGGATGGACGCAGTGGAGAGGAGGTACATGGTGGAGAGGATGGACGTGGTGGAGGGGAGGGACGCGGTGGAGAGGATGGACGCAGTGGAGAGGAGGTACATGGTGGAGAGGATGGACGTGGTGGAGGGGAGGGACGCGGTGGAGAGGATGGACGCAGTGGAGAGGAGGGACATGGTGGAGAGGATGGACGTGGTGGAGGGGAGGGACGCGGTGGAGAGGATGGACGCAGTGGAGAGGAGGGACATGGTGGAGAGGATGGACGTGGTGGAGGGGAGGGACGCGGTGGAGAGGGATGGACGTGGTGGAGGGGAGGGACACAGTGGAAAGGATGGACACAGTGGAGAGGAGGGACATGGTGGAGAGGATGGACGTGGTGGAGGGGAGGGACACAGTGGAAAGGATGGACGCAGTGGAGAGGAGGGACATGGTGGAGAGGATGGACGTGGTGGAGGGGAGGGACACGGTGGAGAGGATGGACGCAGTGGAGAGGAGGGACATGGTGGAGAGGATGGACGTGGTGGAGGGGAGGGATGCGGTGGAGAGGATGGACACAGTGGAGGGGAGGGAAGTGGTGGAGAGGAGGGACGTGGTGGAGGGGAGGGATGTGGTGGAGAGGATGGACATGGTGGAGGGGAGGGAAGTGGTGGAGAGGATGGACGTGGTGGAGGGGAGGGACACGGTGGAGAGGGATGGACACAGTGGAGAGGAGGGACATGGTGGAGAGGATGGACGTGGTGGAGGGGAGGGACACGGTGGAGAGGATGGACGCAGTGGAGAGGAGGGACATGGTGGAGAGGATGGACGTGGTGGAGGGGAGGGACGCGGTGGAGAGGATGGACACAGTGGAGGGGAGGGAAGTGGTGGAGAGGAGGGACGTGGTGGAGGGGAGGGATGTGGTGGAGAGGATGGACATGGTGGAGGGGAGGGAAGTGGTGGAGAGGATGGACGTGGTGGAGGGGAGGGACACGGTGGAGAGGGATGGACACAGTGGAGGGGAGGGACGCAGTGGAGAGGATGGACATGGTGGAGGGGAGGGATACGGTGGAGGGGAGGGAGGAGAGGGGAGGGACGCGGTGGAGAGGATGGACACAGTGGAGGGGAGGGACACAGTGGAGAGGATGGACACGGTGGAGGGGAGGGAAGTGGTGGAGAGGAGGGACGTGGTGGAGGGGAGGGATGTGGCGGAGAGGATGGACGTGGTGGAGGGGAGGGACACGGTGGAGAGGGATGGACACAGTGGAGGGGAGGGACGCAGTGGAGAGGATGGACATGGTGGAGGGGAGGGATACGGTGGAGGGGAGGGAGGAGAGGGGAGGGACGCGGTGGAGAGGATGGACACAGTGGAGGGGAGGGACGCGGTGGAGAGGATGGACACAGTGGAGGGGAGGGAAGTGGTGGAGAGGAGGGACGTGGTGGAGGGGAGGGATGTGGCGGAGAGGATGGACGTGGTGGAGGGGAGGGACACGGTGGAGAGGGATGGACACAGTGGAGGGGAGGGACGCAGTGGAGAGGATGGACATGGTGGAGGGGAGGGATACGGTGGAGGGGAGGGAGGAGAGGGGAGGGACGCGGTGGAGAGGATGGACACAGTGGAGGGGAGGGACACAGTGGAGAGGATGGACACGGTGGAGGGGAGGGACGCGGTGGAGGGGAGGGACGCGGTGGAGGGGAGGGAGGAGAGGGGAAGGATGCGGTGGAGAGGAATGGATGTGGTGGAGGGGAGGAACGCATTGGAGAAGATGGACACAGTGGAGGGGAGGGACGCAGTGGAGAGAGACGGATGCATTAGAGAGGGATGGACGTGGTGGAGAAGATGAGCGTGGTGGACAGGGATGGATAAGATGCTCAGCAATGGACGCAGTGGTCATCGGCGCCTTCTTGGCAGGCCACAGGGAGGAGTTTAGACTGCGCTAGGGCAAGGGGGAGCCACACAAGGGTTTGGAGCAGGAACTATTTTGGCCACTTGATGGAGACCGGATGCAGTGTTGGGGCCAGAGCAGGCAGGGAGACCCATTAGGAGGCTGTTCCGGTGACCCGGTAGGACGACAAGCAAGAACAACAGTGGGGGTGGGGAGAATACCCCCAAATTGTGCCATAGTCAGCTTCAGCATCTCATTCCGTGTGAATTACGAGGCTGGTCATGGTGAGTGTCGGGGCCTCCATGGATGCTCGGGGTGATTTCTCATGGATCCTGCAACCACGTCTCCCCTTCACAAGCCTCTTGCCAAGCCCTGCTGGCCCTGGTCCTCTGTGTTCTTGCTCCTTAGGTCAGTCTCAGACATTCCTGACACTTGTGCTTCGTGGCCCTTTCCCAGCCCTGGCTGGCATCTCGCGATGTAGAAGGGAGAGAGGCCAGAAGGAGAGCAGCTCAGCCCACGAGGAGGTGCCCATGGAGGCTGGCAGGGGCCCAGGGGCCCCCCTGCACTCTCCCCAGTTTTGAGACCTTAGGGCAGTCTCTCACCCTCCAGTCTTGGTTTCTCCACCTCTGAAAGAATCACTTTTCCTTCCTGCCAGGAACTGAAGTCAAAGGCACGGCATTATTGAGACACATTGGGGAGCAGTGGGCCCAGCACTGGGACCCATGCTGGGTGTCCCAAGAGCACAGAATGTTGGCAGGGAGGGGCGGGGGCCAGGCAGGGAGCTCCCTGCTGCTCTACGGCTGCCCCACCTGCAGCCCTTCCCTTCACCCCACGCCCCAGTTTCCTCTGCTCTTGGGTGGCCAGTCACCCAGGGGTGGTATCCAGGGAGGTTCTTGCAGGCCCAGCTTCACTGGCCTGGAAGGGCTAAGCTACCTGGCCCAGGGGTGTGTCCACTTTGTCCTGGGCAGGCTATGGGCATCCCACAGGTGGAGTCCCATGGCAGGGCTGGAGCCAGGGGGTAACTCGGCAGGACAGAGGCCCAGCCACCAGGAAGCTCGCCTGCTGATGGCCAAGCTCAGGACACCTTGCACCACTGTACCTGAGGACAGGCTGTGACTGATGACAGTGGCTTCATCCTCAGAGGGGAAGTGTCCTGGAGGGATGTGGCTGGAGGCACCCAGCCCTGCGGGAGCCCCTTTGAATGAGCAGATACCTCGGGAAGCAGGGTGAAGGGGGCAGAAACTGGGAACTCTGGATTTCAAGACTTGAAAGAAAAGTGCTGCATTGTGCGGTGGCATCTGCTTGTGGGGACAAGGGCTCCCTGGTGAGACCTCTCCATCCCCTCCCTCCCTCCCCCTCTGTCTCACACTCTTTCTCTCTCTCCCTGTCCTCCTATCTCGGCCTCGCACTCGGGTCGTGTTTGGTCTGTGATGTCACCACTCCCCTCCCTGTGGCTGCCATTCAGAGCTGGCAGTAATGAAAAGCACAGGATTCCCACTCACTGGGCCCCAGCAGCACTACAGAGACATGGAGCCCTTTGTTGCAAATAATTAACTTGGTCCCATGTTGCATAACATCCTAAAAAGCTTTCCTGAGCGAGCACCCGCCAGACACTGTGATCTCATCAATACTGCATCGCATCGGACACTACTGCTGTGTGATTTCATTAAAAATTTAATTTGTGTTTTAAATCTGCAGTGTTCCCTTTAAAAGGATGGCGAGGGCGGGGGATGAAGAGAGTGACAGGCTTGGGTCTGGGGGTGGGCATTCCAAAGCAGAGGAAACCCCACGCCCCACAGGAGGTGGGGGCGGGGCTTCCCACTGGAGCAGCGGCCCCTCTCCGATTGGCTGGGCTTGGTCTGTGGCCTCTCCTGGTGCTGGAGGGAGAGTGATGGACCATTGATGGAAAATGCTTTTCTGAAGCTTAATGGTTTTCCCTTTCTCTCGGCCACCTCAGGCAGAGGGCTGCTCCTGGGAACCCAGACACAGGAGGATGGCCAGGTGGTGGTGCAGGTGGTGGTGCAGGTGGCGGTGCAGGTGGCAGGGCAGGTGGCGGTGCAGGTGGCGGGGCAGGTGGTGGTGCAGGTGGCGGTGCAGGTGGTGGGGCAGGGCAGGAGTGCCAGGTGGCAGGGCAGGTGGCGGTGCAGGTGGCGGTGCATGTGGTGGGGCAGGTGGTGGGGCAGGGCAGGAGTGCCAGGTGGCAGGGCAGGTGGCGGTGCAGGTGGCGGGGGCAGGTGGCGGTGCAGGTGGCAGGGCAGGTGGTGCAGGTGGTGGTGCAGGTGGCAGGGCAGGTGGCGGTGCAGGTGGCGGGGCAGGTGGCGGTGCAGGTGGCGGTGCAGGTGGTGGGGCAGGTGGTGGTGCAGGTGGCGGTGCAGGTGGTGGGGCAGGGCAGGAGGGCCAGGTGGTGGGCAGGCGGTGATGCAGGTGGTGGTGCAGGTGGTGGTGCAGGTGGCAGTGCAGGTGGTGGGGCAGGGCAGGAGGGCCAGGTGGTGGTGCAGGTGGCAGTGCAGGACGTGTTTTCCGGAGACCCCGTCCTCTGTGCCCCTCCAGACCCAGTGCCTACAGTGGTCAAGACCAGAGCTGCAGCCTCACTCCTGCCCTCCTGGCTGTGTGACCTCAGGCAAGCTGCTTGTCCTCTCTGAGTACAGATCACTGCCCGGAGTGTGAGTGGGGGCCTTGCCTGTCCCCAGCTCCAGGTTGCTGACAGGAGAGTGTGAGTGAAGGGCCTTGCCTGTCCCCAGCTCCAGGTCAGCACCCGCAGTGTCACTCTCACCCCCGTGTGGCTATGGAGCAGGCAGCCATTGGTGACTGGGTAGCAGACCCTCCGGAAAGGCTGCGGTTCTGTTTTCTTTCTTTGTCTAGACTTCACTCTCTTCCAGAGAGGATTTAAGCTGGCCTTCATCATCGGTGCTGCCTGCAGACCCGTCCCTGGGATTTCGCTGCGAATGGGATCCTGTTGTTTCTAGACAGGGACCTCCATTGTGTTGGGGGGGGATTGGTTTCACTCCTGTTTCCAGTGAGCGGGGAGGGAAAGAGAGCTCAGGTTCTGGTTGGGGGAGGAGAGAGAGGAAGGTGAGGGGAGCACGGAGAAGGAGACTCTGGGGCAACTTCGTGATGCTGCCTGCCTGGCTCTGCCTGGGGACTCTTTGGTCCCGCCCGCCCTGGCCAGGCCAATTGTTTCCTGCGGAAGGCAGGGATTTGTGCATCTCCAACTATCTCCTGACAGTATGCCAGAGTGATTAAGCTAAGCCTCCCGGGGCCAGCAGAAGAGAGGGGACAAATTGCTTTGTGAAATTGATTTGCTGCTGTTAGCATTTACAGCTTGCCCTGGGTACGCCCACAGTGTGAGGCGGCTGCGTGGGCGTCCTGCTCCCCCTTCCCTCTCCCGCAGCACACGGGCTCTCACTTGGCACCTGCGCACACATCACCTGTCGTGTGTCACATAGCCAGGCCTCAGGACCTGGACTTCAGTACCACTCACCTCAGGGCACAGGTCCAAAGTGTCCCAAATGCCCATGGAGGCAGACGGCCACCCACAGCTGCAGCCTGCAGAGAGAATTGCCCCAGAGACTCTTGGATAGGTGGGTTTCCCCAGGCCAGCGTGAGAGCTGGGGCCACGAGATCTGAGAGGACACCTGGAGGCCCAGAGAGGAGGCGTGAGCTAGCCCTGGGCCAGGGTCTCCCCATCTCTTTTTTTTAAATTTGTTTTGTTTTAGACTGAGTCCCAATCTGTGGCCCAGGCTGGAGTTCAGTGGCGTGATCTCGGCTCACTGCAACCTCCTGCCTCAGCCTCCCGAGTAGCTCGGATTACAGGCGCATGCCACCATGCCCGGCTAATTTTTGCATTTTTAGTAAACACTAAAAATGATTTCATCATGTTGGCCAGGCTGGTCTCGAACTCCTGACCTCAAGTGATCCGCCCGTCTCAGCCTCCCAAAGTGCTGGGATTACAGGCGTGAGCCACTGTGTCCGGCCTCTCCCCACCTCTTGGGGGGCCCCTTCTGCCACACCGGCTGCCCTCCTCCATTCCAGGGGAAGGAAGACAAGGAGAATATTGCCCTGGTCAGCAACAGTTCTCATAGAAGCTGTATGAACTCAGGTGAGCGTCATGAACCCACACGCCTGGGTGCTGGGGCCATTCAGAGAAGAGGCGGTGCTGGGACTGGTGGATCCTTCCAGACAGAGAAATGTGGCTGAGCATCACCACCCAGGAAATAGAAAGCACTGACAATTCGCCCAGGTGGGTCCCACTATGCATTTCAAGAAATGCGTGCTTGGTAACGGAGGCAGCATGGCCTCGGTGCACCCCAGGAGATGGGAGACTCAGGCTACGGGCGCTGCTGGGTATAGTAGCCTGCTTTCAGGCTCTCCTTGGGCACCAGCTCTGAGCAGGCTCTAGGCATGACTAGATGGTGGGAAGGGGGTCCAGGGAGCCATGAGAGGAGCAGCCTCAGCGTCTCTCCTGGGCTGGAGCCAGGTCCATCGCTCAGCTGCTGTGTAACCTCAGACAGGTGACTTCACCTCTCTGGGCTGTGGTAAGGGTTACATTAGACAAACCCCACAAGGCTCTTAGAACAGTGCCGGTTGGTAGGCGGGGCACGGTGACTCACACCTGAAATCCCAGCACTCTGGGAGGCCAAGGTAGGCGGATCACCTGAGGTCAGGAGTTCAAGACCAGCCTGGCCAACATGGTGAAACCCCTTCTCTACAAAAATCAGCCGGGAGTGGTGGCACACACCTGTAATCTCAGCTACTCAGGAGGCTGAGGCAGGAGAATCACTTGAACCTGGGAGGTGGAGGTTGCAGTGAGCTGAGATCACGCCATTGCACTCCAGCCTGGGCAACAGAGCACGGACTCCGTCTCAAAAAAAAAAAGAACAGTGCTGGTCAGTGGAAGCATTTGGCAAATCCTAGTTGTGACTGTTGCTGTTTTCCCCTCCCTTGAGATGCTCAGATGTTTGTCATCATACAAGGACGTGAGGGTGGGGCACACCAGCAGTGCTTCTGAGGTTAGGGGGCTCTTCAGTCCCAGGCCAGGGGGAAGGAAGGAAAGTGGGTCTCTCAGCAGCACCACAGACTGGACCCTAGCACAGCAGGCACGTCCCTTTAAAAATTTAAATTAAAAATATTTAAATGGGGGTAAAATATACATAACATAAAATGTACCATGTTAACTGTTTTTGAGTGGAGCGTTCAGTGGCATTAAGCACATTCACGTGATTGTGGGACCATCACCATGAGTCCCCAGAACTCTTTTCATCCTCCCAAACTGAACTCCGTCTCCATTAAATACCAACTCCCCATTCGCCCTCCCCCAGGCCTGGGCACCCCCCCATTCTACCTCTGTTCCAGTTAAACCAGTGCCCAGCGAGACTCATGTAAGTGGAATGATACAGTGTTTGGCCCAGGAAGCCTTGTGTAAGTGGAATGATACAGTTTTGACCCAAGGAGGCTGGTGTAGCTTCTACCTTTCCTCTATAATGAATAAGACTGCTGTGAACACGGGTGTAGAAATAGCTCTTCAAGACCATGCTTTTACTTCTTGTAGATGTGTACCCAAAAGTGGAATTGCTGGATCATATACCTCCCTTTTAAAACAAATGCAGAAACTGAGGCTATACAGAAGGGCTCAGAGGTTTGCCGAGGGTCCCAGCCACCTCAGTGGCGGAGCAGGCAGCATTTCCCCACCCCAACTCTGTGGGTCGCTGGCACTATGCTCTCCCTCCCCAGCGTCTGTGTGGCCTGTTTTATTCCCAGGCTTTATAGAAGGCTCTCTGGAAGACATGAGCTGTGATGGATGCACCAAAGGAGGGTCATCACCATTCCTTCTTTTTTTTTTTTTTTTTTTTTCTGGAGACAAAGTCTCACTCTGTCACCCAGGCTGGAGTGCAGTGGCGTGATCTCAGCTCACTGCAACCTCCGCCTCCTGGGTTCAAGTGATTCTCCTGCCTTGGCCTCCTGAGTAGCTGGGATTACAGGCACCCACCACCACGCTCAGCTAATTTTTTGTATTTTTAGTAGAGATGGGGTTTCACCATGTTGGTCAGGCTGGTCTCGAACTCCTGACCTCAAATGATCCACCCATCTTGTCTTTCCAAAGTGCTAGGACTACAGGCATGAGCCACCATGCCCAGCTGAGTGTCATCACCATTCTGAACTAGTTTTACTCACACTCTGACACCAAATGTGTGAGGGTTTTTTTTTTTTTTCCTACATCGACCAGTTCTTCAACTTTCCAGACAGCTGGGTGGCCTACAACTCACTTCAATTCTTACACTGACTACCTGTAGTTAGCACAGACCTCACATTTAAGGGTCAGTCCCACAAGATTGCCCCCTCCTTCAGACACCAATGACAAGTCCCAGGTTGTCACCAGTTCTTCTGGTTGACTGGCTATAAATCAGGGTTCCCATAACCCCCATCTCAGGTTCAACAGTTTACTAGAATGACTCACAGAGCTCAAGAAAGTGCTTTACTTACTATTGCTGGTTTATTATAAGGGCTACAACTCAGAAACAGCCACAAAGAAGAGATGCATAGGACAAGATACGGGGGAAGAGGCACCAAGCTTCCATGCCCTCCCCAGCACCTTGACCTGTTCCCCAACCCAGAAGCTCTTTGAACCCCATGTTTAGGGCTTTTTACGGAGGCTGCATCACACAGTCGTGCTTGATTAAATCATCCGCAGTTGGTGATCAACTCAATCTCCAGCCCCTCGCCCCTGTCCAGAGCTCATTGAATCGGGAGCCTTAAGAACCCCCCACCCCCAGTTGCTCTTTCTCTTCCCTCTGGCATGGTGGCTAGATCCCTAGGTGATGAAGTGGAAGGAGGCCTCCTGCTGATCCA
Source organism: Homo sapiens (assembly GCF_000001405.40). Taxonomy (NCBI): domain Eukaryota; kingdom Metazoa; phylum Chordata; class Mammalia; order Primates; family Hominidae; genus Homo; species Homo sapiens. The sequence continues at coordinate 80,497,027 of NC_000017.11, forward strand.
CGATGAACCTACTGTGGGAAAGAACCAGAAAGAACAGCTGCCGCTTAGAGCAGGTGGTATCTCAAGCCTGTGTGTTACTGCAGCAAAACCTATGGCCGCCTGGGTCCTGACCACCTGAGGGGTACAGTGTTCTCAGGGGCGCATTTCTGCCTTCACGTCCCTGAGCCTGGGGAAGTCCTGCCCAAACTCGGTTCTCCTGGAGTCTCTTTCATCTTTGAGGCAACCACTACCTTTCCGTCAACTCCCTCTTCTGCTTCAGTTAACCACAGGTAGGTTTTGCTCCTTGCAACTGACAACCTGGGCTGATGGAGGAAGCTGTTTCAGCTGTTATCAAGCAACACCTCGAGCAGGTGAGTCTGTAGCTGGAGGCCTCCAAGGTGCTGGTGTCTGAAGCAAAGATAGGTCACTGGAAAAAGAGGTGGCGTGTGTGTGTGTGTGTTTAGAAACAGAGTGTAGTTGTGTGTCTGTGCATGTAGAAAGAGGACATGGTTGTGTGTGTGTGTTTGTGTGTGCGTGTATAGAAAGAGGATGTGGGGCCAGGCACAGTGGCTCATGCCTGTAATCCTAGTGTATAATTGGGAGGCTGAGGTGGACAGACTGCTTGAGCCCAGGAGTTCAAGACCAGCCTAGGCAACATATCGAGAGTCTGTCTCTACAACAAAAAATAAAAAATTAGCTGGGCATGGTGATGCATGCCTATAGTCCCAGTTACTCAGGAGACTGAGGCAGGAGGATCACTTGAGACAGGAAGGTTGAAGCTGCAGTGAGCTATGATCACGACACTGCACTGGGTAACAGTAAAACTCCGTCTCAAAAAAAAAAAGTGTTTTTTTGTGTTTGTGAGCATGTGTGTGAGTGTATAGGAAGAGGATGTGGTCATGTGAGTGTGCCTGTGAGTAATGTATATGTGAGTATACCTGTGTGTGTGTGTTGTGTGTATATGTGAGTGTGCCTGTGTGTGTGTGTTGTGTGTATATGTATGTGTTGTATGTATATGTGAGTGTGCCTCTGTGTGTGTGTTGTGTATATGTGAGTGTGTGTGTTGTGTGTATATGTGTGTGTTGTGTGTATATGTGAGTGTGTGCTGGGGCAGCATCACAGGAATTCGCCTGCCATAAGGCCGGGCTGCGTCACGGCTAAGGCCGCAGTTCCCCCACCGTGCCTGGGTTTGGATCCTGGCTGCTCCGGTCGCCTGCTGTGGGTCCTTGCACACATTAACCTCTGAACACCAGTGGCCGTATCTGAAATAGCGCGAGAACAAAACTCAGGATTGCTGGGGAGCTGTAGGAGTGGAATTATGCAAAGCATGGCATGTCGCCCGTAACAGACTTCCGGGCCACCGTGGTGGTGCCGACACAGGCCGGCCGGGGCGTGCGTGGGGTCTGGCTTTGTCTTCTTGTCTCCCTCTGCTCCTCCCTCCTCCCCTGGCCGAGGGAGCCCGGCCTGTCTTCCTGGCCACAGTTCGGGAGGCCGCCGTCCTCAAAGCTGGGCACCAGCTATGGCTCAGTGTCTCCAGCCTCCAGGATTCCTGTGGTCGGGATCCAGCGTCTCTTTATCGTTTTTAAAGTGTTTTGCTGCTGGGAAGCCTCAAGCCTCTCCGCAGAGGGACATAAATAAAGGCAGGAACTTGGCCATTAGTAGGCTTCATGTGGCGTTTCCACCTGGGAGCGCCCTGGCGTGCTGCAAGCTGCCCTCACTGGCCAAGAGCAGGGCGGGAGGGGAGCCTCTGGAGTTCTCCGGTTCTGGGTTAGGTGCCTCTTACTCTCTGGGCTGCAAACAGACGGGGGTGCCTGGCAATGTGCCCCGGGCGGAGCACCCCTAACAGTTGCAGTTCAAATTTGGAGCCAGGCTGACCCTGGTTCAAGTCCTGTTGCTGTGTGCTGGCCGTGTCCCTGGACGGGTGGCACAAGGTCTTGGTCTCCAGTGTGCAGATGAGAGATGGTGATTATCTACTCCTGGGTGCTGGGCTCAGAGCCGCTGGCACCAGCCCTGGGGGCTGCCAGACATATAGCCCTCGGCTCTGTCACGCCCGGAACTCAAACCTCGCAGGCAGTCAGGGGAGAGGTCTGTGTGTGGAGCTCAGAACTCAGTGAGCACCCCATGTGCCTGTAAGGCCTCGCCATCTCCTACCCAACCCAGATGAGGCTCCTGCTTCCCACCCCTGGCAGGGAGTCTGATCTCATCCTAGCTCAAAGGTGGAAACTGAACGTGGGCCAGGTGGCAAAGTTCCCCAGTGGGTTCAGCTTCCGCCGGGTGGAGGAGGTGGGAGGCATGGCTGGAGGCCTGGCATCAGGCTGGATGAGGTGGACCCCTCAGGCTTGAATCCAAGAGGGCTCAGAGGGTGAGTGGGGCCCCAGGCCACGTCTCCAACAGCTGCCCACCTAGCCTTGCGCCTCCGCCTTCCTTCCTTCCTTTAAAAATGGCTACAGGCACATTTTCTTTGATTACTTTTATACTGAATAACACTATCCTTTTTAAAGCAAAAAATACATGCTCATGATAAACAAATGGAACCGGACAGATCTTTATCAAGGCCCCCGCAATGTGACCTTGTGACTCCAAGACAGAATAACTTTCCATGTGTGTTTTCAAGAGGTTGTGGGGAGCCGCTGAACCTGGGAGCAGTGAGGGCACAGGCGAGAGCTGTGGCCAGGAGAGTCACAGGAGCGGCAAAGACGAAAGGGAGTGGGAGATGGGAGGCCAATCAGAAAGCAGTGCCCGAAGCTGGGTGAGGAGCAGCAAAGGCGGGGGTTTCCTTGAGGATACCTGAGAGCCATGCTAGGGTGGGGAGGTCTGGGGGGAGTTGTGGGCTGGCCTTGAGTTTGAGATTGAGGCCCAGGCTGAGAGCGTGGTGACCCCTGCACTGTGGGTCTGCTCGAGCTGTGTGCTTCCCAGGAGCAAGAGCAAAGAGGCCAGAGGGAGGGGGGCAGAACAGGCCAGCAAGGGAGCCCCCAGAACAGGACACGCGTTCCTTGGCCCTCCCCAGGCAGCCCTAAGAGGGAAGAGAAGCTCTGCCCCCTCCTGCCCCCTCCTGCCCTCTCCTGTTCCCTCCTGCCCCCTCCTGCTCTCCTCCATGGAGTCAGGGGGCCCCAGGTGGCCATGGCCAGCCCATTCAGGGATCTGAGCCCCAGAGCCTGCATGCCAGGGTGAGCAGAGCCAGCTTGACTGCAGCCATGCTGACCCCGCAACCTTCCCCGAGGTCTGAGGACACCACGCTCCCTTCCTGCCGGCAGGTTGTAATTGGGTTTCACACGGGGCCTTCTGGCGCTGACCTACATGTTCCGGTCCGTGCCTCCTTGGTTTCTGAGTGTGTGCCCCTGATGGTTCTGGAACCTCTGGGCGTGGGCCTCCTTCCCTCCCCGCCTCATCAGCTGCTCTGATTCCACCGGGCAAGGTCAGGCTGGCAAGGAAGGAATTGGAGCTGCAGTCTGGGCGCCAGGCCCAGAGTGTGCTTCCCAGGGGCTGCCTGTGGGGAGGCTCCCGATCTGCCCACTCCCGAAATAAGAAGGGGCGCCCAGAGAGGAGGAGACTCTGGATGCGTGGTCAGCAGGCACCGGCTGCCATCCCCAGGAGAGTCATTGCCTGTGAGGACGTTGACCCTGGTAGGACCCGCCTCTCTGAAGCTGTCTCGGGTGTGAGTGAGGAGGAACGGGGTCTCTGGGGACTGAGCCCTCATCTCCAGTGCAAAATGCAGAGGCATGGGAGGGAATCAAATGAAACAGTGTGTGTGGAACAGAAGGCGCCAAATGGGAATGTCCCCCTGCCTGTCCATCTCCCTCCCTCCCCCGCCTCCTTATTTGCAGACGGAGGGACTGGATATCCTGGCAGAGCGTCTTCCGTGATGCGTAACCTCCCAGGAGATGCATGTTCTGGGGTTCCCCACTTACAGTTGAGAATACAGAGGCTAAGAAGGGTGAAGGGACTGCCTCCGGGTCCCAAGGCTGTTCCAAGTGATCTAGGACTCAGCTTTGGTCCTCCTGCCCTCAGCACCCTTGGTCATCACCTCCACTCGGTGTGCAGGAGGCTCCTGCTGTAGGTGCCCAGATGTTCGGCAGCTTTGTACTTAGAAATTTCGAGGGGGCGGTCGGGCGCTGTGTCTCACGCCTGTAATCCCAGCACTTTGGGAGGCCGAGGCAGGTGGATCACAAGGTCAGGAGATCGAGACCATCCTGGTTAACACAGTGAAACCCCGTCTCTACTAAAGATACAAAAAAATAGCCGGGTGTGGTGGTGGGCGCCTGTAGTCCCAGCTACTCGGGAGGCTGAGGCAGGAGAATGGTGTGAACCCGGGAGGCGGAGCTTGCAGCTAGCCGAGATCACGCACTGCACTCCAGCCTGGGTGACAGAGCAAGACTCCCTCTCAAAAAAAAAACAAACACACAGAAATTTCGAGGGGGCAGAGGGTGTCCTAACCTTGTCCCTCAGCAGGTCTTCACCCTGGCACCTTCACCAGACACCCGCCATGGCTCTCGGCTCAGCGGGTAGCTGAGTGTGTTCTCTTTGGGTTCTGACAGGTTCCAGCTTGTTTTTTGAGACCTTGTCAGCGTGGGGCCTGCCGGGAAGCAGGTGCTTGTCTTTAATGGGATGCCTTATCCTGGGCTCCACAGGCTGCACGGGGCGTTGTTCAGGTGACTCCTACACGCCGAGGCGTCTCTAGAGGAGGAGCCTCAAAAGGACTAGCAGGGGGTGCAGATAACTTTGTTTTTAAAATGAAGCCAAAGCTTTCACCACATCTCAGAGACAGAGTGACCCGAATGTGGAGGTTTGGCTGGAACCAGGCAGGTACCATCCACTACGGCTCCCACCTCTCCTGCTCGGAATCCCCCGCTGCCCTCCCCCAGGCCCTGGTCTCTGATTTCAGACTCGCCTCTGCTCTGTTTCACGTCTCCTGCAAGCAGACAAGCATGAAGCCTGCCCTCCGAGGCTGCATGAATAATAGAACTGAAATCATCCCTAGTTAAAAATAGATACTCTTCTTAATAAATATTTTACATACTGTCTTTAGGATATACAGGTCCCCTGGCTGAAGACTTAAAGCAAACCCTGTTATCGAAACCAAAAGATGTAGGAAAGGCTCTGCCCGGGCTCTGCCAGTGTGTTCCTGCACCACGGCTCTTGCCTCAAAGCCACCCACTCTGCGGTGACGTCCGACGCAGACAGCGCACACACGGATTACGTTGGAACTCATAGCCAGGAGCGGCTTGGGAATTCTTGGGTGTATTAGTCACTTGTGAATTTTATGGAGGCAAATCAATTATAAAGTGCCCCTTGGTTAGTGAGGCTTGGAGTTCAGAAAACCCAAAAGCAGGTTCTTACGTTACTGCTGCGAGGCAAGGCCTTCACCGTGAATGGAAGCTGGGGTGTCTGGGGGCAGCTGTGTGGAGGAAGAGAAAATTCTGGGCAGAAGCAGTTGGAGTTTAAAGTGCTGGCCCATTTCTGAAAACTTTGCAAACTTTGCAAAAACTTTGGATCGGACGTCACTGCAGAGTGGGTGGCTTTGAGGCAAACAGAGCAATCTTGAAGGTCTCCATTAATGAAGGCATGGCGTGGTCTGGATGCAGCAAATGCATTTGAATGATCTGCAGGAAGGCCTCGTAGCCTTGCTCCCCCCACCCATGTGCTTCCCCAGGAAGACAGGGGCAGCTAGGAAATGCTGGGGCCTGCCCAGTGTGCAGACCGCTTCCAGGTGACCCCACGCTGCATGGCCCAAGGCAAAGGCTGGAGCGTCCTTATTTAACAGGAGAGGAAAGTGGATACTGGAAGGGCAGAGCGTGCTGGGGCTGGAACAGACAAGCCCCAGGCTGGAGGGCCCATGTCTCACTCCCTCTGCCCCACACCTCAGCTGGTCTGCCTATGTGGTATTCTTGAACTGAGTGAAGAGACCCTTCTCTGTCAGGGCCACCTGCCCCACAGAGGGGCTCTTGTCTTCCTTGTGCTCAACATACCTTGAGGACATTTTGCTTTAGCACCCAGCACCCTGGATGGCATGTAGGGGTCCAGGTGTGTCTCTGCTCCAGACAGTGAATCCTTGAGCACCTGGCTTAGAGCTGGGCCCCTGGTACATGTTGTTACATGGATGGGTGGGTAGGTGGATGGGTGGGTGGGTAGGTGGATGGGTAGGTGGGTGATATGATTTGGCTTTGTGTCCCCACCCAAATCTCATCTTGAATTGTAATCCCCATAATCCCCACGTGTGAAGGGAGGGACCTGGTAGGAGGTGATTGGATTATGGGGGGTGGATGGGTGGATGTGTGGATGGAGGGATGGGTGGATAGATGGAGGGATGGAGGGGTGGATGAATAGTGTGTATGGATAAGTGGATGGAGGGATGGGTGGATGGGTAGATGGAGGGATGGGTGGAGGGGTAGAGGGGTGGATGGACGGATGGATGGGAGCATGTATGGATAAGTGGATGGAGGGATGGGTGGAGGGGTAGAGGGGTGGATGGACGGATGGATGGGAGCATGTATGGATAAGTGGATGGAGGGATGGGTAGATAGGTGGATGGAGGGATGGGTGGATAGGGGGATGGAGGGATGGGTGGATGGGTGGATACATGGATGGAGGGATGGTGGATAGGTGGATGGATGGATAGAGGGAGGGGTGGGTGGATGATGGAGAGAGGGATGAGTGGATGGATGGATGAGTAGATGAACAGATGTGTGGATAAAGGGATGGGTGAATGGGTGGATGGAGGGATGGGTAGATGGGTAGATGGAAGGATGGATGGAGGGGTGGAGGGGTGGGTGGATGGATGGATGGATTGTTGTGTGTATAGATAAGTGGATGGAGGGATGGGTAGATGGGTGGATGTGTGGATGGAGGATGGTGGATAGGTAGACGGATGGATAGAGGGAGGGGTGGAGGGATGATGGAGAGAGGAATGAGTGGATGGATGGATGAGTGGATGAATAGATGGGTGGATAAGGGGATGGGTGGATGGAGGGATGGGTGGATGGGTAGATGGAAGGATGGATGGAGGCATGGAGGTGTGGGTGGGTGGGTGGATGGGTGTGTGTATGGATAAGTGGATGGAGGGATGGGTGGATAGGTGGATGGAGGGATGAGTGGATGGGTGGATGTGTGGATGGAGGGATGGTGGATAGGTGGATAGAGGGAGGAGTGGATGGATGATGGAGAGAGGGATGAATGGATGGATGGATGAATGGATGAATATATGGGTGGATGAAGGGATGGGTGAATGGGTGGATGAATGGAGGGATGGGTGGATGGAGGGATGATGGATGGTAGGGGTAGATGGGTGGATGGAGGGATGGGTGAATGTATTGATGGTAGGGTGAATGAAGGGATGGGTGGATAGATGGCTGGGTGGAAGGATGGGTGGATTGGTGGATAGATAGGTGAATGGATTGAGGGATGGGCGGATGATGGATGGTGGATGGATGGGTGGGTAGGTGGATCCATGGATGGATGCACAGAGGGAAAAAGGCACATTGTATCAGACTCCAAAGGGAGAATTAATTGCAGCATAAAATGGGAGTCCAGGACCTCTCTTATTTCAGAGTTCATCGTGTAGATGGGAACAGTGTTTAACCCTTCCCTCTCCCACTGCCCTCTGTCAGCTGCTTCCCAGTTCCTAAATTATTGGCTCTGAAAGTGGGGGCTGGGGGAGTGGGGAAAAGAGTGGAGATGCTGAGACTTTCCCATGTGTCCAGCTTCCAGAGGCTTCCAGGACAGACTGTGGCACCATGGTTAGTAGCCAGGAGCAGGTTAGGGCATTATGGTACCTCCCCAAACAAAGCAGGGTGCTCCAGCTTCAGGCAGTCAGGACCCCATCTGCTCAGTGAGTGTCTGGTCAGCACCCACTCAGGCCAGGCTGTGTGGCAAATACAAAAGAAGTTAAAAAAAAATAAAGACATTCCATTATTTCAATAGAAAGAATTTTTTAAAAATGTGTCACTGGAGGTACACTTGCTTTACATTTTTTGCTTTGGAAGATGTAGGGAAAAAAGTCATGAAATGTTTTCATTTCTCTGTGATTGAGCAGACTCTTAAAATATTAAACTATTGCTTAATAATTGATTAAAACTAATCTCTGTGGGAGCCAACCACCCATTTGGTAGGATCTCTTTAAACTTTTAGGGGCTTTTAGCTCCCCCTGGCCGCCTAACCTTTCTCTTGTCTGATTCATTCTGGGCTCAGCAGACGTTTGGTCTCTTGTGGATTGATGATGTCAGGATGCTTCTGTCGGGCCGTGGGATGGCTGATGAGGCTGGATTCCGAACAAGGAACATCCTAGGGACACAGTGTCTGGAGAGGCAGTGAGGGAAGAGGAAAGAAATGTCTGTGAATAATTGTACTGCAGCTTCTAAAACTCGGGACGGGAGTCAGAGAAAACAGCCCTGTGGCCTTCAGAGCCGCTTAAGTTGTCTGTGACTTGAGTTTTTCCACACAATGACAATGGTGCCTGCCTCTCCATTTTCCCAGGAACGCTAAGCCATCGAGCAAAGTGGTTTAGAATGTGGGCGCAGGCATCCGAGTGTCTGGCTTCAAAACTTCCCCAGCAAGTTACCGAATGTGTAACCTTGGACGCGCTTTTTATTTTCTCTATACCTCAGCTCCTTATCAATAAAATGAGGATAGTAATATTAATAGAAACCCTCTTCTGTGCAGATGAGGTGAGGCAATGCATGTAAAGTTCTTAGCACTGGCCAGGGCTGGGCAAAGGCAGGGCTCACTATGCATTTAAGAGCTCAAAGCCCGGGTGAGCTGGCTCACGCCTGTAATCCCAGCACTTTGGGAGGCCGAGGCGGGCGGATCACCTGAGGTCGGGAGTTCAAGACCAGCCTGGCCAACATGCAGAAGCCCTGTCTCTACTAAAAATACAAAAAAATTAGCCGGGTGGGGTGGCACACGCCTGAAATCCCAGCTACTCCGGAGGCTGAGGCAGGAGAATCGCTTGAACCCGGGAAGCAGAGGTTGCGGTGAGCCCAGATCACGCCATTGCACTCCAGCCTGGGCAACAAGAGTGAAACTCTGTCTCAAAAAAAGAAAGAAAGAAAAAAGCCCAAAGGAGACTCTGAATTTTAAAACAACTACTTTGAGGCCAGTCACGGTGGTTCACGCCTGTAATCCCAGCACTTCGGGAGGCCAAGGCAGGAGGATCACTTGGGCCCCAGGGTTCGAGACCAGCCTAGACAACATGGTGAGACCCCACCTCTACAAAAAATGTAGAAATTAACTGGGTGTGGTGGAACATGCCTGTAGCCCCAGCTACTCAGGAGGCTGAGGTGGGAGGATTGCTTGAGCCAGGGAGTTCGAAGCTGCAATGAGCGATGATCATATCACTGCACTCCAGCCTGGTGACAGAGGGAGACCCTGTCTTGAAAAAATAAATAAAACAAAAACAACTACTTTGAAAAAGGGATCATTAGGTGAACAACTGAAGCCTCTGAAACTAAACAGTCTCAGCCAGGTGCGGTGGCTCACACCTGTAATCCCAGCACTTTGGGAGTCCGAGGCGGGTGGATCACCTGAGGTCAGGAGTTTGAGACTAGCCTGGCCAACATGGTGAAACCCCGTCTCTACTAAAAATATAAAAAATTGGCCGGGTGTGGTAGCTCACGCCTGTAATCCCACCACTTCGGGTGGATCACCTGAAGTCAGGAGTTTGAGACCAGCCTGGCCAACATGGCAAAACCCTATCTCTACTAAAAATACAAAAATTAGCCAGGTGTGGTTGTGCATCCCTGTAATCCCAGCTACTTGAGAGGCTGAGGAAGGAGAATCGCTTGAACCTGGGAGGCAGAGGTTACAGTGAGCCAAGATGGCACCACTGTACTCCAGCCTGGGCGACAGGAGCAAAACTCCATCTCAAAAAAGAAAAGAAAAGAAACGAAGCAGTCTCAAAGAAATGTTTGTACACTTGTGTTTATAGCAGCACTATTCACAACAGCCAAAATGTGGAAACAACCCAGATGTCCATGGGCGCATGAATGGGTAAAGCAATGTGGTATGTACGTACAACGGGGTATTATTTAGCCCTGAAAAAGGAAGAAAATTCAGAGGTCGGGTGCAGTGGCTCACAACTGTACCTATAACCCCAGAACTTTGGGAGGCCGAGGCAGGAGGATTGCTTGAGCCCAGGAGTTCAAGACCAGCCTGGGCAACATGGTGAGATCCTGTCTCTATACAAAAAAACAAAAAAAATCAGCCAGATGTGGTGGCACATGCCAGTGGTTCCAGCTACTTGAGAGGCTGAGGTGGGAGGATTGGTTGAGCCCAGGAGTTGAGGCTGCAGTGAGCTGTGATCATACCACTGCACTCCAGCCTGGGCAAGAGAGCAGGAAAACGCCTCCCCCAGCATACACAAAGGAAGGAAATTCTGACTCGTGCTACAACATGGATGAATCTCAAGACATGCTAAGTGAAATAAGCCAGTCGCTGGCCGGGGGTGGTAGCTCATACCTGTAATTCCAACACTCTGGGAGGCTGAGGCAGGCAGATCACTTGAGGTCAGGATTTCAAGACCAGCCTGGGCAACATGGTGAAACCCTGTCTCCACCAAAAAATACAAAAACAAACAAAACAAACAAAACAATTAGCCAGATTTGGTAGCACATGCCTGTAGTCCCAGCTACTCAGGAGGCTGATGCATGAGAATCACTTGAACCCTGGAGGCGGAGGCAACAGTGAACCGAGATTGTGCCACTGCACTCCAGCCTGGGCAACACAGACCCCGTCTGAAATAAATAAATAAATAATAAGGCAGTCACAAAGGGGCAAATACTGTATAATTCCACGTCTATGAGGTATTTATTTTATTATTGTTATTATTTTTGAGATGGAGTCTCGCTCTGTTGCCCAGGCTAGAGTGCAGTGGTGCAATCTTGGCTGACTGCAACCTCTGCCTCCTGGGTTCAAGCGATTCTCCTGCCTCAGCCTCCTGAGTAGCTGGGATTACAGTAGCCTGCCACCACACCCAGCTAATTTTTGTATTTTTAGTAAAGACAGGGTTTCACCACATTGGCCAGGCTGGTCTTGAACTCTTGATCTCAGGTGAGCCACCCGCCTTGGCGTCCCAAAGTGCTGGGATTACAGGCATGAGCCACCATGCCTGGCCCTATGATGTATTTAGAGCAGCCAGAAAAATAGAGATAGAAAGTGGAATGGAGGTTGCCAGGGCTGGGGAGGGGAATGTGGAGTTGTCATTTAATGGGTGCAGAGTTTCAGTTTTGTAAGATGAAAAGAGTTCTGGAAATGAATGGTGGTGATGGTTGCATAACAACGTAAATTAACTTAATGCCACTGAACTGTGCACTCAAAAATGGTAATGATGATAACTTTATGTGTAGCTTACCACAATTCAAAATAATAAAAGGATGGGTGAGGTAGCTCACGCCTGTGATCCCAGCACTTTGGGAGGCCAAGGTGGGTGGATCACTTGAGGTCAGGAGTTTGAGACCAGCCTGGCCAACATGGTGAAACCCCGTCTCTACTAAAAATACAAAAATTAGCCAGGCGTGGTGGCGGGTGCCTGAAATCCCAGCTACTTGAGAGGCTGAGGCAGGAGACTCACTTGAACCTGAGAGGCAGAGATTGCAGTGAGCTGAGATCGTGCCACTGCATTCCAGCCTCGGCAACAGAGCGAGACTCCATCATCCTAGGCCTTGCACAGATGAGGTGGGGCCTTTGATTAAGAGCTCAGCGGGGACCACCATGCCCCCTCCCCACCTGCCCCGAGACATCCTCAGACCAGCCTCAAAGGCCCACAGCTGGATTGGCCAGCCTCAACTTTGCATGCTGTCGGTGGGCGTGGAAATGGATCCAGCCTCCTTGAAGGTGCCACTCAGGAGGATGTCCAGGAAATCTTAAACGTGAGTGAAGGCAAGAGCTCCTGAGTGGTGGGTTGGGATCTGAACACAGCCCCACCTGGTTCTAGCACAGCCCTGGTCCTCATTCTTCTTGGTCCAGCCAGGCACCGTGGGCTACATCATCCTAAGAAAGGGGAATAAAACCAGAGAGGGTAGAGTCAGGGCCTGGATCCACCCTGATTAATCTCCCATCCAGAGAATACGAAAGGCAATGCCAGGAAGATGTTCTAAGGTCAAATGAACCATCTATGAACTCACGCTTCCTTCTACAGAGCCTGTGGCTTACAAAGCACTTTGGCTGGGCGTATCTCTTCCATTTCCCTGGAGCTGCCCTGACCTGGGGAACACCAACCTCGTCTCCCTCTCTACAGACTTCTCCACTTAAAATGGCCAAGACAGGGGCTGCCTTTTCTGGGGGTTCTGGGGTATTCCTGGGGGAGATCAAGGCTGGGGGCAGGTTGATGGTGGAGGTGCAGGGTGCCCTGAACTGGGAGTCACACTGTAGGCTCCGCAGCAGCCGGAAGAGGGCTCAAAATACAATAAGGATAAATAAAACTCAGGCTTCCTTTCTCTCTCTGTCTCTTTTTTTGAGACGGGGTCTTGCTCTGTTGCCCAGGCTGGAGTGCAGTGGCACAATCTTGGCTTGCTGCGGCCTTGACCTCCCATTCTCAAGCGATCCTCTCACCCCAGCCTCCCGAGTAGCTGGAACCACAGCACATGCCACCACACCTTGCTAATTTTTTTCTATTTTTTGTAGAGATGGGGGTCTCACCATGTTGCCCAGGCTGGTCTTGAACTCCTGGCCTCAAGCTATCGTCCTGCCCTGGCATCCCAAAGTGCTGTGGCGTGAGCCACACTGCACTTGGCAGCCTTCGTTTTTTTCTTTCCTCTTTTTATCAGACCAATACAGGCAGGTGATTTTTTTAAAAGTCAGATTTTTAAAAAACCTGACAGTACAAAGAGGTTTATAAAGAAAAGGATTCCCTCCTGCTCCGCCTTTCTCATCCCCGGAGATAACCTCTTTTGACGGTTTCCGTTTTAAATCATGATGGTGGTCACCTCCTCAGGTCCAAATAATATGGCTACAGTGCTGTTGCTTGATTTATGGACCTTAGAAATGGCCCACCGATTTCCCGCTGCGATCGATGAGGACTCAGCTCGTCGGCACTGCCACTCCCAGCCCCAGTTCAGTTTCCGAGTCTACCTCTAGTTCGTCTGCTGCTTACTTGCTAACTTGGAATTCCATCTGAGACCCAGCCTGAGGCCGTCACCTGTGGGCAGCGTCTGCTCTCCTCCTTGGGGATGGAGGGTACCACCCTTCCTGGACCCTCCCATGGTTTCCTCAGCTCCTGTCTGCTTTTCTCTGCCAAAGTTGGAAGTTCTCTCATCCTGCTCTGCAGGGCAGCTGCCTCCATGCCTGGTGGGCAGAGCGGGTCTTTCACTCCACAGCGTGCGCTGAAGTGTTCGCAGCGGGTCCTGCACGGCCAGGCATGTCCTCCCCACGTTCCCAGCTGCGCACTGGACACACCCAAGTCACACTGGACCCTTCCTGATGCGCCACCGCCACGGAGGGTCCAAACCACTTCCGGCTTTAGATGGCTTTCTGCTTGGCCCACGCCTTCCTCATGCTCACCCCACTTTGTGGGGAGTAGCAGCTGTGGCCCTAATGTGCCCCGTGCCACCCTGACTTTAGGTCGTGGACTCTGTCCAGGCTTCTCCTCAAAGTTCACATCAGCATCTTCATATCTGGACCAAAACTTTCTGGCGCAGACTTTTGTTGTTTCTGGGTTTCTAATGGCCTTTTTTTTTTTTGGCGCTGCCTCGTTGGTTGTGCCCTGGAGTCCTGTCGCCTCGTGTACTTCAGCCTTCGGGTTGAGGCTGAGGTTCCTGTTGGACTGGGGGTGACTTTTGTCTGCCCACGTGGGTGGCAAGTGAGGAGCAGCATGGGGTTGGCTCTGGCCAGAGCCGAGATCTTCAGGGCAGTGGCCAAGCCCTGGGTGCAGGGGCCGCCCATGCCACCAACCTGACACCTCCACTTCCAGAAGGGGAAGCTGGTCCGAGTTTTATGGCCGTTGGCTGTCGAAACTGGACCCACAGAGCCAAGACCCTGTGCTGCGCCCGCTGCACCCTGAGCTGTCCAGAGGCCCAGCCCCTCCCTACACTGTGTCCTCCATGGCCCAGAAAGCACTTATGCACATGCTCACACAACACACACACCACACTCAATCCACACACATCACACACTACACTCAATCCATACACACCACACAGCACACACCAATCCACATACATACACCACGCTCAATCCACACACACTATACAGCACACGCCACACTCAACCACACCTCCCCCACACACACCACACACAACACTCATACCTCACATCACACAACACGCTCAATCCACACACCACACACACTCACACCATGCTCAATCCACACACGCCACACACAACACTCATACCACACATCACACACCACACTCAATCCACACACACCACACATCACACACTATACTCAATCCACACACACTACACAGTACACACCATGCTCAATCCACACACCATATGCACATCACACTCAATCCACCTTCAATCCACACACACCACATACCACACTCAAATCCACATACTTACACCACACTCAATCCACACACACCACACACACTCATACCACCCTCAGCCACACACACCACACTCAAATCCACACACATCAAACACATACACACAACACACACACAACACACAACATTCCTACCACACACCACACATACATACCACGCACACACACACTCACACCACCCTCAAGCCACACACACACCACACATCACACACACACTACACACAACACTCATGCCACACACATCATACACACCACTCAATTCACTCCCACACATTCACACACCACTTACACACACACCCCACACTCAATCCACACACACCACACACACTGACACACATACTACACACACAAACACACACACATACACGGCATGTGCCCCTCTCCCTGGGCTGGTGGGAGCGGAGGCCCCTCGAGAGGAAGGCAGGCCCTGTGCCCAGGAGCATCCCGTCTGCAGAAGGAGTCTGCCCTCCAGCGGGAGGAGTGAGGTACCGAAGCCAGGGCCCCGTGAGACCCCGGCAGGTGGGCGGTGAGCGAGTTCGCAGGTGAGGAGGGCGTGGGCACTGCAGGGCAGCGGGGACAGCCTGTGGAGCCGCCAGGAACCAAGGCAGCAGGCCTGGATGCCGGGTGCAGGGGCTTGGGCTTCATGGAGACCAAAAGGGCTCTCTGGAGGGTCTTGAGAAGGAAAGGGCTGAGGCCAGACTCCAGCCTTCTTAGAGCTCGTCCTGGCTCTGGGTGGAGAATGGGCCTGGCAGGTGAGGGAGCTGCCTAAAGGCAGTGTGCGCTGAGGCCGCTGGCCAGGGACCTGGACCACCTGCCATGGAACAGTGCGTACTGAGGCCGCTGGCCAGGGACCTGGACCACCCGCCGTGGACAGTTACACTGCTTCCCTCACCCATCCTCTGGTGACACATCCTCCGGTGACACATCCTCTGGCTGCTGTTAGAGATGGAATTTCACTCGGTCAGGCCTGGGGCAAACCACTCAGAGGACACAGGGGGCCAAGGGAGCCCAGGCAACTTCCTCGATTCGCACCTCTGTACGGGGGATCCAGGTCACTCTATTTTCTCACCATTTGAGGGGCCGGGTGCAGCCATGCCGCCGTTGCCCTGCATAGAGACAGGTGGCTGGGCTCAGTGGCTCACGCCTGTAATCCCAGCACTCTGGGAGGCTGAGGCAGGTGTATTGCCTGAGGTCAGGAGTTTGAGACCAGCCTGGCCAACATGGTGAAACCCTGTCTCTACTAAAAATACACAAATTAGCCGGGCATGGTGGTGGGTGCCTGTAATCCCAGGTGCTCAGGAGGCTGAGGCAGGAGAATTGCTTGAACCTGGGAGGCAGAGGTTGTAGTGAGCCGAGATCACACCACTGCACTCCAGCCTGGGCGACAGAGCGAGACTCTGTCTCAAAAAAAAAAATAGAGACAGGGTTTCACCACGTTGGCCAGACTGGTCTTGAGCTCAGGTGATTTGCCCACCTCAGCCTCCCAAAGTGCTGAGATTACAGGTGTGAGCCACCGCGCCTGGGCCCTTTCTAGTCTTCTTAAAATTCAGTTTTCTGTCAAGAGCAGCAACCCAACTGTAAATTACTGTGGTCAGGGACTAAGTCACCTTGGTGTCATCCTGGTGTCACCCTGATGTCACCCTCGTGCCCCAGCACCTAGCATGGCGCCAAATTGGTTTTTGCAGCAAGAATAAGTGAGTATGGCACTTACAATGGAAAAAAACCCAATAGACTTTATTTAATTAAAAACATTAACTTTCTCTGGCAGTCAAGGTTGGAGCCACCCGGGAGAGCCGGGCGTGGCAAACACACAGGCCCGTCTGGAAAGCTCTGCCAGCGGGGCTCCTGACCCAGGTCCAGCAAAAGCAGCTCAAGGTCAGCCTCAGGGCCTGACATCTCCCAGGAAGAATCCAAAACACCCCCGCTCCTCAGCAGCACTGTCCTCACTTGCACACCGTCCTCGCCTGCGCACCGTCCTCGCCTACGCACCGTCCTCGCCTGCGCACTGTCCTGCGCCCTCCCAACCTGCACTTAGCAAGGTCATGCCCTGAGGTTTCAGAACAAATCCAACTTTCAGGACAATTTGACTAGAAAATACAGGCCAAAAATCCACCCTGGGATCTTTGCTGCAGTATAGATTTTCTTGTTTTTGCCCTGAACGAGTCAGTTAACGATTCAGATTAACAAGAGATCTGAGCCTGGGAGTATCTGGGAGTCATAGAGAGAACAGCTACGGGCCAGGGCCATTAGCCAAGGGGCTGCTGATGCTGGGAGGCCTGGGGCAAGTGGACGGGCTCACAGGCCAGCTTTGAGGGGGATGGGGTGGATGACTCTGAGCCCAGACCAGACATCTCCCCACCTCAGGCGCTGTCTCACGTGCCGCCTTGTGGGGTTAACTTTGAATGTCAAAGCCCAGAATTTTCACTAGGGTCGCCTTCCATCCTGTCCCTTCATTTGAGAAGCGGAAAGCGAGGCACCTGTGTGGGACTGGCCCAGGCTGTGCAGTGGCTCCCCAGGTGTCCTGGTGGCACGTGGGGCAGGAAAGTCGCATCAGTCAGGGTTCCCAGAGAGGCCGAACCACCAGGATGTAACACACACAGGGATGGATTGTCAGGAATGGGTTCATGCACTTGTTGGGGCTGTAAACCCGGAGTCTGCAGGGCAGGCTGCAGCCTGGACACACCCGCGGGAGTTGATGTTGCTGTTCCTAGACTGGAGGCAGGTTCCCTCCTCTCCCAGGAACCGCAGTCTTTCCTCTTGAAGGCCTTTCTTGTTTTGTTTGGCTTTTTCACAGTGTTGGAATGTACATTTCCTTTTTTTCTTTCTTTCTTTTTTTTTTTTTTTTTTGAGACGGAGTCTCACTCTGTCACCAGGCTGGAGTGCAGTAGCATGATCTCGGCTCACCGCAACCTCTGCCTCCTGGGTTCAAGCGATTCTTCTGCCTCAGCCTCCCAAGTAGCTGGGACTACAGGTACAGGCCACCACACCCAGCTAATTTTTGTATTTTTAGTAGACATGGGGTTTCACTATGTTGGCCAGGATGGTCTCAATCTCTTGACCTCATGATCCGCCTGTCTCGGCCTCCCAAAGTGCTGGGATTACAGGTGTGAGCCACTATGCCCGGCCCTGGAACGTACATTTTCTTAGCAGAACTTATTAAGAACATAATTACAAAAGAATTTCAACAAGTCAATGATAGCATACAAAAGAAAGAAGGGAAAAAATATATATTTTATTGAGACAGAGTCTCTGTCACCTAGACAGGAGTGCAATGGCATGATCTTGGCCCACTGCAACCTCTACCTCCTGGGTTCAAGGGATTCTCCCACCTCAGCCTCCCGAGTAGCTGGGATTACAGGCACCCACCATCATGCCCGGCTACTTTTTGTGTTTTTGTAGAGACTGGATTTCACCATGTTGGCCAGGCCGGTCTTGAACTCCTGACCTCAGGTGATCCGCCCACCTCGGCCTCCCAAAGTGCTGGGATTACAGGTGTGAGCCACCACGCCCAGCCAAAAATATCTTTTAAAGTACTCATTATTTTCACTTTGTTGGGAAGGTAGGTATTTATATTTAATAGTTGAGGGAATATCGAATGTTTCTTTTTAATAGATGCTAAGCAGGATAGTTAGTAACCGACATGTTTAATATTCAAAGTTAAAATACTTGAGAACAAGTATTAGGTATATAGGAAAATGGAATGGAAGTTTCTCCACGTTTGTCTTTCCATAGCCAAAAGAGGCAGAAACTTTTCTTCTGAGTCTCTCAGAAGAAATTCCAAGAAGACTAGAAGCCGCTGGCATGAAGAGTAAACGTCTAACTATCAAAACCATGGCACGAAAGCCGGGGGCCCCTGTAGAAACTGCAAAATTTGGAGGCCGTGGAATTTGTGATAATATTGCCAGGTGAGCACATCTCAAAAATGATATTGGCAATTATATTTCAGTATAGGTTGTTATAACTAACAGAAATGAAGAAAACCCGCGAGCCGGGACCGCGGGGGAAGGTGTCCCCGGCGTTTGCCGCCTGCCGAGCGGTTCGGTTCTCGGCTCCCTGGCAGCCGGCCTTCAGGTCGGGCGTCTTCGTTGGTGACTTCTGCTTTGGCCCTCCCGGTGTGGCCGCTGGTTGGGCTGCACTGCTGTGACCCATCATCATCTCCTGAAGCTGCATCCTGTCCTGACTTGCCTCCACGCTTGCACACTGAGAAATGCAGCACGTTGATTCACTTGCTTAAGGAATGTCACACAAATCACAGCATTCTGAAATTTCTTGGTCATTGTAACCATCTTGATTGGGAGATGAGAAAATGCCTGAAGAAGGAGTACATAGAAAAGAGTTCTGGCCAGGCACGGCAGCTCACGCCTGTAATCCCAGCACTTTGGGAGGCCGAGGCAGGCAGATCACGAGGTCAGGAGTTCAAGACCAGTCTGGCCAAGATGGCAAAACCCCATCTCTACTAAAAATACAAAAAAATTAGCCAGGCATGGTGGCACACGCCTGTAATCCCAGCTACTCTGGAGGCTGAGGCAGAGAATTGCTTAAACCTGGAGGGGTGAAGGTTGCAGTGAGCTGAGATCATGCCACTGCACTCCAGCCTGGGTGACAGAGCAAGACTCCGTCTCAAAAAAAAAAAAAAAAAAAAAAAAGAGTTCAAGACCAGCCTGGCCAACATGGCGAAACCCTGTCTCTACTAAAAATTAGCTGGGCGTAGTGGTGCGCACCTGGAGTCATTCCCCAGAGCTGGAGGTGGGTCCTGAATCACCACAGGCCTCATGGATGTCCCGCTCTCCCCTGTGTCCTGAGTCTCTGACGGTCAGGCCCCAGCACCCAGCCAGGCCTCCTCTGAGGAATGGCCACAATGGCAGGTTTGGAAAGCGGCCCAGACATCACAGATTTCTGTAATAATTCGAGATCATTTGGGGTCCAGCTCCCAGGCACTGTCTCACTTCATTCCCGAAGTGTGAAACTGTGATATTAGGAATTTGAATACAGCCAGTCCCTCCTGACTGCTGGCGCCTGTCCTTTCAGGAGGGTGACGCAGGCCACTCCGCATCAGGGTGGATAACTCTGGGACCTGTTTTTTAACCCTTGATATTTACCGACTTTGGTCAGTTCACCAATCCCCAGTCTCAAATTTGCGAAAGTAAATGCTATGCCCTTTTCATAGAGCTGTCATCCATAAAAACTGCCACTGTGTTCCCTCACTCTGTCCCCCAATGAGCCCTGCAGCAGGTGGCCTGCTGCCACGCTGGGAGGTGCTCTGAGGACAAGCCCATGCGTGCTGGTGACAGCTGCAGCCCCTTCCCTCTGTGGTCCTGCCTGGCTGCTGGTCCAGAGCCCCTTCCCCAGCCCAGGATGGCTCTCCATCCCTTTGGGTGCCTGAGAGAGCAAACACCTGGTCTCATATCACCGGCAGTTGTGGACTGGCTGGACGGTGCTGAGAGCGGGAAGGAAAGAGGGGCAGAGGGCATCTGAGCCTGGATTCCTGCTCTTTCTGCCAGCTCTGACCTGGACCCACACCTCCTCCCAGCCCCCATCCAAAGCAGAGAGGAGGCACAATCAGAAAGGGAAAAGTAAAAGAGGAAAGAGGGGTGCAAGGACCAAAGAGGCACGCTTCAGGTACCACAAAGTGATGAGGCTGCACCCCAAACCCCATCACCATAATCATCTGCTATGGACTGAGCATGTTCATCTGTCCACCACTGCATCTGGCTCTCTGTATAAATTATCTCACATACAGAAGCAGGTCACAGCCCACCTTGTGCCTCCCCTCTCTTCTCTGCTGCCCCCTTGCAATCATGCAAACTCATCGTCCATCTTAAAAATACGGCTGGAATGGGGAGCATACCCCTTCAAATATCAGTCTCTTAATTGAAAGATGTGCAAAGACACAGTTCGTACTCAATGCTTCATTCTGTTAATTTCTGCATTGTTGTCTATTTGTAAAGTTCTGTGTTCATAACAAACTCTTTTTTAATGTTATGATTTGGTTTTTTGTTTGTTTGTTTTGTTTTGAGACAGAGTCTCGCTCGGTCACCCAGGCTGATGTGCCGTGGCACGATCTCGGCTCACTGCAATCTTTGCCTCCCAGGTTCAAGCCATTCTCCTGCCTCAGCCTCCCAGGTAGCCGAGATTACAGGTGCCTGCCACCACGCCTGGCTAATTTTTGTATTTGTAGTAGAGACGGGGTTTCACCATGTTATCCAGGCTGGTCTCGAACTCCTGACCTCAGGTGATGTATCTGCCTTGACCTCCCAAAGTGCTGGGATTATAGGCATGAGCCACTGCACCTGGACTTGTTTTACTGAAATCACTGCAGCAGGCTTTGAGTGCCTATTAGTGACTCACTTTCACTGAGCAAGAGGTAGATTTTAGGTCTGCAACACAGCACATGCCCTTGACAAGCTCACAAACTTGTAGGAGGGATAGGCCTAGACCTGTAGACCATGTGTAGGAGGGACCAGGCATAGCTCCCAGGGAGGGGGCTGCCCATAAGGTGGTCCTCTTGTCCAAAGTGAAATGGCTCATATGACGCAGCCTCCACTGTTCTGAATTCTGCCTCTAAAGAACCCAGAAAATGCTGTCCCGCAAGAGGATTCCTTAGGTAATGACTTGAGTCCATGAGTTCTCCTAGAAGCATTTCTCAAGTTAGACTGAAGAAAACATTTTCTTTTGAGCCAAACTTCCTTTCATTGGTATAATCCTATATAGGTAGCCAAAGCCCTTTTACTTGTATCATCTACTTTTATTCTTACAACAACCTTAGGGAGTGGGTAGGAAAAAAACCTACTCTCACCCCATCTCACAAATAAGGGAAATTACAAGGGTATTGAGTGGTGAATTTTGGGAAAGAAAATCTGTTCCTTGTCCAGAAATTCATTTATTCATTTATCTTTGCATCCATCCATGCATCCATCCATCTACCCACCCACCCATCCACCCATCCATCCACCCATCCACCCTTCCACACGTTCACCCATCCATCCATCCATCCACCCATACATCCATCTACCCACCCATTCATCCATTCAACCATTCATCTATCCACCCATCCACCCACCCATCCATCCACTCATCTATCCATCCATCCATCCATCCATCCATCCATCCATCCATCCATCCATCCACCTACCCACCCATCCATCCACCCACCCATTCAACCATTTATCCACCCATTAAACCATCCATCTACTCATCCATCCATCCACCCATCCATCTATCCATTCACCCACTCATCCACCATCCACATTCATCCAACCATCCATCCTCCATATATGTGTTGGGTGGGTCCCTATTAACCAGTCCCAGGGCTATATGCTGGAGGACGAAGGAGGCCCTAGCTTTCAGATAACTCCCAGTCTGGAATGTTTGGATCCTGGAGATTATGGCAGTGGCTCATTTTCTCCTTAACAACTCAATATTATTACCTTACCCAAATACAGTCTGAGGACAGGCAAAGCAGGAAGCAGATTCCTTTCGTTGGATTTGGGGTGTGGGTGCAGCTGCAAGCAGTAAGGCACAGAGAAGAATACTGGTGTCCCATAAGCCCCTGAGGGTCACCACACTAAGTGCTGGGTCGTAAGTTGTATCAAATGTACTGCCTGAGCCTTTAGTCAATCCTGTGAGAGGATTTCTGGTCTCTCCCTCAACACTAAGAGGTAGCAAATCTTCTCTTGATGGATTAATGGATCTAAGAGTCACGAGGGCTCCTGATTTATAGCCTGCATTCACGTCTGCCCTCTGCATAGCCTGGCAGAATCTTAGAGGAAAGTTCTTGGGCAGCAGGGTCAAGTAAAGGTTGTTATTTTAAAGAGAGGGGAGAACATTGTGTCAACACAGGAAGGATGTCATGAAGAATGGGACTTGGCAGTTCCCTGCGGCTGGGAGGAGGGTCCACATAGTACGACAGCTCTCTGCCTTCCCAATCCAGTCACTCATCCCTTTTAGAGCTCAGACTCTGGCAAACAGACTCATAATAACCCAACTCACAAGAGACTGAATGATGGCAATGTGCTTCTTCCTAGTAGGAGGTAGGTTCCCAGATCTGCAGCCAGGGCCTCTGGCCTGCAGTAGGTCATCCCCACTGGAGCCGAGCCAGGAAAGAAGAGCCTTTCATGTATGTTACCACATGTAAGCCTCTTACAGCCAACTCCTTAAGGAGCTATGACTGAGGTTCACTGAAGGGGCAGGAAGTATCCCAACGTGGCCCAGCTTGCCAGAGAAGAGCTGGACTTTAACTCAGGCCCAGGGCTATTTCCCGGCCTGCCTTCCTTCTTCTCTACCTGGCCCAGTGGCCCACCATAGCCTAGTTGTTAGACCCTAGAGGTCAATAAACCTAGTCTCTTCCCTGGAGACTGAACTGTAGTCCAGAATTGAGATTGTGCGTATGTGACATGTGATTCCTGGATACATAAGACAACACACAGAGCAGAGGGATTGATCCTTACATTTTCGCAGTCAGGGAGATGCTGAGCTGTGTCTCTGACGGTGAATATAGAATTGTAACCAAGGGAGCTGATGTTCTCAGGAGATGTTTGCAGCCGGGTGGAGAAGCTCAGTGCATGCTTTTGGGGCTACTTCTGGTTAAATAATAGAGAATAAGTGAGCCCACAATGTAGAGATAATGTGAGCGAGTGTTTTGTTGCGTAAGGATGTGAGAGTCTGAGGGTGTGTGGCGTGGATGCAGAATGTGAGATTATTGCAGAGAGTGAGGCTGAGGAGGCTGCAGCGCAGGCTTGGGGGATAATTGGAGGATGCAGTTCCCAGGGAGAGAAAGAAGGAGTCCAGTCATGGTTAGAAACACCAAATGATTGTACTCATTATTTCTGGCTCAGTAGCAAATTACTCCCAAACTTAGTGACTTGAAACAACTTTGGTTATTATGGCACAGATTTGGCAGGTCAGGAATCTGGCTGGGAGAGCTGGTCCCTCTGCTCCGTGTCCCCCCAAGGCCGTGGTCATCTCAAGGCCCCTCTGGGAAGGACCCTCTTTCAAGCTCATTCACACGGCTGCTGGTGGGTTTCAGTTCCTTGCAGGCCGCTGGACCGAAGCCTCCCTGGGTTCCTTGCCATGGAGGCTGCCCCGTAGAGCATCACACAACACGGCAGCTTGTGTTGTCAGAGCACGCAATCAGGAGGGCCAAAAGAGAGGGGACCAGTAAGGCGGAGAGTGACAGCAGGATGGAAGTCATAGCCATCCGTAACTTAGCCATGGAAATGGCATCCCATCAGCTTTGCTGCAGTCTCTTCCTAGAAGCAAGCCACTAGGTCCAGCCCACGCTCAAGGTATGAGCAGCAGGAATGGGACCACTGGGGCCTGTCAGAAGCTGCCTGGCAAAACGACTAAACAGGAATCAAGCATTTGCTGTGTGGTGGACACCAGCTAAGCCTTTTATGTGCACTCTGTGCTATGACCCTTCACAAAGCCCTACCAGGAAGAGGTCCTGTTATTATTCTCATTTCATAGATGAGGACATTGAGGCTCAGAGAGGTTGGGTAACCTGCTCAAGGTCACACAGCCAGAGAACAGCAGAGCTGGAACATGAACCCAGGCCTGCTGACTACAAAGCCAGGACCTCTCCAAAGCAGAGGTCTCCCTGTCCTCCCTTGCGAGCTTGGACAGGAAGTGGGGCGAGGTGGGGCCGGGAAAGCCGCCTTCCCAGCCAGCCTGCCTGCCCTCTGGCTCCACCGTCTCTGATCTTTTTCCACTGTCTTTGCTCGTTTGACTTTTCCCCTGTTGTTCCTACTTTCTTCATCCAAACAAATCCTGTCTGCTCACATTTCAATCTTCCAGCTGGGTGCCAGCCAGAGTCCTCCCTTCCCTTGAATATGCAAGATTGGCATGCCCCATGCAGATTTGCCACAAGCAGAGTGGGCTGCTGCCTCCGCATGGAGCAGGGGGCACCAGGGGACTCTCTTGCTGTCCCCAGTATCTCCCGAATGGCCTGCCCCCACGCCTGGGTGGTCACCATTAGCAATCGCTTCATTTGGGTTATAGCAGCGAGGATGCTGGCGGTTCCTGCTGAAACCAGGGGAGGCAGAAGCAGCAGGCAGGGAGGCCTTTCCCTACGCACACCTGAGACTCCCAGATTGCTTTGGTAGCCAACAGCCAGCTGGGAGCTGGGCCTCAAGGAGTTGGGATATAGGACAGGTCACTTTAAAAAAAAAAAAAAGTGTGGTAAGGGCCGGGTGCGGTGGCTCATGCCTGTAATCCCAGCACTTTGGGAGGCCAAGGTTGGTGGATCAAGAGGTCAGGAGTTCGAGACCAGCCTGGCCAACATGGTGAAACCCCGTCTCTACTAAAAATACAAAAATTAGCTGGGTGTGGTGGCGGGCGCCTGTAATCCCAGCTACTCGGGAGGCTGAGGCAAGAGAATTGCTTGAAACCAAAAGGCGGAGGTTGTAGTGAGCCAAGATCGCACCACTGCACTCCAGCCTGGGCAAAAAAGCGAAACTCCATCTAAAAAAAAAAAAATTGTAGAAACATACAAATAACATAAAATGTACCCTTGTACTCACTTTTGTGCACAGTTCCGGGGCATTTGGCTCATTCACATGATTGTGCAGCCTTCACCGCCATCCTTCTCCAGAGCATTTTCATCTTCTCAAACAGAAACTGTCCCCATGAAACATAAACTCTCCACCCCACCCACCGCCCCCAGGCCCTGGCAGTTTCCATTCCACTTTCTGTCTCTGCAAGTCTGACTGTGTTAGGGGCTTCATGCGAGTGGAAGTTGACAGGATTTTTTTTTCTTTGAGACGGAGTCTTGCTCTATCGTCCAGGCTTAGAGTGTAGTGGCTTGATCTCGGCTCACTGCAACCTCTGCCTCCCAGGTTCAAGCGATTCTCCTGCCTCAGCCTTCAGAGTTGCTAGGATTACAGGCGCCCGCCACCACACCCGGCTAATTTTTGGGTGTTTAGTAGAGACAGGGTTTCACCATATTGGCCAGGCTGGTCTCAAACTCCTGATCTCAGGTGATCCACCTGCCTTGCCTCCCAAAGTGCTGGGATTACAGGCGTGAGCCACCGCACCCAGCTCAGCATTTGTTCTTTTTTATTTGGCTTCTTTCGCTTAGCATAATGTCCTCAAGGCTCCTCTGTGTTGTAGCCTGTGTCAGTGTTTCACTGCTTTTCGAGGCTAAATAAGGTTCCATTGTATGGAGACACCAAGTTTTGCGTATCCGTTCACCTAGCAATGAACACTTGGGTTGCTTCTGCCTTTTGGTTGTGTATAAAGATGCCAGGAACATGGGTGTGCAAATATTTGTTCAGGACAAGTCACTTGGTGATGAACCAAGAAGGGGACAGGTGTGGAGGGTGGGGCTGCTGGAGCTGCCAGCCTTGGAGGGAAAAGCAGAGTGGGGGGTGGTGGGCTGGAGGAGGTCCGGAGCCTGGGGGAGGTGCAGGGGAGGGAGTAGGGAGTGGGGATGAGGTGGGCAGCAGCAGGGATATCTGTAGGAGACGCTGCCTTCCCATGATACCACCTGCCTTGGGCAGAACTATGTTTTCTCCGTAACTGGGGTCTCCCCAGCATTCCAAAGAGGTAGGGATATTTGGGGAACCTGAGAGCTGTCAAGAAACAGCTGTCAGGCAGCCGAACCTAGACTTGCTGGCCCATATTCAGGATTGCTTCCAAGGTCGGGATCAGCCAAGCCTGGCGGGAAAGAGGCAAATGCTGGTCACTGTCTGGCAATGCATGATGTGGCAAAGGGACTGGGCTGCTGTGATACAGAGCACTGCTCATATGCATGGGTCAGCTAATGCCTGGTAACAAACAGGACCTCAGGGGCTGCACTAGCACTCAGGGCTTAGCAAGTTTCTGTATTGGCCAGTTATTGGCACAATAATGATGAATGCCAAACCAGTCCCAAGCTCGGGGGCTAGCTCAGCATCACTGATTTCCTGGGCCTGTGGCTGGCATGGCTCTGCCTCACACCACAGATTGGGCTGGGTCTCCCACCCTCCTGGGCTCGCTCGGCTTACTGAGGCAGCTTCTTGTCCTGGTGACGGCAGAGGCAACAGAAGGCAAGCCCACCCACGCACGCACGTCTGCAAGCCCCTGGCTTTGCTCTGCCTGTCTTGCTGGCCAAAGCTAGCCTCAAGGCCACACTGGACGTCCAGGGTCAGGGAAGCAGATTCTGCCTATGTGGGAGGAGCTGCAAGTCACATGACAGAGGGCAGGGACACAGGGAGGGGTGGTGAGAATTGGGGCAAAGCTGCCACCTTTCTGGAATGTTCCAAAAGAAGATGGACGACTACTGCTCCTCGGCCCTGGAAGGGAGAGTTCTTTTTTCCCCACTATAAAGTTTTCTGATTCCAATTCCAAAATGCTATGACTCTTAATCAATGCCTGATGAACCATACTTGAGCAAACATAATTTATTCTCTGTCAAGATCATCCTGAGGGGATCGGGTGTCTTTGTTTCCCTCCTAAATCCCCTGCGAATTCATCTTTTTTATTCCAGGCTTACTAGGAAATAAAAGATTTTGTCTGAGGGCTGATGGGTATTAGCAGAGCTATATGGAGCTTGAGTTGAAACTTGGAATGTTTGTGGATCAAAACCGAGCTGTGCTGGCAGCGTCTGGGAGGAGGGTGCACTCGCTGAAACTCTGCCCGAGTTGTGGCTGTCAGCTGCCTCGACTGCCAGACCAGACTCGCTGTTTTGGGGCCGGGTGGGGGGGACGGCGGGGGGAGTGTTGTTACGGATTGTGCTGGAAGGTTTTCTTGCTCTTGGCTTTTTTGGTGAAGGGCCTGGATTACTGCAGAAAATCCAGCTTATGTGTCCAAGGGCAAAGCAGGCCTGTTTATCTTTAACTTTTACATGCTTCACACATCTCCTGAGGTTTGACTCTAAGCAGGATTTGTGTCTTCCCTGATGCAAGAAAACAGGAGGCAGGCGCTGAGCTTGCAGGAGGCCACACAGCCAGTGCACAGCTTGCCATATGCTTAACGTGGCTCTGAGAAGAGAGGGTTGTTTTTTTAATATTAAAAATGGCTATGGGAAAATCTGCCCTAATGCTATTAAGCAGTGCTGATATGAGATGTGTGTGGCTGTAACTTTCTGATTGGATTTGGGATCTAGGCTGCAGCCAGCCAGACGCTGGAGACACATTCCTGAGCCACCTCAGCCCTTGCCTCTTTGCCGAGCTGCGGCTATTCTTTGGGGCACGCAGGTAGATGCAGAGAGACTGAAGTCTTCAGAGGTGGGTGTGCACAGAAGAGTGATTCCCAGATCAGGGAAGACTTTGGCCCCCAGATGACATTTGGCAAAGTCTAGAGGCCTTTTCAATTGTCACAATTGGGAGGAGGGAGGTACAGTAGCATCTGGTAGATAGAGGCCAGGGACGCTGCTCGACGCCTACAGCAGATGGACTCACAGCCAAGAATCATCTGCCCCTAACATTATTCAGCCTTAACTTACAAAGGAAGGAAAGTCTGGTGCATGTGTGCTGTGGTTTGAGTGTGTCCTCTCCAAAATTCTGTGTTGAAACTTCATGTCCCTGTGTCCTAATTGCCTTAAGAGGTGATTAAGTCAAGAGAACGCCTCCCTCCATAAAGGGATTAGTGCCCTTATAAAAGGGCTTTGAGGCTGGATACAGTGGCTCACGCCTGCAATCCAGTACTATGGGAGGCCGAGGTGAGTGGATCACTTGAGCCCAAGAGTTCAAGACCAGCCTGGGCAACATAGTGAGACCCTGCCTCTAAAAAAAAAAAAACTGGGAGTGGTGTCACATGACTTTAGTCCCAGCTATTTGGGAGGCTGAGGCGGGAGGATCACTTGAGTACAGGAGGTCAAGGCCATGGTGAGCTGTGATTGTACCACTGCACTCCAGCCTGGGAAACAGAACGAGACCCTACCATAAAAATACTACTACTAATAAAAGAGCTTTGGTGAAGGGAGTTTGTCCCTCTTGCCTTTCTGCCCTCCACCACGTGAGGACACAGCGTCCCCCCCACCAGGAGGAGGCAGTGCTCCAAGTGCCATCTTGGAAGCCAGGCTGGACCCTCTCCAGACAGCGAACCTGCTGAGCCCCGGATTTCGGACTCCCAGCCCCCCTGGCAAAGGCCCGTGTTCTCTTCCAACATGGTCTAGTGGCTACATCTTTGGGAGGGGGCGAATGCTGAGGCCTCACATGGTGGACCCACTCCCTCTGGCCCTTTGATAGGGACCCTAATTCCATCCGTGAAGTCTCCACCCTCGTGACCTCATCACCTCTTACGGTGTCACCTCTTAATCCCATTACAATGGTGAGTAAATGTCAACATATGAATTTTTGAGGGGACACCATCATGCAAACCATGGCAGTGGTGCCGGCTATGTAAGTAGCTATGACTGTGCAGAGGTCACCATGGCCATCTCACATGCATGTCACTCAACCATCAAAACTCACCCAACAGCAGTTGCCCAAAGCCCCCCACCCTGCCCCACTTGTACCCACAGGCACTCCAGTCCCAGCTCCAAATTACATTTGTGCAGCCTTATTTCTCCAAGTGGCTTCCCACAAGCTTGAGATGCAGGTGGTCGTCAGGGAAGGTCCTCATCTCTCCCCATTGGCCAACTTGGTTTTATATCACCTGCCCTGAAGTCCCTCTGCCAGAGGAGAGCCAGTGACTGTGCCAGGTGCTTCCTTGGACACACCCAAGCTGCCGTCTTAAAGAATCACCCCGTCAAGCTCTGCCACGTTTTGTCATCCGGCCCCACATTTCCTTCAGCTGTATCTCCCACCGTTCCCAAATCCAACAACGGCGCCTGTGCGTGGCCAGGAGCGCAGAGAGGCAGGGGTGGGAGTTCCCCCAGAGCCTGGCTCCAGCTCACAGCTCAGACACCCCGTGGCCCTCCTGCCCTGGGCCCGGATGAGTCGGGAATACGGGACTGCTCTCCAAGGTCCCCCCTTCCCCGTCTGCAGCCAGTCAGCCTCTGAGTCCTTATCATCTGTTTCCCAAATAGTTCCAGATCCCTCCCTCTCTGCCCTTCCCCCCTCATGCCCAGGTTTGGGCCACTATTACAATTTACCTGGATTACCTCTGCAGATTCCCAGGCTGCCGTTGGCAACAGTGGAAGGTGCAGATGGGGGCGAGGAAGATGGTGGCGCACTGCCTCTGTCCTTCTCTGCTCTGAGTTGGAGCCAACCCCGAGGTCTCCTTGCCCCTGGCACGCCCAATCTCATTGTCATGCACCAGAGAAGTGGCCGGGAAGCTCCCCGGGGCCTGGTCACTCGGCTTAGTCGGCTCTGTCACTTCCCCCCCCGCACCTGCTCAGCCCATTGACTCTCTGACTGCACCTCAGCCCCTGCCCCCCGCCAGGCAGTCACCTGCACTTCTGCATCCTCCAGGGGCCTCTCTTTCCCACCTCAGGGCTCAGTGCAAACGGTGCCTTCTTTCTCGAATGTGGATAATGGAGGAAAAATGTTGCTTCCCCACGAAGCCTTCCCAACCGCCTAATTTGGATGCAGTGTCCCATCCTGGGCCCTTAGCCCTGTTGCAGTGCACGGTGGTTGACGGCCCATCATCCTTCTCCCCTCAGGACAGAGGCCATGTCTTGCTTGTGGACCCTTGATCCTGTGTGAGGGACACGTGCCTCCCAAATGCCTGGGCTCAGCCTTCTCTGGAGGCTTCTTCACTTTGTGGGGATCCTCTAGGTGTGTCGGCCACATGATTCCCCTTCACTGATTCATCCAGCAAATTCATTCCCCTCCACTGATTCATCCCTGAGCATTGACTCTGATGGGCACCAGGGCCGTAGCAGGCCCAGGCAGACCTCGCTCTCACTGGCCTCTCCTGCGGAGGAGAAGCAGACGATAAACAATGGCTGGGCTATGATGGGCGGTGGCGGCGCAGTGGAGAGAGATCAGACAGGGGGAGGGCACAGAGAGAGGCTGAGGGGGCTCTTTTGGGAGCAGCCATAGAAAACTTCTCTGAGTGACGACGTTAGAGACCTCAAGGAAGTGAGGGAACAAGCAAGTGTTGCTGGCGTTGGGAACGGCAAGCGCCGGGCTTGGGGTGGCCCAGGGAGAGCACGGGTCAGCACGCCTGGAGTTCAGCAGCGTCAGGGAGGTAACAGGGTCGGATCCTGTAGGGCTTAGGGGTGATGTTAAACACTCTGGAATCATCCTGCATGAGATGGGGTCATTGGACGTTTTCGAACCCTTGGGGTTCCTCCTCTGATTTAAGCTTTGAGAGACCCACTTTGCAAAGTTCCCGCTATACACTCTATCATTACATCCTCACAAATTGCCTGGGCACAGTGGCTCATACCTGTAATCCCAGCACTTTGGGAGGCCGAGGTGGATGGATCACTTGAGGTCAGGAGTTCGAGATCAGCCTGACCAACATGGTAAAACCCCGTCTCTACTAAAAATACAAAAAAAAAAAAAAAATAGGTGTAGTGGCAGGCACTTGTAATCGCAGCTACTCGGGAGGCTGAGGCAGGAGAATAGCTTGAACCCAGGAGGCAGAGGTTGTAGTGAGCCAAGATCATGCCACTGCGACAGAGTGAGACTCCATCTCAAAAAACAACAACAACAAAAATAAATCAACATATGGGTAATCTTTTCCCCATTCTACAGTTGAGAAAACTGAGGCTCAGAGAGAAAGGGTAGTGACTTACCTGAGGGTGCAGAGCTTGAGTGTGTTGAACTTTGCTGGAATCTGGCTCAGATTCATTCTAAAGGCCCCACTCCAGCTGCCCTGCAGTAGGAATGGCTTGACCACTCTGCTCCACAGGCCCAAAGACAGGATGGGGTCAGGGCCAAAATGAGTGGTGGTAAGGTCCAACTCGGTTCTTCGAGAAGTAAATCAGCTCCTGAGACGTCGATCTTCCAGCTGCACCCTGTCACTATTGAGACCTAGCCAAGCACTTGGGGGCAATTATATGGGTGGCTGTGGCTGTATTGGAAGGCCTGAGAGAGGAGGGAGTCACAGGTGACCCTCTTGAGCAGGAGACTCGGGCCCAAGATTCAGGGACTGCCACCTTGGTGACAGTGTCAATGTTGGATGATTTTAGGTAAATGATGCCTTCACAGAGGCCTTTAACCCAGCGGAAACCAGCTTGGCAGGTACATGCTTTTTTCCTTCCTTTTCGGTTTCATTCTACCAACCTCCCTGATTGGGTTATAGGTGGGGTTCTCCGAAGCTCCCTGGAAGGCCCCTCAGGCTTACTCGGGAGTGTGGAGGTGGAGGGGATTATTTGCTCACTCCCCAGGAGCAGAGGAGGGAGACTGTCCCTTGATTGGGGGATGCTCTGAGAGATGCCGTCTGCTGTGAGGCGGGAAGAGGAGGGGCTCCCCGGTCCTCCCGGCTGCTCTTCCCACCTCTTTTGGGAGCATGGGATGGAAGATGCATAAAAATTCAAACCATCCTGAAAATAAATGAAAGGAAAATATATATATCCAAGAAGGAGATAACCATAGCAATCACTTTCACTCAAAGGTAATAAAAATAAGGATCGTAAACATAAACTCAGAAATTGCAAGCTGCACTCCCTGCCGACGTTTGCTGCCATGAGAGAGCACATTCCGAGGGAAGGCAAGGACTTTCCAGACTTTCCAGGACACTCTGGACATGTCTCTCTGATTGAAACCTCCAGAAGGAAAAATATGGGAGGAAAATAGTGAGTTATGGGGGGGAAATAAGGACCCAAACTATAACAAAAATGGAGAACACAAATTATGTTTACAAACGTTTCCCTGGCTGACAGAGACTCTGCCTGGAACAGATCACATATCATAAGGTGGCCACCTTCCCAGGGGTGGGGGCTCCTGGGTGAGTACAGAGTGTTCTGTGAGTGACGGCCCCCCCTCCCTGCCCGCCCCCCTCCGCCAGCCTCATGGAGCTGCACTGGAGATGGCTTATTCTGAGCGTCAGCTGCCGCCTTCCTCCTCTGCAGCCATCAGACCGAAGCTGCCGCTGTGACAAGCAAACCAGACAAGATGGACCGCGGCAGCTGGGCTGTCTGCAGAGGGCCATCCAGGCCTCCTTGCTAGAAACATGCATTTTAGATGGACAAACGGAACATTTTGTCCTCTTTGCCTTCTGATATTTGTCTTCTGCCAGAAGAGAGCTAGGACCCAGGCATCAAACTACAGCCAGTGAAATGTTCCTAACTCCCTGCTTGGGTTGCATCCTGCGACGGCTGCTCATTGCCCGACAAACGCTTCGTCCTGCCTGGGCATCATCCTTCAGCTGTAACCGGCGATGCGATTCCCAAGCACTGTTTAAACTTTCCAGTCAAAAATGAGACACCACTGCTCACTTATCAGATTTGCAAAAATCAAGATAATAAAGCTAAGGAAGGCTGGGTGTGGTGGTTCAGGCCTGGAATCCCAGCACCGTGGGAGGCAGAGGAGGGACGATTGCTTGAGCTCAGGAGTTGAAAGTTGCAGTGAGCCGCGATCATGCCACTGTCCTGCAGTGTGGGTTACAGAGTGAGACCTTGACTCAATAAAATAAAATATAAAATAAAATAAAAAATAAATAAAGCTAAGGAGGAAAACCAAAACATGGCTAGTCAGTTTGGGGAAGGTGGGACGACACGGTGTCCTCATGCCGGTTCGTTTGCAAACTGGAATGATCTTTTCGGAAGGAATGTAGGAGTGTCTCAGGAATCTGTAAAAAGTTCACAGCCAGGCATGGTGGCTCACGCCTGTAATCCCAGCACTTTGGAAGTCCACAGTGGCAGTATCATTTGAGCCCAGCCTGGGCAACATGGGGAAACCCTGTCCCTACAAAAAATACAAAAAATATTTGCTGGATGTGGTGGTGCATGCCTGTGGTCCCAGATGCTCAGGAGGCTGAGGTGGGAGGATCCTTTGAGCCTGGGAGGCAGAGGCTGCAGTGAGCCATGATTGTGCCACTGCACTCCAGCCTGGATGACAGAGTGAGACTCTGTTTCAAAAAAGAATAAGTTCCCCACCTTGATTTGCTATGAGCTGAATTGTGTCCCCCAGAAATCCAGTTCCAAGTCCTAACCCTGGTGCCTGTGAATTTGACTTTATTTGGAAATAGGGTCTTTGCAGATGTAATTAAAGTTAAGATGGTATGTCTGCTGTCTTTATTTTATTTATTTATTTTTTCTGAGACAGAGTCTCGCTCTGTTGCCTAGGTTGGAGGGCAGTGGGGCGATCTCAGCTCACTGCAACCTCCATCTCCTGGGTTCAAGTGATTCTCCTGCCTCAGCCTCCCAAGTAGCTGGGATTACAGGTGCACATCTGGCTAATTTTTGTATTTTTTTTTTTCCAGTAGAGACAGGGTTTCACCCTGTTGGCCAGGTTGGTCTCAAACTCCTGAACTCGAGTGATCCGCCTGCTTCGGCCTCCCAAAGTGCTGGGATTACAGGTGTGAGCCACTGCACCCAGCCGTCTGCTGTCTTTATGAGAGGAGAGACACATAGGGAGATGGAAGGCCCTGTTAGGATGGTGCCAGAGGTAGGAGGGATGCAGCCGCAAGCTGAGGCATGTAGGAGGTTGCTAAGGACACCTTGAAGCTGAGAGAGGGGCACGAACAGATTCTTCCTGGGAGCCTGGAGGCAGCAGAACCATGCTGACATCTTGATGTTGGAATTCTGGCCTCCAGAACCGTGGAGCAATACACTTGTTGCTTTAAGCTACCCAGTTTGTGGTACTTTGTTACAGCAGCCCTAGCAAACTAAGACACTCTATTTTTATGTTTTTTGAGACGGAGTCTTGCTCTTTTGCCCAGGCTGGAGTGCAGTGGCACGATCTCAGCTCACTGCAACCTCTGCCTCCCGGGTTCAAGTGATTCTTCTCCCTCAGCCTCCCAGTAGCTGGGACTACAGGCTCCCACCACTACGTACGGCTAATTTTTGTATTTTTAGTAGAGACAGGGTTTCACCATGTTGGCCAGGCTGGTCTTGAACTCCTTACCTCAGGCGATCCACTCGCCTGGGCCTTCCAAAGTGCTAGGATTATAGGTGTGAGCCACCGTGCCGGGTTACAAACTAATACACTCTTTTTGGGCTTTTACTTTCACTTCTAGGAAGAAATATTGTAGCTCATTATTTTCCACATTTATTTTTATTTCCACATAGTCAGACTATATTTCCCAGTGTCCTCTGCAGTTAGCTATGGCCATGTGATCGAGTTCTGGCCAATAGAATGTGGCCAGAAGTGACATAAACGCCAGACCCGGCCAATGGAAACCTTGTGCTCCCGTTCGGGGGTCTGTGCCCCCAAGGTTACCCCCTAACACCTACTGAACTACTGTATGTGTGAAAAATGGCCTTCTATTGATGCTGGGGAGTTACTGTTCCAGTACTTAGCACAGCTTGGCTAATACAAGGAAAAATCAGAGATAAAGAAAAGCAAAGATTCACAGGCCAGGATGTTTCCATATTCCACATCATTTACTGGGGGCAGCAGCCGGGGCACAAGACAAACTCACTTTTCTTTTTTTTTTCCTTTTTTTTTGAGACAGAGTTTTGCTCTGTTGCCCAGGCCAGAGTGCAATGGCGCGATCTCGGCTCACTGCAACCTCCGCCTCCCAGGTTCAAATGATTCTCCTGCCTCAGCCTCCCTAGTAGCTGGGATTACAGGCATGTGCCACCATGACTGGCTAATTTTGTATTTTTAGTAAAGACGGGGTTTCTCCACTCCATGTTGGTCTGGCTGGTCTCGAACTACTG
This sequence comes from Homo sapiens, assembly GCF_000001405.40. Taxonomy (NCBI): domain Eukaryota; kingdom Metazoa; phylum Chordata; class Mammalia; order Primates; family Hominidae; genus Homo; species Homo sapiens. The sequence goes on from NC_000017.11 coordinate 80,532,120, forward strand.
ACCTCAGGTGATCTGCCCACCTCGGCCTCCCAAAGTGCTGGGATTACAGGCATGAGCCACCACCCCTGGCCACTCACTTTTCTTTTAATATTCAGGGCAGCATGACCCCAAGTCTTTGTCCTTTATATTTCTGGGCAGCCATTCCTTTTGGGATGTCATAGGGGTCCCTTTAGGCCCTCCCCAGATCAGCCTCCTGCCCCACTGCTCCCTCCATCTGGGGTTTATCCCATTGCTGTGGACAGAGAGAGTCGTCAGTATGCCTTGGGGCCAGTGTTCACTCTGGGCTGTCTGAGCTGTTCAAACTCTCCCTGCCAATGTGTGTTCCCTGCTCCTGTTTCTGCTTCTAGCAGTAGCTCCTTGGGGTCCTGCTCATTGGAGTCATTTGACAATACTGGGCCAGGCATGGTGGCTCAAGCCTGTAATACCAGCCCTTTGGGAGGCAGAGGCAGGCAGATCGCTTGAGGTCAGGAGTTTGAGACCAGCCTGGCCAACATGGGGAAAACCTATCTCTACTAAAAATACAAAAATTAGCCAAAAATCGCTTGAACCCAGGAGGCAGAGGCTGCCGTGAGCCAAGATCGTGCCACTGCACTTCAGCCTGGGCAACAGAGTAAAACTCCGTCTCAAACAAAACAATACTATGTGCCCACACTGCATACCAGGCGCTGGCTCTCTGCAGGGGGTAAAAGGGAGAATGAGACAGATATGATCCCTGTCTTCGTGGAGCTTCTATCTGGCGGGGCAAAGGGACATTAAAACAATGTTTAATTAGAATAGTGATTAGTGCAATGAATACAATGTATAGGGTCCCATGGGAGTGGATACAAGGTAGGGTGACTATGTTTTATCATCCAAATCAGAACACCTTTGAGAATGTAAGAGGACACTATTAATAATTATGCCAGAGGAATGAGTGAAAACCAGGGCTGCCTCAGGGAAGGCAGAACCTTTGGCCACCTAGGAGGAGACCAACCCAGTCCCCGACAAGCTGTCTCTGAGCAGCTCCCTCCCAGCTTTGGACCCAGCCCTGACCAATAGCTCGGGGGAGCCCACACAGCTTGGATGAGTTCTCCCAGGCTTGACTGAACCTCACTCTTCAGAAAACACCTTACCACCTCCTTCAGGGCCCAGGTGGGCTGGAAACAAGTTCCCTGTATGTGATTAACACAATGGTTGAGAATACAGGACGAAGCTGTGGGTCTCACAGTTTGCTACGCATGGACTCACCTGGGATTCCAGGCTGACTCTGGGCTGCCATCCCCTAACATTGTGATGAAATGGGTGCAACTGGGGCATCTGGAATTTTATTGATTGATTGATTGATTGAGACACAGTCTCACTCTGTCACCCAGGCTGGAGTGCAGTGGCATGATCTCGGCTCACTGCAATCTCCGCCTCTGGGGTTCAAGCAATTCCCGTGTCTCAGTCTCTCTAGCAGCTGGGATTACAGGCCCACACCACCACACCTGGCTAAGTTTTGTATTTTTAGTAGAGACGGGGTTTCACCATGTTGGCCAGGCTGGTCTCGAATTCCTGACCTCAAGTGATCTGCCCGCCTCTGCCTCCCAAAGTGCTGGGATTACAGGCGTGAGCCACCGCACCCGGTCATTATTTATTTATTTATTTATTTATTTATTTTTGAGACAGTCTCACTCTGTCACCCAGGCTGGAGTGCAGTGGCACGATCTCCACTCACTGCAACCTCTGCCTCCCAGGTTGAAGCGCTTCTCCTGCCTCTGCCTCCTGAATAGCTGGGATTACAGGCATGCGCCACTACGCCCAGCTGATTTTTATAGTAGTAGAGATGGGGTTTCACCATCTTGGCCAGGCTGGTCTCAAACTCCTGACCTCAAGAGATCCGCCCGCCTCGGCCTCCCAAAATGCTGGGATTACAGGCATGAGCCACTGCACCCAACCGATGATCTTTTATTTTCAAAATGTTTCAGAATAATTTTTTTTAAATGTCAAATAATTTTTAAAAACGTGGCAAAAAGAAAAGGAAAAAAGGAAATTCACAAAATCAGAACACTGATTCCTCTGCTTAACTTTTATTTTCTTCATTTTTGGGAACATTTTCCAATTTCCTCCAACAAGCATCTATTACTTTTTACTTTTAAAATTTAAAATAAAAATGGTCAAAGTATGACGTGATGCTGTTTAAAATGTCAAATGGTATTTCTGGGATCATAATACCAGTGGGTCCCTGGCCTCCCCATTTCTGGTCCTGTGACCCTTGGTCCACATGTCTGGGCAGAGTGAGATCCTGTCTTTAAAATACATCTCAGCATTTCTACACGTGTCTACGGTCTTTTTCTTTGCGTTTTAAAAACCAGGTTACAGGCCGAGCATGGTGGCTCACGCCTGTAATCCCAGCACTTTGGGAGTCCGAGGCAGGTGTATTGTTTGAGCTCAGGAGTTCGAGACCAGCCTGGGCAACATGGTGAAACCCTGTCACTACAAAATTAGTCGGGTGTGGGCTAGGCGCGGTGGCTCATGCCTGTAAGCCCAGCACTTTGGGAGGCCGAGGTGGGCAGATCACTTGAGGTCAGGAGTTTGAGACCAGCCTGGCCAACGTGGAGAAACCCTGTCTCTACTAAAAATACAAAAATTAGCCGAGTGTGGTGGCACACACCTGTAATCCTAGCTACTCGGGAGGGTGACACAGGAGAACTGCATGAACCTGGGAGGCGGAGGTTGCAGTAAGCTGAGATTGTGCCACTGCACTCCAGCCTGGGCAACAAGAGCGAAATTCCATCTCAAAACAAAAACAAAAACAAACAAGCGAACAAAAATGTGATTGTGCTACAGTATTATGACCACTACAGCCTCACTAGGTGATAGGAATTTTTCAGCTCCATTGTAATCTGATGGGACCACCGTGCTATGTCTAGTCCACCTTTGACCACAACTGTTCTGCCGCTCATGAGTGTTACTTACAACATCCTTATGAAATAGACACTGTTAGTTTCCCAATGTTACAGATGAAATGGGGCTGGGGTAAGTCCAGCTCCTCTCCCAGAGCCTCAGGGCAAGGAATTGACAGAGTGAAAACTGGAACTGAGGCCTGTGTGACTCCCAGCACAAGCAGGCGCTGGAGGGCCCCCGGCAGCCACTTGCAGGCTAATGGGTGCTCTTGCCCCATGCTGGGCACTGTGCCACACATTGCGAGGGTCTGCGCTTAGCATCAGGCAGCTGTGCTTGGAATCTTTGCCCAGACTTGGTCAGTGGAGAGATCTTCAGAAAGTTATTTCATCCTTGTGCGTCTCAACTTCCTTGCTGATACAATGGATCTAGAACACAAGCTCTTCCCAGGGGTTATTAGGAGGGTTACAAGTGTTAATTCTCAGGAAAAAGGCTTGGCTCCCCATCAATACTCACTAAGTGTTAGGATTATCCTATTTTACTTACAGGCATATTTCTCTAATCTCCCCTATGAAAAGCAGAAGCAATGGTTGGCCTACCTTTGTCCCCTCAGGATCTACTGTTCAGCTGAGAGCTTGAGAATCACTGATGTTATGTAAATAGTACATAAAATAACAAGTGGGGAGTTTAAAAAGAGACAGTTGGTCACATTCTTTGTATTTTCATAGATTATTAAAATGAAGGGTTACAAAAATTCATTTTGCATATTATTATTATTATTGTTATTATTATTATTATTATTGAGACGGAGTTTTCGCTCTTGTTGCCCAGGCTGGAGTGCAATGGCATGATCTCAGCTCACTGCAACCTCCGCCACCTGGGTTCAAGCGATTCTCCTGTCTCAGCCTCCCGAGTAGCGGGGATTACAGGCATATGCCACCACGCCTGGCTACTTTTTGTATTTTTAGTAGAGACGGGGTTTCAACATATTGGTCAGGCTGGTCTGGAACTCCTGACCTCAGGTGATCTGCTCACCTTGGCCTCCCAAAGTTCTGGGATTACAGGCGTGAGCCACCGTGCCCATCCAGTTTGCATATTATATATTGGATAATAAATTTTCTCAACATAGTCTCAATCATATAAACTTTCCTCCCCCACCCCATTTTTCTTTTTTTTCTTTTTTTTTTTTTGAGACAGAGTCTTACTCTTTCGCCCAGGCTGGAGTGCAAGCTCCGCCTCCCAGGTTCACGGCATTCTCCTGCTTCAGCCTCCTGAGTAGCTGGGACTACAGGCGCCCGCCACCATGCCCAGCTAATTTTTTGTATTTTTAGTAGAGACGGGGTTTCACCGTGTTAGCCAGGATGGTCTCGATCTCCTGACCTCGTGATCCACCCGCCTTGGCCTCCCAAAGTGCTGGGATTACAGGCGTGAGCCACTGCGCCCGGCCCCATTTTTCTTTTTCTTTTCTTTTTTTTTTTTTTTTGGAGATGCAAGTTCTTTTATTAAATTCTCAAATTACCCAATTTGTGTGGGCCATCTGTTTCCTACCTGGACCTTGACACATTCAGAAGTCAACAGGACACTGTCCGAATGGGTTTTGGTTAGTAACTTCCTTATAGCGTCTCTCACTGTGGCTCACCCATCTGTGTTGTTCTCCTCATCCATTCAGGAAATGAGATTTTTTTTTTTTTTTTTTTTTTTTTTTTTGAGACAGAGTCGCACTCCATCGCCCAGGCTGGAGTGCAGTGGCTCGATCTCGGCTCACTGCAAGCTCCGCCTCCCCGGTTCATGCCATTTCCCTGCCTCAGCCTCCCAAGTAGCTGGGACTACAGGCACCCGCCACCACGCCCGGCTAATTTTTTTTTAATTAATTAATTTATTTTTTTATTGATCATTCTTGGGTGTTTCTTGCAGAGGGGGATTTGGCAGGGTCATAGGACAATAGTGGAGGGAAGGTCAGCAGATAAACAAGTGAACAAAGGTCTCTGGTTTTCCTAGGCAGAGGACCCTGCGGCCTTCCGCAGTGTTTGTGTCCCTGGGTACTTGAGATTAGGGAGTGGTGATGACTCTTAAGGAGCATGCTGCCTTCAAGCATCTGTTTAACAAAGCACATCTTGCACCGCCCTTAATCCATTTAACCCTGAGTGGACACAGCACATGTTTCATAGAGCACAGGGTTGGGGGTAAGGTCACAGATCAACAGGATCCCAAGGCAGAAGAATTTTTCTTAGTACAGAACAAAATGAAAAGTCTCCCATGTCTACTTCTTTCTACACAGACACGGCAACCATCTGATTTCTCAATCTTTTCCCCACCTTTCCCCCTTTTCTATTCCACAAAGCCGCCATTGTCATCATGGCCCGTTCTCAATGAGCTGTTGGGTACACCTCCCAGACGGGGTGGTGGCCGGGCAGAGGGGCTCCTCACTTCCCAGTAGGGGCGGCCGGGCAGAGGCGCCCCTCTCCTCCCGGACGGGGCGGTTGGCTGGGCGGGGGCTGACCCCCCACCTCCCTCCCGGACGGGGTGGCTGCCGGGCAGAGACGCTCCTCACTTCCCAGACGGGGTGGCTGCCCGACGGAGGGGCTCCTCACTTCTCAGACGGGGTGGCTGCAGGGCGGAGGGACTCCTCACCTCCCAGACGGGGTCGCGGCCGGGCAGAGGCTGCAGTCTCGGCACTTTGGGGGGCCAAGGCAGGCGGCTGGGAGGTGGAGGTTGTAGCGAGCCGAGATCACGCCACTGCACTGCAGCCTGGGCACCATTGAGCACTGAGTGAACGAGACTCCGTCTGCAATCCCGGCACCTCGGGAGGCCGAGGCTGGCAGATCACTCGCGGTTAGGAGCTGGAGACCAGCCTGGCCAACACAGCGAAACCCCGTCTCCACCAAAAAAATACGAAAACCAGTCAGGCGTGGCAGCGCGCGCCTGCAATCGCAGGCACTCGGCAGGCTGAGGCAGGAGAATCAGGCAGGGAGGTTGCAGTGAGCCGAGATGGCAGCAGTACAGTCCAGCTTCGGCTCGGCATGAGAGGGAGACCGTGGAAAGAGAGGGAGAGGGAGACCGTGGGGAGAGGGAGCGGGAGCGGGGGAGGGGGAGGGGGAGGGTTCTTTTTCTTTTTTATTATTTTTTGAGATAGGGTCTCTGTTGCTTAGGCTGGAGTGCAGTAGCGTAATCTCAGCTCATTGCAGCCTCCACCTCCTGTATATAAGCAATTCTCATGCCCCAGCCTCCCATGCAGCTGGGATTACAGGCATGCACCACCACACCCGGCTAATTTTTTTGTGTTTTTTACATAGAGACGGGGTTTCGTCATGTTGGCCAGGCTGGTCTCGAACTCCCCACCTCAGGTGATCCGCCTGCCTCGGCCTCACAAAGTGCTGGGATTACAGGCATGAGCCACTGCACCCGGCCCCTTTTTTCTTTTTAAATCTGCCATGGGTACAGACCACATCTTTGTGATTCTACCTTTAGGATCTGGGGGAGGAAGGAAGGGACTCCCAATAATGGGATGTTTGACCTCCAACGGACACTGTACCTTCATCCCTTCTCCACAAAGAATCCGTAGGGCCGTAGACAGCAGCGTCTGATGCCGTAAAGCCTTGCAGATGGCTCCCCAAGTCCATCCGGACTCATCGGTCAGGGCGCCCAGGCTGGAAGGCCACCCAGCGGGGACTGGGCCTGGGCACCTGCTCTCCCAGCTGCTTTGCCCTTGTCTTGCTCCACATGGCAGGCGTCTCAGAGAGGCTCTTCACTGCCCTTCGCAAAACAGCCCAGGGTGGGAAGGAGAGGCTGGGGTGCAGGTCCCAGCTCCGTGTTGGGCTCTCAGGCAGTCCCCTCCCTGATGCATCTCCTTCTCGGCTCTGTCTTTGCCGTGTTTTCCTTGGCTGGCTTTTTAAGGCTAGGGCTATGCAAAAATCCTCACTTCTGAAGGAAGAAATGTGGACAGTGGGTGAAGTTTATTCAGTAAGAGGCACTTTTCACCACAGTCCCTATGCTACCCAGGGACCCTTTTAAAAATGGGAATAACTTTGTTTCTGCTAATTGATCTACATGCTTATTATATAAAAAAATGAATAAAATAGAAAGGTGTGCTGTAGAAGGTGAAAATCACATGCATAAATACCACCATATTTTTAGACGGGTGGAGAGGGGGAGACAGCCTTGCTGGGCTCCTGGCAGCCTCACATTCCCAGCTGAAGGCAATGCTGTGGCCGTGTTACCTCCTTTTCCTTCCTCTTCTCACTTCACTGTCAACAAAGCATCTGACCTGCAGGGGGGAGTGGCTCGGGTTTTACTAAAAACGGAGTCATGATGCTCAGACAAAAGCGACGTTCTTCATGTCTATTTTGGTTTCCTTTAAGTTAAGCATAGATTTTTCTGGAAAGGACCGGAGCTGGCTGTTCTCCCTGCATGGAAAACAACAGCTCAGCGAAGCACCTGGTTTTCTCAAGTTCCCTGACCTCCAGCCTTGCTCCTGATTCTTGATGACAAAACACATTCAGTGCCCTTGATTGATTTAGCAGAGAAGTGGCAATGCTGCCGCATGGAACGCAGCCCATTCTGCCTGTGAATGGAATGCCTCGGCTGTGATGGTCTTCTGTTTTGGGAAAAGATTAGGTCAGTTGCAGTGGGTCAATGCTGAGCTCGGAGACTGAATATCCAGCCACCTTAGTTCTTCCTGGTAAAGGCTATTTATCTGAGCCATTTATGCAACCCCCACCCCCTGCATTTCTCCCTGCATTCATTTCTGCCTTCTGTCATATTTGCCCCCCACACTCAGGTTTTTATATTTGTTCTCTTGCTCACTTTGCTGTATCTTTAATTCCATTTGTCGAACAGTCTAAGTTTTAGGGTAAGAAGGAGTCACCTGGTCTACCTTTACATGGTAGGACAAGGTGCCCCACTCTGTTCAAGCAGGTTATTCTGCTTTTTTTTTTTTTTTTTTTTTTTTTTGAGACAGAGTTTTGCTCGATTGCCCAGGCTGGAGTGCAGTGGTGCAATCTCAGCTCACTGCAGCCTCAAACTCCTGGGCTCAAGCCATCCTCCCACCTCAGCCTCCCTAGTGGTTGGTACTACAGACGCATGTCACCATGACTGGCTAATTTAAACAATTTTTTTTGTTGTTGAGGCCAGGTGTGGTGGCTCATGACTGTAATCCCAGCACTTTGGGAGGCTGAGGCAGGTGGATCACCTGAGATCAAGAGTTCAAGACCAGCCTGGCAACATGGTAAAACTCTGTCTCTACTAAAAATACAAAAATTAGCTAGGCGTGGTGGTGGGCGCCTATAATCCCAGCTACTCTGGAGGCTGAGGCTGGAGAATCACTTGAACCTGGGAGGCAGAGTTTGCAGTGAGCTGAGATCACGCCACTGCACTCCAGTCTGGGCAACAGAGCAAGACACCATCTCAAAAAAAAAGAATTATTATTATTTTTTTTTTGTCGAGACAGGGTTTCCCGGTGTTGCCTAGGCTAGTCTCAAACTCTTGGGCTCAAACAAACCTCCCACCTCAGCTTCCCAAAGTGTGGGATTACAGGTGTGAGCTACTGCGCATGGTCTGTTCCACTCTTTTTGGATCCTAGCTGGGCCTGGAAGCCCCTTCAGCCCCACATCTGCAGGCTGACGTTCACCACCAGCAGGAGGCTTTCGTGGCATGTGGTCTTACAAACACCTCTGTGTTCAAGTCTTGAATAAGTGACTGTAAGAGACTCATGGAGCAGGTTGTTGCCAACACCCTCCCCCACTTTCTTTCTTAATTTCTGCATTTTTTAAAAATTAAGATGGGATCTTGGTCTACTGACTAGGCTGGAGTGCCGTGGTGCAATCATAGCTCACTGAAGCCTCAAATTCCTGGGCTCAAATTCCTGCTTCAACCTCACAAGTAGCTGGGACCACAGGTATAAATATTAAATTTTTTTTTTTGG